>NC_000004.12:7877986-8184483 GCF_000001405.40 Homo sapiens | reverse complement strand
TATTTGAGCCAGGGAGGTCGAGGCTGCAGTGAGCCATGCTCACACCACTGCACTCCAGCCGGGGCACAGAGCAACAGCCTGTCTCAAAAAATTAATGAATAAAGTTGCCTCCCACAGGGGTATGGGTCAGCCATTCTGATACTTCCGTACATGTAGACTGGAACAGAACTGTTAAGTCAATGGATGGCTAATGGTGAAAGCCAGGTGTCTCAATGTTGGAGTGGGCGGTTACAGATTGCTGGTGGGGCAGAGCTGGAATCCACTTAGTAATAATGGATTTGAGTTGGAGACGTCAGTATGAACTCACATTTAACCTAATAGAGATACAGATATTGCATCTAGGCATACTTAGAGACATGCATATATACATGGTTGGTGTACACATATATGCCTTCATGCTCTGTCAGCTGAGAGGGCCTAAAAGAAAAGACACACGGCCAGGCGCAGTGGCTCATGCCTGTAATACAGCACTTTGGGAGGCTGAGGTGGGCGGATCATGAGGTCAGGAGTTCGAGACCAGCCTGGCCAACATGGTGAAACCCCGTATCTACTAAAAATACAAAAATTAGTTGGGCATGGTGGTGAATGCCCACCACCATGGACTTGCATAGGAGGACTAAATACAAAGTGGGGTCCTGGGTGGGATCCCGGGGCAGGCGAAGGCGTTAGGTAAAGACGAAGGAAATCTGAGTCAGGTGTGGGCTGCAGCTGGTAATCAGGCATTGGTGGTATTGGCTCATTAGTTATGACAAATGTACCATACCAAGGTGAGATGCTAATCATAGAGGCCGCTGGGTGGGGTTTTACGAGAACTCTCTGAACTGTCTTCCTGACTGTTTTGTAAATCTAAGAGGATTCCAAAGAATTCAGTCTATTAAAAGAAAAACAAACAAAAAGTCCCTGTAGGGTGGAACAAGTTTGATGAACTTTTAAGGCCCAAAGACACCCAAGCGTCACTGCGGGATCCCAGCCAAGCCTGGAGCCGCCTGCTTGGGTGGGGCTGCTTGCCATGGGCCTCAGGCCAGCCCGGGAGCCTCCCTGGGCCACGCCTCCCTCTACTGTACAGGGAGTGAGTTAATCACAGAGATGCGTGGGGCAGGGCCGGTTTCTGGTCATTGTTCCCACAGCACCAGGAAACCGAGGCAGGGCTTTGGAAGGGCATCCTAGCCCCAGGCGTGACCTGCCGTGGTCCTCAGCCAGTCCTGCCACCTTGAGCGCCGGCCTTCCTCTGTAAACGAGGGGGAGGATGAGGACGGGCTCCTTCGTAGTGAACAGAACTCGCCTGGGGCTGCTGCTGCCACAGAGGGCTCCAGACCATTCTATAGCCCCAGCGGGAGAGGGAGGCAAGGTCGCCAGGCGGATGGCATGCTGAGAAACTGAGGCTCACAGAGGCCCCACCCCTTGCCAGGGGCCATGGATCCCCCTCACCCCCAGGGCAGCCTCTCCTCTGCCCTCCTCTGGGTCAGGCCCCTGCGCCTCCCCACTGCCCCAACAGCCTCTGCGTCCAGTCCCTGCCTCCTTCAAAACCCACTCCCAAGTCCAGCCCTGAGAGAAGGCGGTCTCATCCCCAGTGGCAGGTGGGAACCCTGGCCCCATGAGGGGGACTGAGGCTTCGGAGATGCAGAGAGCCACTGGAACCCCTCTGAGACCCCTGGCACTGGTGTAGCAGGAGGGCAGGGGCAGCATGAAAGACACAGGGTGCAGGGGAAGACTGACTCTGGGCCCGCCCAGGGCTCCTGCGTCCTCCAGGGTCACCAGCATTGCACTGTTTCCATCAACTATGGCTGCTGGCCACATGCGGACACTGCCCTGGGCACCAACACCAATGCCTCATCTTACAGATGGGGAAACTGAGGCACGGAGGGTGGAATCACTCAGTGGCAAGCTGGGATCAGAACCCCTGGCCACAGCCTCTTGGCACCTCACCTTTCCACCAGGCACCCTGCCCGCCCAGTCGTCGGGATCCTGGGGAGACAGCACTCCCACCTCATCCTGCCACCCTGACAGCATCCAGCTCCACCCATCAGGCTATTGGCCCATTTCTCATACATGGGAACACCAGGCTGGCCCTTCGCCTGAAACCCCATTCGAGGCAGCACCCGCCCTGCTGCTTCTGGCCAGGTGAGTTTCGAGTTTTGGGTGCACCCTCCCCATGAAAACCCTCTCCGGCCTCACCTGTCTCGACAGGTGACACTGAGCATGGGGCTGAGGGCTTTAGCCTCGGCAGGGAGGGCTTTCCAAGCGCAGACCCAGCAAAATGCTCTGGAACTTACCCTGCCAGGGAAGGGAAGAGGGGAGGCTGGATCCCGGGCCCACCACCTGCTGCAGGGCCACAGCTGTTGCTATCACAGTTCCTCAGGACAGCCACACAGCCCAGCACCCTGTCCAGGCAAGAAGGTGCACATTTTTAGTGAGCCTGGCCTCTGGGCTCCAATCAGATGACCTGGGCGGCCGGCCTGGGTCATTGGCTGTGCTGCTGTGGCCTGCCTGCCCCACCCCACCCTGGGAAGGGCTTTCTCCTCCCTGACCTTCCTCCTCCTTATCAGCTGTCAGAACTGTTAGCTCTCCTGGGCCAGAATTCCCAAGCAGGGTGGGGAGGAGCCACCGCAGGGAGCTTGGCTGAGGCGCTCCTGGGCCGGTCCAGTCTGCCCAGGGCTTTGGGGGTTTCAGACCACCTCCCTGTTCCCTGCTCAGAGAGGAGAGAGGCTGGGCCCTAGGAACAGATTCCAGGCCCTGCTCTGCTGGGATGAGGAGAACCAGTCTCACCCAAGCCGGTTTCTGCAGCTGGGCCGTCACGGCAGCTAGCTGGGAGTCCAGTAAACATTTACTGAGCACCTATTTTGTGCCATAGGGCCCAGTGCAAGGCCAGCAAAGATGGGCAGGACCTCTCATGTGGTGCCCAGAGGGACTGGTCCCCAAACTCGCTCAAGATAGAGTCACCTGGGATGTCCTTAAAGATTCAGATTCTTGACTCGGGACCCCCTGTATCAGGATCTCCCAGAGTGGGGCCCAGAAATCTGGATTTTTAACAAGCTCCTAAGCGATGCTTGTCATCAGGTGACTCTGGGAACCTCTGTTCCAAACAGCACTCTTACCTTCAGATGCTCACCAGGGGCCTTGACAGACACAGGCACCCTGAACCCCCAGGAGCTGGGCACCGCCTTTGTGACTGGCTGTGTGACACAGGGCAAGTTTCTTAACCTCTCTGTGCCTCCCTTTCCTGGTGTTTGTGCTGGAAGAACAATAGGTAGTTGGCCTACTTCATCGGGTATTTATGAGGAATAAACGAGTTAATCAACATTCAGGGCTTAAAACAATGACCTACACACAGAGACACACACACACAGACACACATGTGCGCACATGCATACACATACATGCACGCACACACATATGCACACATACACACACGTGTGCACATACATATACCCATATACACATACACACAGGTGCACTCACACACACACGTATACACATACACACAGAGACATATGTACACACAGAGACACATGCACACATGCATACACATACAAGCACACACATACACATAAACACAAGTGCACTCACACACATATATACACATACACATGTGCACACAGACACATGGACACACAGATACATGTGCACATATACATACACATACATGCATGCACACACATATACACATACACACATGTGCACATACCTACACACATACACATACATGCGGGTGCATTCACATATATACACACACATGCACACATGCATACACATACATGCACACAGATACACATATATACACATATGCACATACACATGTGTGCACATACATACACACATGCACATATACACAGGTGCACTCACATATGTACACATATATACACTCTCACACACACAGAGACATATGTACATTCATGCACACACACACACACCCCTGATGTGTATTTTTATCGGGCACCCAGGTGATCCTGACCCAGCCCTGTCAGGTGACTTACGCTGTGACTCAGTGGGGACGGGGAAAGTGCTGGACTTGGGGCCTGAGCTGGTCCTCGGGGCTGGGCAGGAACTTCCCAAGCATTTCTTGTTATCTATGTGAATGAATGAATGAGGTGTGAATTGTTTGACATTTTTCTTTGCTTTTAATTAGGAAAACACCAAATTTACCTCTATAATGCCCTGCTCGTTGCAATCTGGTAACAATAGTCACTGGGTCTCTGCCCTGTCCCTCCCACTAGAGGCTTCCTTCCCCCACATTCACTGGGCACTGCTCCAGGACCAGGGATTTCGGACAGGCCCCACCTTGGGAGCTCACATTGCCCGAGCATCACCCTTGTCAGTGGCCCTCAGTGCGCTGGGGTGAGATTTAAAGACTTCCCAGTGTGTTTCCAGCAATAAAGCTGGTGGAGATTCCCCCGAAAGCCAGACATCCTGCTGTTCTTGAAAACCCAGGAAGCCTGGCCACATGGGGCGACACTTTCAGCCTGCCCACAGCAGGCGCTAAGAGTCCGCTGTTCATGGGGTGAGCTCTCTGACCCCACAGCCACACGGAGGTCCCTGCTGACTGACACCCTGCCGGAGCTGAGCTGTGACTGAGCCTCCAGCGGCTCCATCCTCAGGAACCTGGCCAGAGCCCTGGAATTCCTGGAGGGCCGCAAGCTCCTGGTGGCCACAGGTGTGTGCCCTGGCCACTAGACCAGGGAGGCCAGGCCCTGGGGCTGAGAAGAGATTAGTCCCAGGCCACTCTCTACCATGGACCCTCTGCAGGTCAGGAGCCTGGCGGGGACCAGGGGCTTCTCTGGGTGCTTCTCTTTGTGCCTCTGACTTGGGTGTCACCCCCGCCCCCCACCCCTTAGTGAGGTCTGTGCAGCCTTCCCCATTTCCAAGGGCAGAGACCGGGTCTGCGCAGCCCAGCAGCTTGGACACATTCTTACTCTGGAAGCCCCAAGCTGGGTCTGCACCCAGGCACCTCCCATGGCTAAAGTTGCAGAGACTTGGAGCTCTTCTGTGCTAGAGGTTCTGACCTCTGCTCTCCCCAGCCCGTCAGGTCCCCTCCCGGGGCTGAGCTGTGTCAAGAGGCTGCATTTAAAATCCCAGCCTCAGTCTCCCCATCTGCATCTGGAAGGGCTTAGCTGGGCATGCTCTGTGCACCTTCCAGCGAGGGCATGGGGCTGAGTTACCGAGCAGGCACCTCCCCACCTGCCAGACTGTGGGGAGGCATTTTCCTTCTCCACCGACACCCCCACAGCTCCGGCAGGCTGAGGGAGGCCGGGATTGTGTGAGAGCTGGAGCAAGACACCTCTGCTCCCTTCTCATTGTCAAGAACTCCCTAACGACAGGAGCGTCCACACTGTGGCAGCCTCCCTGCCGCCTCCTTTTATTCTAAGATGGTGGACTCAGAATTCACATGAGAAGGGGCTTCACTGATGTGTACAAGATGTGTGTGAGGCCAGGCACGGTGGCTCACGCCTGTAATCCCAGCACTTTGGGAGGCTGAGGGAAGAGGATTGCTTGAGCCCAAGAGTTTGAGACCAGCCTGAGCAATGTAGTGAGACCTTGTCTCTACGAAAAATTAGCCGGGCATGGTGGCACACACCTGCAGTCCCAGCTAGTTGGGAGACTGAGGTGGGAGGCTCCCTTAAGTCCAGGAGGTAGAGGCTGCAGTGGGCTATGATGGTGCCACTGCACTCCAGCCTGGGCAACAGAGTGGGACCCTGTCTCTAAAACAAACAAACAAACAAAAATATGCATAATTCCTTGTGCCTTGGGAACTGGCACTATGGAGCCAGAATTCATTTAAGAACACATGGCTGGACGCGGTGGCTCACGCCTGTAATCCCAGCACTTTGGGAGGCCAAGATGGACAGATCATAAGGTCAAGAGATCCAGACAATCCTGGCCAACATGGTGAAACCCCGTCTCTACTAAAAATACAAAAATTAGCTGGGTGTGGTGGTATGCACCTGTAGTCCCAGCTACTTGGGAGGCTGAGGCAGGAGAATCGCTTGAACCCGGGAGGCGGAGGTTGCAGTGAGCTGAGATTGCACCACTGCACTCCAGCCTGGGCGACAGAGTGATACTCTGTCTAAAACAAACAAACAAAAAAAAAAAGAGAGAGAGAGAGAAACACGACTTACCTATGTATTGTCTTACTCTATAAGACTTTTCTAGAAATAAATAAAGCCAATTCACCTTCTTTTGGTCAGTCTTGATCCTAAAAGTGCCGGCCAGGCCACCCTGCTACCCTAAAAGGGATGGAGATTTGACAGGGTCCCCGTGAGGCGAGTCTCCCACAGCTAGGAGGGGTTCGCAGGGCGAGTGAGGGAGTGAAGGGTGAAAGGTGGCCTTGAAGGGCAGGCATGGCCCCCTGCGTGGAGGCCGCCCACGATAGGCTGGAAGATCCCACATAACGATGGACACTGCTGGACCCAGACCCCAAGCAGCAGAAGCAGAGGCCCCGCAGCAGCCAGTGGCTGGTTCCGTTGTTTCTCTCTGGGATAAGCAGTATACCCTGAGGCCAGAGCAAGACACAGAGAGAGGCAAAGGAAAGGTGGGTGCTCTGGCAGAGCAGGGACAGTTGGACCCCCTGAGTGGGGGAATCCCAGCTTCACAAATGAACGGCTGAGGCCAGTGGGGTGGGTAACACTGAGGCCACACAGGACCTGAACTGCGCCCTTCTGACCTGGCAACAGGAGCTGGACCTCACCCCTCCCCGGGACCCACCCTCCCCAAAGCCAGCTTGGTCCCTGACACCAGGGGTCTGCCCAGCCCAGCAGGGAGTCAGGAGCCACTGAGAGTGACTGGCAATGTTCCAGTAGAACAGTGACTGCGTGGGAGACAGTCTCAATGTATTCCCCCAGGCAGGCGAGATCTCAAAACATCGTGCTTCTAAAAATGCTCTTAAGAAGAAAAAAGTTGGACAGAAGAATGTGGAAACATTTGCTGTGGTCATCAGAGTGACAGGTTGGAGTGAATAAATGTTCATTATCCTCTTTCTGTATTTTTCATGTGCATTACTTTTAAAATCAGAAGATGATTATTTTTGCAATCAGAAGAAATGTCATTAGTGTGATAATAAAAGCCATTTGTTGGTGCAAGTGTATGGAGGATGGTGTTTCTGAGAAAGTTTATAGACAAAAGAGGTGTCCCTCTTCAGGGGCCCAGAGTCCCTGGCCCAGCCCAAGGACAGCACACCTTGCACAGGGGGCTCCTAGGGCCTCAGTCTTCAGCAGCCCCTGACACGGGGGCCCCGACTCCTCCCACAAGTTTGCAGTCCTTTAGGCTCCCCCGACAAGTTTGCAATACCTGTCTGTGGTGTGTCTCTCCACAAGTGCCCATTGTGAACAAGCGTGTGATGGGTCCTGGGAGCCGGGGGCAGCTCTCCCTGGTAGCTTTGAGCAAGTCCCTCCTCGTGTGTAGACAGAGCACCAACCTCTACAGCTCCCCTGACATTTACAGGCCCAGTTAGTGTCAGCCTGGAGAGGACGGCCCTGACCCGCCGCTGTCCTCTAGCGGAAAATCAGAAGAACAACAGCAGCACCCAGGATTGAGCTCTGGTCTTGGACAGGCGCTAGGCTGAGACCCTCCTGTGCTTCCCCTCAGTGGGAGCACCCTGAGTGCACGTTCCTAAACCAACCCCTTCCATGGATGGGAGAGGGGCATGGCTTGCCCAGGAAGTGGTGGGCTGGGCTTCATCTGGCTCTCTCCAGTTGTGAGATCCCCAGCCCTTAGGCATACAGTAGTACTGCACTGAACGGCAGAGAACGTGCATGGATCTCTGCAGTGGAGGGACAGTGTCCCGTGCATGTATCCTGCATGTGCTGACTCAGCTACCGCTCCACTGGGCTGCCCCATCTGATCACCAGTGTAGCCTGTGAGGTGGGAGCTTCTGGCTTCACTCTTTAGAGTGACGAGCTGAGAGATGATGCAGGGGTGGGGAGCTCCCAACATCTCCTGCTGGGGAGTGGGATGAACGTGGGGACGGCCCAGGCACTCTGGCCCCTCAGCCTGGACTCCACCATCATACTTGCCTCCCTGGGGGTGTCTTCGGCCATGCCTGTGGCACCATGCTTGTGATGACCAGGTCACGAGTTGATTGTATCAAGGTGAGGCCCTGCACTGGGGCTCAGGTGTCTCTGCCACTGGACACAGGAAGCTGTTTGATGGAGCAAGAACAGGGGCTTTCGGCCAGAAGACCTGGTTTGCATCCCACCTCCACCAAACCCCCAGTGTGTGACCCTGGGCAGCTGCCCCACCTGAGCCTCGGAGACATCTATGAAGTCAGGACGGGATTACAGAAAGGCCTGGCCTGGCTGGGATTTGTGGATGGATGTCTGAGGAGTGTGCTGTGGGTGCCCACGGTGGCAGCTGCCAGCAAAGACAGAAGACAGTGGGTTCCATGCCCTGGGAAGCCCCAGGAGCTGCATCCACCTGGAGCCCGTCTCCGCACAGGCTGATGAATTCACCTGGCCCTGATCCTTCCAGCTGTATTTTCTGGAGTGAGACCCTTAACCTCTCTAAGACTCAGTTTGTTCATCTCACAAATGAGGCTCATGCATGAGCAGGTTCAGAGGTGGATCCTCCCCCAGTGAACTTTCAGATGAGACCACAGACCCTGCCAGCGCTGACTGCAACCTCATGAGTGGCCTTCAGCCAGAGGCACCTGATTCCTGACCCACAGAAACTGCAAAAATAAATGCTGTTTTAAGCCACTAAAAATACAGGATTCAACCTCTCTTCCTCCCCAGCCCACACGGAAGCACCGTTTGTGATTAAACGAAGGAAGGCAAGGTGAGGTTCATGATTCCAGCTGTGACTGTGCTGTGTGCCAAGCAGACTTACGGTCTGTGCTTCTACTCTGCCATTTGCTGGCTACTGGGGAGGGCATGGCCTCGTGTGCCTTGGTTTTCTCACCTGTGAAATGCAGGTAGCAGCCTCCGGCTCTGTTGGGAGGAGATCACGCAGGTGAAGTGCCAAGGACACTCAGTCACTTGAGGGTTGCTCTGGCGTCAGGCCTTTGTCGTGTAGCTGTCGGTGCATTAGCGTCCACTCCCTTCCCCTATGGCCCCCGGAAAGGCAGTGTCTCTTCTGGATAAGAAAACACAGGAAGGTCCCAGGTCTGTTTGTACCTTGAGAGAGCAAATAATAAACAGAGCCTGACTTTCTGAAAAGACAAGGATGACAGTGATCTGATAAAATGCTCTGGCAGTCCCCCTTGGTCCGTCCAATTCACTAAAGACACTGGGATTAGAATGTACTTCACCTTGGTGTTCCTGGCTCTACCAAAAGCTGGCTGTGTGACCTTGGGCAGAGCACTCAACCTCTCTGAGCCTGGGTGTCCCCAGCTGTGAAGTGGGTCAGGGTGGACCGGATGACACAAACTTGTGGTGGCCCTGTGCCGCTGTCTCCTCTCCTGCCCACCTCTGACTCCTGGAGTCCTCAGTTTTCCTAGTCTGCCTTTTCTTTTCTTTCTGTTTTTTTTTTTTTTTTTAATAGAACAAGAAGTTTATTACTCCCACTCAGTAGTTCCTGGGGGCTTTGATGTTAAGTCATACATAATTCGAGAAATACCAGGAATCTTCTTAATCTCAGTGACCATCTTTAATACCACCTCTACAGGGATCTCATTGCCAGGTGTTGCAGGTATACCAGTCAGGGAGTCACTAGTAATAAAGGTTCGAATAACCACAGATCTCTGGCATGAAGGCTGCTTTTGAAGTGGGTCCCTATCAAAATGTAATGGTGTCAAAATCACCGGCATCTGGCTGATTTTCCCAGCATACCCAGACTCCCTGAGAATGTTATGGGCCTCAAAATCAGCTTGGCGTAAAGTACTGAGCACCCCTGTTGTCAAGAAAGTGGGAGTAACATCTGTAGGAGGTTCTTTAACTGGTGGGCCAAATATACAAATAACTCTGTTAACGTTGTGACACATGCGAGGCATAAGCCTAGCCAGAAAAATAAGTGATTCCTAGTCAGGTTCATCTTTACTGGAGATGCCACACACGTAACTGTAGGAACGACAGTCACCCTGCACACTTACAGTTTTAATTGGCAGCAAGAAGCCATTGAGTGAATGCAGCCTAGTCTGCCTTTTCACCCAAGTTCCAGACTTTACCAAATCAATCCATCGATCGATCTAAAACCTCCAGCTCCTGGCCTGAAGATGCTTATTGCACATCTCCCTGAAGTCCCTTCTCCTATGCCATTCTGCCCCTCGCTAGCCCTGCAAGGCCAGTGCCAGCTCCCTTTTATGGAGGAGGAGCAGCGAGGGCTCAGGAAACACCTGGGTCTCACAGTTGGTCAGGGTGTGGGACGGTCCAGTCGGCCCAGTCCAGGTCTCTTGCACTCCAGAGGGCCACCAGGAAACCCAGCCCGGGGGAGGCCACAGCCAGGAGGGGGCCCCAGAGACCCTGAGAAAGGCGGGAGAGAGGGGAGGCAGGGCATGGCTAAGCCTTGGGCTGTGATGGCCACTCTTCATCGCCTCTGGCCCTGCCCCCAGAGTCCCTTCTGCCAGGCTGGCTGGCGCCTCTGCTCCTGGCCTCCAGCCCCGAGGGGCAGGTGTGGCCACCTTGGCCATGGGCAGCAGCAGGTACCTTCAGTTCCCCCTGGGGGTTAATAAGCTATGGGGAGTGATTTCCCAGGAGGAAGGGCACAAGTGGGCAGGCACTGACCCTGGTGTAGTGGACGAACATTCCAGAATCCAGACTCACCCTGGCAGAACAACTTCAACCTACTGTGTGACTTCACAGTGCACTGCGGGCCTGGTCTTCAGTCCTGGCACTGCCACCTCCGGTTCCATGACCCTGGGAACTCCCCTCTGCTGAGTCAGCCTCGGTTTCCTCATCTGTGCAAGGGCGATGGTGGTGCAGGCTCAGTGAGGGCTTCTAGGTAGCATAAGGGAATGCTGTGTGCCCAGCATAGGAGGGTGCTTATCTAGTGGTGGTGTTGTTTCAGTACTATTATTTTTTAAACTTTTATATACAGTAACAGTTACCTTGTTTGGGTTCTCACCATTCTGAGTTTTATCCTGTGCATCCATTCATTTACTCACCCACCCCTGCAAAAATAAAAGGTAATTTCATCACTTCTTAAAAACAGGTCTTTTTTTTTTTTTTTTTTTTGAGATGGAGTCTTGCTCAGTTGCCCAGGCTGGAGTGCAGTGGCATGCTCTCAGCTCACTGCAAGCTCCACCTCCCAGGTTCACGCTATTCTCTTGCTGCAGCCTCCCAGGTAGCTGGGACTACAGGCGCCCGCCACCACGCCTGGCTAATTTTTTTGTGTTTTTAGTAGAGACAGGGTTTCAGCACATTAGCCAGGATGGTCTCGATCTCCTGACCTTGTGATCCACCAGCCTGAGCCACCGCGCCGGCCTTTTTTTTTTTTTGAGACAGAGTCTTGCTGTCACCCAGGCTGGAGTGCAGTGGTGCGATCTCGGCTCACTGCAAGCTCTGCCTCCCAGGTTCACGCCATCCTCCTGCCTCAGCCTCCCGAGTAGCTGGGACTACAGGCGCCCGCCACCACGACTGGCTAATTTTTTTGTATTTTTAATAGAGACTGCGTTTCACCGTGTTAGCCAGGATGGTCTTGATCTCCTGACCTCGTGATCCCCCCACCTCAGCCTCCCAAAGTGCCGGGATTACAGGTGTGAACCACCGCGCCCGGCCTAAAAACAGGTCTCTGTGAATTCAGTGTCTTTCCCAGCGGGCGGCGGAGCTGGCTAAACGGCTCAGACGTCTGGTCCTTGTGCCATCTGGTTTGTGTGCACTGGGGTTCTCGTGTCTGTTCAGCTTTGATTCCTCTGTGGCGAGGTCAGGAGTGCCCCGTGGGTACACTGCTTGGGACCCTCATTAGGGTCAGACCTTGAAGCATACTTAGCTTGGGGGTGAGCTGGGAGTTCTCAGCTGCCTGCCTGCGTGGCCTCCCAGCACTGGAGGACAGTTAACACATCAGGGGAGCAGGGAGGTGCAGGACTCCCAGGAAACTGAGCTGTCAGAGTCAGAGAGCTGGGGGAGCCCCTCTTCGCGCCATCTGCATGTGTGGGCGGGGCCGGCTTCATGAGCACCTGCTCATGCACATCGCCCCACGAAACCGTCACCGCCAGCCTGCGGGTTGCGTGTGAACATGCCCACTGCAAAGACGAGAAGAGTGAGGCCGGAGAGGGAGTGGCAGTGGGACAATGGCGACGCTGGTCCTGCGGGTCCTGGGCGTTTCTGCTCAGAAACCTACATGGGGACCTCTCCCTGACGAAAGTTCAGAGCCCACTGGTGTCTGCGTCTTCTCTCCTCCCACTTCCCTTTCCTTCTGTGCAAGAAAGCAGATAGTTGGCTATTTGGAGAGTAGGTCAGATAACTCAGCATCAGCAAGAACCCCTGCATGCCGTCCCACGGCTCCCTCACAGCAGCTGGGATGAGCTCAGAATCCTCAGGGCAGGAGGCTAATGTGAGCGAAACATCTCTTGATTTTTTCCTTCCCTTCAGCCTTTCTCTTCAAGGACTCCCTGAGAACACGGAGTCCCAATGCCCTCAGGCATCCATCCTCAGAATGAAGCCACCATCCCGCCCCTGGTATCCAGAAGGGTCCGGTCCCAAATGTTCCTGGGAGAACTGTGAACAGAAGGTCCTATGAGACAGAATCCCAGGCTGGAGGGGTGGCAGGGCTGATCTTCCACATCCAGCAACTCTGTTTTCCCTCCCTTCCACCCCAGTCTCTTCCCCTGTCATTTCCCGGCGTCTCCCTGTTTCTTCCTCTCTGGGTCTCTCTCCTTCCCTCCCTCTCTCTCTCCGGTTGTGTATGTGTGGGTGCCTGTGGTCTCTGTCGGTCTCTCCCTCTCTCTCCTGGGTCAAGTCTGCAATTGCTGTTATTCAGACACCTCAGGCACAAAGACTTAGCCACTTTCATTTGCTGAGAGCCCAAGGAGCCCAGTGTCTGCGCCTGGCATTCGAGGCTCCTGGGTACCTGCCCGCCAGCCTGGGTTCCTGCTCCCTGCTCCTTCCCTGCCTCAAGCTGGTTCCCCCACCCACACCCCTCTCTGGAAAGCAGAGCTGGAGACCCAGTTCCAGAAGAGGAAGTTAATTTCTAAAGGGCCCAGGGCAACAGGAGTGGGGCTGGGGAGAGGGAGCCAGGAGGGAGGCGGCCCATACGGGGGCATTGTCCATGGACTTCTCCCCTGCGGGCACCTGGGGCTGGATGGCTGGGATCGTCAGAGGAACCAAGCAGAACATGGCTTAGATTTGTCCACTTGCAGGCCGGGCGTGGTGGCTCACGCCTGTAATCCCAGCATTTTGGGAGGCCGAGGTGGGTGGATCACCTGACATCAGGAGTTCGAGATCAGCCTGGCCAACATGGCAAAACCCAGTCTCTACTAAAAATATAAAAATTAGCTGGGCGTGGTGGTGGGTGCCTGTAGTCCCAGCTATTTGGGAGGCTGAGGCAGGAGAATCGCTTTAACCTGGGAGGCGGAGGTTGTGGTGAGTTGAGATCTCGCCACTGCACTCCAGCCTGAGCGACAGAGTGAGATGCTGTCTCAAAAAAAAAAAAAAATTGTCCACTTGCAGCTTGGAAGAGGGGGCCGTGCATTCATAGGCTCCCATGCCCCATGGGTCACTGTGCCTGTGGCTGCCAGTTCCCTCTCAAGACTGGGCTGGCATGCCAGGAAGCCCCAAGACCATCCCATGTCAGATGTCAGTGAAGCCAGGGGCAGAATCAGAGAGAGACGTCTGCAAGTGGCCAAGGCAGCAGTGCAGTCACATTCTAATTCTGCCCCACTGTTTTCCCCTACCTGGCCAGGGCTATGGGAAGGCCGCCCCTCAGGTGCCCCCACAGTCCACCCCCATGTGGCTCCCCCACTACTGCCTCAGAAAGGCCAGCCCACCATGGGGCCACCAGCTGCCCACCATCTCTGCAGACTCCTCCAGGAGGGTTAGCCAGACAAGTCCCGGCCCCGTGGCTGCGGGTGATCCCGGGGCTATGGTGGACGCCACCATCTCCTCCACCAGCCACTCCCGCCGTGCACCCTGGACAGCCTGTCAGTCAGGCTTGGTGACCCACACCCTCAGCTCTAAGGTATCCGAGCCCTGAGTCCTTTGTGTCTGCCGGTCAGTAGTGTTGCAATTGCCTATTTACCATTATCGCTGGGCATGGAAGAACCTAGAAATGCCCCAGTGAAGCTTCCGGGCTGAGGCTCTCATGGTGAAGGCGCACCCCCAGCTCTCGTGGTAATAAGGGTCATTTGCAGTCTTCTGCCCCCTCCCTCCCAGTAGAAGAACTCTTCATTGCGTTCCCATCCATTGGGATGAGTAGTCCATTAATAGTCAGTTTCAGGTTCAACGGGTTCAACAGATTCAACAGAGACTTTATTCCTTCCCTTGGCAGAAACATCGCCACCCTCCTACCCTGAACCCAGACCTCTGATGCAACAGAGCTCAAGACTGAAGCACAAAGCTTACAAGGAGGTCCCTGCAAAGGACAGAGCTTCTGCCCTTTGCTTCCAGGCCCTGTGCACTGCCTGTTGGCTTGGTGCACGTGCTGAGTCCTGGGAAATAGGACCCAGCCCTCAGCACACAGCTCAGAAGGCTGAGCCTTGGGTGGGTCATTCTAGCACCCGGCAGCTGTCCTGAGATGGGGTGTGTGGAAGGACAAGTGAGCCCCATGGTCAGGAGCTCATTATCTCACTATCTTTGCTGCAAAATGGGACATTTGGTATGAGCCCCCTCCCCAGGAGGCTGCATAGACAATACTATCAATTTTCATTAGTAAATAAGTCCTGATCATGGCCTGCAAGACTTTTTGCCAGCCTGCATTGTGTGAGGAATGGGGGGCCTTGGGAACATTCGGTACTGGACATATTTCTCCTCCATCTTTCAGCGAGGCGGATGCTAAGGAGGCTCCCTCACACAAGGCGGAGATACCTTTCTTCCTGAGTCTTGCCTGAAGTAGAGTTGAGAGGTGTCATCTTTCCTTCCACCTCTGAAGAGGGGTCAGGGAAGCCAGAGGCTCTCAGGAATCCCCCGAGCACAAACCGCCAGACCAGGGAGCAGGTGAGGGGTGAGGGCCCCCTGCAGTGTTCTAAACCAAAAGCAAACCAAATGCCATGGTATTTTGAGGGAGACCATGCCAAGGACACTTAAGCCCACTGGCATTCATTTCAGTGACATCACAAACACTGATGACTTGGGGCTTCGTGGAGTGTTATAAATAATAAAGTACTCAAGTCCACGTGGCTCAAATGAAAAAGTCTTCCTTGGCTCATGGACTGGGAAGTCCATAGGTAGGTGGGCCTCAGGACTGGCTTGATCCAGGGGCTCTGAGACCACTTCTTTACAATTGGGTTCACTCTCAGGCTCACTTCCCACATGGAGACAAAATTGCCCAAGCTGTCCCTGGCATACATCCCACACTGCAATATGCAGAGCAGGAGAGAGGGCAGCTTCCAAACTCTCTCCTGAAGGTCAGGAGATGCCCTTTCCAGCCTTTCTTAGCAAGCCACCTACCACACCCCATTGAGCCGAATTGGGTCATATGCCTTTCCTGGAGCAAATCTTTGTGTCCAGGGATGTTGACTAATGTAGCCTGTCTGTCTCCAGAGATGGGGTCATCCTTAGACTCATTAAAACCTTCTGAGCTGGATGTGGAGTCCAGCTCACTTACTCTCACTTACTGAGAAGTCCATGGACTGCATGGGTAGGTGTTGTGGCTCCTGCACAAAAAACTGCGGTGCTACAAGAAAGCAGGGAGCAGGGGAAATGGGAGTGAAGTAAACAACCCACCCAAAAACAGAGACTACAGCGTGTCTGACTGGCTGCCTCACCTTCTCCACACTCATATGCTTAATGCGATCACAGTTATAAGCCTGCACAGCCTCTGGACCCAAGACCTCAGAAATCAGGAAGGGAGGGTGGTTAAAGATCTTACATGAAACTACCCCTTCCCGTCTGTCTCTTTGTGTTGGCCAAAGGCAGATGTTTGGGTGATCTTTGATGAGGGCAGTGTCTGCCCACTTTTCACAGTCTGGGTGTCACTGGTGGGATGGAGGGGACTTCTGATCCTTGATAGTATGCCTGCAATTAGGGTACTCTGCCATCAGGGGGCAGCAAAATCAAAAAAAAAAAGCTCATTTGCCTTGGCATCCTGAGAAATGTAGATGATCACATATTTTCTCCATGAAATTATAGGTAACTTTTATGTTAAAAATACCACTTCATTATACAACTAGGTTCCTTTTAGATGGTTGCTCATCACCTACTGTATGCACAGTAAGTCCCCTGGTCTCTGCATCCAGTGACAAAAAGGGACAGGAAGGAAGGGATGGTTAGGAGAAGGAGTGCTCTGAGATGCACGCTGTGTTGGCTGTGGGCTGTGGGGGAAGCCAGACTGGCCTCACCCCACAGGACCTAGAGAGGCAGGTTCTTCAAGTCTCAGAGTTGGGAAGCATGCTTCTTCTCAGCAATTCTTCTAATCCTGTGGACACAGAGAATTATGTAACTGACCCTGTTCCTCTCTCTGCTGGGGCTGCTGGGCAGTACAGAGAGGAAGGAGGGGCTGCCCTGGGCTGTGTCACCACCCACGGCAGAGATTCCAGGGCTTGACCTCAGCCCCAACTTCCTCCTAATCTATGTAGTTTTCCTTAACTCTAGTTTTCTTACCAGCTTTTAAAAAGATCTTTCTATAGTAAGGCTTCCTTTGTAAGAAGCCCCATATACTCTTTAGAACAAGATAGGATAAAAGCATTCAATTTTTAATGTTCCAGGTACTGCAATCAAAAAGTCAAGTAAAACACGCAGGCCTTCCTGGATTTTCTCGACCCATCCTTTACCTGTCCCATTACCTTGGCCCTTTTAAATCTCAGCTTTCCTCAGAGAAGCTCATAGTACTCAAAGCTCACTGTTTAGTTAGGGACACAGACAAGGAAACAATCAATGACAATCCCAAGTGACCAGCCTGTAAAAGAGGAAGTCCCAGGACTCATGGAAACCGGGGGTTTGCACAATTTAGCCAGGGGCCAGGGAGGACTTCTAGGAGGAGACGATGCCTGGGCTGATCCTTAAAGAGTGAAGAGAATTTGGCCAGGCAGAGGAGGAGAGGGAGGCCCCTGGCAGGCAGGGGTGTGATGGAGTGGAATTAGCTTTCATTTAGCAAATCCCTCTGGCTGCAGGAGAAGGAATGGGGGTGGGGGGAGTAGGAGCAAAGAGAGCAGGAGAAGGTGCCTGCACTTGTGTCTAACTACGCTGTGGAAGGACTTGGAGGCAGGACCTGGGGTTGGACTAATGTGATGGAGCAGGAAGAGAAGTCTCCCAGAGGGGTTCTCAGGAGTCAGGGAGAGCAATAGGGTGGCAGCAGGTGCCGTTTCTGGAGCTGGGAGGAGCTTAGGACAGGCTGAGCTCAGCCAGGGGCCTTCAAGTCATGGTGCCAGGGAGCCCAGGGAATTATAGATTTGGAAAGTATATCAGTCTGGCTTCTCCAGAGAAATAGTACTGATAGAAACAGATGGATGGTGGGTGGATGGTGGATGGGTGGCAGATGGATGGATGGGTGGATGGGTGGTGGAAGGATGGATAGGTGAATGGATGGTGAATGGGTGGGTGGATGGATGGATGGTAGGTGGATGGATGGGTAGATGGATGGGTAGATGAGTGGTGGATAAACGGGTGGACGAGTGGTGGATGTATAGGTGGATGGACAGATGGATGGAGGGATGAGTGGATCAGTGGTGGATAGATGGGTGAATGGGTGGGAGATGGATGGCCGTATGTGTGAGTGGATGAACAGATAGGTAGACGGATGGATGGGTGGATGGGTGGTAGATGGATGGGTGGATGGACAGACTGACGGATGAATGGGTGGATGGGTGGTGAATGGATGGGTGGATGAGTGGTGGATGGGTAGGTAGATAGATGGATGCATGGATGGGTGAATGGGTGATAGATAGATGGCTGAATGGATACATGGGTGGATGAGTGGTGGATGGATGGCTGTACGGGTGAGTGGATGAATGGATGGGTAAATGGACGGATGGGTGGATGGGTGGTGGATGGTGGGTGAATGGATGGATGGATGGTTGGGTGATGGATGGCTGGATGGGTGAGTGCATGAACAGATAGGTAAATGGATGGATAGGTGGATGGGTGGTGGATGGATGGGTGGATGGATGGTTGGGTGACTGGATGAATGGATAGATGGATGGGTGGATGGGTGGGTAGATAGATGGGTAGATATATGAATGTATGGGTGAAGGGTGGTAGATGGATGGATGGTGGGTGGATGGATGGATGGGAGTGGATGGATGAACGGATGAATGAATGAGTGTGTAGGTAGGTAAGCAGACAGGTACAAAGGGCAACTGATAGATAAACAGGGTTCTATTTTAAGGAATGTTCTCATGGTATTGTGGGGGCTGACAAGTTCAAAATCTGCAGGGCAGGCAGGCAACTCAGGCAGGAGTCGGTGCTATAGTCTTGAGGCAGATCTTCTCCACTGGAAACTGTTTTTGCTCTTAATGCCTTCAACAGATTGGATGAGGGTGATCTCCTTTACTTAAAGTCATTTTATTATTATCAAACCACTAGTGTTATCATCAAACCATGCAATTCCTGCTCCAAGCAGCTTGGCCATAGCCAAAGAAGAAATTCTAGTGGAGACTGCTCTGCTCTGGTCATCTCAGGGAGCCGGGTCCAGCCCCTCCCAGCTGACTGCACATTTCTTAGCCTTGGTGAGCCTACAGTGTCTCGTCTGTCAGACTGAGTAACACTCAGCACCATGACCTCAAGGGAACACCCGATTGGGAGGCCCACAGAACAAGCACTTTGTAAGTTATGCAGGCAAGGGCTCCTGATTAAGCTTCTTCGAAACCTTATCCCTTCCATGCCCACACAGCAGCTCTGGGAAGCACAGCCTGGTGACAAAGTTGCTAAGAAGGGACACGATGTCTTGCTTGATCAGCAGCTGGGGGGCAAGCTTGAGCTTGCCGGTGAGGCCAACAAGGCCAGGCCCAGGCTTCTGGCAGGACCCATCTGCCTTCCCAGGACAAGAGCTGCTCTCACTGTCAGGGATGGCTGCCTTCTGGGTTCCCTGCAGGGCTGTATGCCTGTGTGGTTGTCAACCAAGGGTCAGGTGGCTGGGAGAGCACTGTGGCTTCTGGCCTCCTGGGGACCTGGCTGCATGTGACTTTGTCTCTCTGGGCTTCCATTTCTTCTCCCCAACTGGGAGCCCTCAGACCTGCAGTTTTCCTCCCAGGTCCCACAGACCACAGATCTGGAAGACCATGCCCCTTGTGGGGTCCAATAATGGTGGTCCCCTCTGGTGGGGTGCACTGTACCTTCCAGAAAGATATGTTGAAGTCCTAACCCCAAGATTTAGCCCCCAGGAATATGATCTTATTTGGAAATCAGGTCTTCAAAGACATGACTGGTTAAGATGAAGTCAGACAGTATTGGATTAAGGTGGGCCCTCCATCCTAGGACCAGTGTCCTTATGAGAACAGAAGGGGAACATTCACAGAAGAATGCTGTGTGACAGCAGAGGCAGAATGAAGAGATCGGCCTCCGGCACTGGGAGAGATGCCCTACCCTTTTACAAGCCCCTTCAGCAAAGCCTGCGGTCCTCTGTTCCGCAGCGCGGCTGACTCATGCACCTGCCTGCTCTAGCTGAGCTTCTTCATCTCACTTCCAGCACAGAGGCTGACATGCAGTAGGTGCTGAATAGAGGCGGCACCTCATCTCAGACCTTGCCCCTTGCTCTGCTCTTCCATTCTCGTTCCTTCCCAGGTGTTCCTGACGGTCCTCGTCTGTTTCTGCTGAACAGGAATGAAGTTTAATGGGAGGAAGTGCTTTCAGAAGACCAGCCACATCCAAGCCTTGCACGGTGTGGGTCATATTCCCAAATCAGGCCTATACATTCTACTTCCTTCCATCACTTGTAATGAACCATCTTTTGTGAGTTTTCTGTGATGGCAAAGCATTGCCAAGTCTACAAACCACTCAGAGTTAACTGGGCAGCTGGAACTGTGGCATAGATCCGGTGTTAGGGAGAACAGATACCTGTGTAACCCAGGGCTGCGCTTCCCCTCCTGACCCACCCGGAGGCATCAGGCAAGCCATGGGCATGCGAGGGTGAGGCTGGGCCTGACTTAGCGAGAATCCAGGTGTGTGGACCCGTGCTTGAGAGATAGGCTCCAAGCCATGAGTCACATGCTATTTTTACTCCTGGTTTCGTATGGCGTGGTTTTAAATTATTGAGCGGCTGGAAAGATCCCACAATGAAATCATATTTCATTTGTTTCTCCATTTGGCTGTGAAGTCAATCAATTCCTGGACTGTATTTAGAGATGAAGAAAGGACAAGGAATCCTGCCGCTTTGGTGAGAGAAAGCCTGGAGGCTCCCTTACTGAGCAGAGCCCCTGATGGGCTCAGGACGCCGTCTGCTCTGTCTGCTGCCCTGCGTCTCTGACTTGCAACGTTTCCGTACCGCTGGGTTTCCAGAGCAGGCACCTTCTTTCTAGCTCAGGCCCCAGGTGAGCGCAGCCACACGGTGCTGCTCTCCATAGAAGCAATTTGTGGGAAACCCCAGCAGACCCAGGGAGAGGTCAGGACGGTGGGAAAGGGGCTCAGGCGGGTCTGACCTCTTTCCATTGCTGAGTGAGAGTGGCAGCCGCAGTGCGGGTACCTGCTGATCCCACAGTTCAGTGGGCACTCTCCTCTGTGCTGGAGACCCCCTGGGGGAGTGGAGGTGGCCCCCAACTTCACTAGAGGGCCAGGGAGGCTTATCCAAGGAGAGGATCTCAAAACAAGGTTCAGAGGGTGAGCATGAGCTGTCCGGGAGAAGATGCGGCACTCCCAGCAGCCCAGGGTGGGGGCAGCAGGCCTGGCATTGCTTGGGCCAAGTGGAGCAGGTCCCCTGGCCATGCACCTCACACTGGACCCCACAACTCCCAGCTTCATCCCTTGACTTCTTGAATGCCCCCTGGAGGGGATGACAGATTCCGGAGGGCCATGGGGCTGAAGCCAAGCCCACGGGCTCTCTCTTCAGCAGGGCCTGGGTGTGCGTCCTACCTGCTCCACTTGGTCGTAGTTTTCAATTGGGTAAGTGAATCCCTCAGTTTCCCCATCTGTGACATCGGGATGATGATGATACGATGACAATGATAGGGTCCTCTGAGCCTTGGCGCAGAGCCCTAAGGACACAGCAGTCCTGGCTGTCACTGTTTGACTCATCTGGCCTGGCCCCTGGGAGCTCTCGGGTGCAGTGTCACACATCCCTCCACCTCTGAGCCAGCCCGGAGTTGCTCCCACTGGGACTTAGACAGGACCCCTCCATCAAGGCTCCCCTGCCCCCTAAAGCAGCTGCCAGCCCATGGGGTGCTGGCCCCTCTCCCTCCTGGCCCCTCCTGGCCCAGCCTGAAGAAACCCACAGCCCCACCTGTCCCAGTCCATGCGAGGCCGGCACTGTGGGGTCTGCCTCAGCCCCCAACCCCACCCAGCATGTGTCCTTCTACACTTTCTGAGAGCTTCACACTCTCTGAAAGGGCAATAGCTTTTTCAGGACAAATGATCCTAATTTTGAAGCAATTTAAAGGTCATAGAGCAGTGACAGGTGCCTGTGCTTGTGGTGGGGGCATTTATCATGAAGAGAACAAGTCTCCACCTGCGGTCACAGGACTCACATTTTAGGAAGCCTCACCCAGCTCAGCCATGCAGGAAAAGTATTCCCCAGACACGCCATGGCGCAGCTCTTCACTCGAGCACCTGGCTTTGTTTTCAATAGACATTTGTGAAAGTGCGTGTTTGTGTTGAATTGCCTTTTTGTTATTTCTTTTTTTTTTTTTTTTTTTTTTGGACAGAGTCTCGCTCTGTCACCCAGGCTGGAGTGCAATGGCACGATCTCGGCTCACTGCAACCTCTGCCTCCCAGGTTCAAGCAATTCTCCAGCCTCAGCCTCCCCAGTAGCTGAGATTCCAGGCGTGCACCACCACGCCCGGCTAATTTTTGTGTTTTTAGTAGAGATGGGGTTTCTCCATGTTGGCCAGGCTGGTCTCGAACTCCTGACCTCGTGATCTGCCAGCCTCGGCCTCCCAAAGTGCTGGGATTACAGGAATGAGCCACCGCACCTGGCTGCCTTTTTGTTTTTTTATGGCTGCCTCTATCAGCGGGTCCGGGACCCCACATGTAAACCTGGAGCCCCAGGGAAGCAGCATTTGGCTTCGGATGGTTTGACCTGGGGTGTGATAGGCCACGGACCTGGGGCTGCCCTCTCTGCATTCTGCTCCCTCCATCGCTGGAACAACCAACATCCCATAATAGTGGTTAGGACACTCAGAAGGAGGGGGTGCTCTTGTTTCCCCCAGGGTCCTACTGGGGGTTCTGACCATTGTCTTCTGGCCTCCTGTGGGCCTGTCACCTTCCTGCTGGCCCTGGGCCGGCACCTGGCAGACCCCCATAACACTGCTGTCCTCCCCGAAGCCCAGAGCACCCCATCATAGAGCAGGGGAAAGGTGGACACATCACCTCTAAGTGTCTCCTAATCTCAAAAGAAAGCAGAGTGCCTGAAAGCGCGTCCCAGGGAGGCCAGGCCAGGGGTGCCTCCTGAAGCCTCCAGCCAGGGGCACCAGGAGGGGTGAAGGAAATCCTGCCCTTTACGCTGGTGCCTTGGAAAACTCTAGCTTTCCCCCTAGTGCTTCCCGGAATGAGAAGCCTGGGCCAAGTTTCTTCCCCTGTATAAGACTCCTCTCTGCAGAGCAGAGAAGTCCACAGTCCAGTGAAGCAGGCAGATTCTCAGGCAGGAGCGGTGCAGCCAAGGGCCGTGCTCCAAGTGTGGGTGTGGAAATGGGCAAATGGGGCCTGGGGCCTTCAAGGTCACTGCCTGGGGCACCCGCCTATCAGGGGCTTGATAGGATCCCCACTGAAATGGGATGGGAGCCCCCAGGGAACCTGGATAAGCACTGGAGGTAGAAGGGAGCCCCCGGAGTTCAGGTCTCTACCCGCTGCCTGCTGGAAGGAGGCATGGGTCACTGCAGGGCTTCCCTGTGTGGTGAAGGGCATGTGAGCTGAGGCTGGAGGAGGAGGGCAGGGGCTCCTGCTTCCATGTTGGTACCCTCCAAGGTACCCACCAAGGCCCTCCTCTAAATGCACGTTTAATGATTTTTTTTTTTCATGAGATAGGGTCTGTCACCCAGGCTGGAGTACAGTGGTCCGATCATGGCTCATTGCAACCTCCGCCTCCCAGGTTCAATCAATCATCCCAGCTCAGCCTCCAGAGTAGCTGGGACCACAGGCACACACCACTATACCCAGCTAATTTTTGTATTTTTTATAGAAACAGGGTTTTGCCATGTTGCTCAGGCTGGTCTCAAATTCCTGAGCACAAGCAATCCTCCCACCTTGGCCTCACAAAGTGCTGGGATTACAGGCGCGAGCCACCGCGCCCGGTCCCCTTTTAATAAACCTTTAAAGGACCTTGGTTTGACATATTTGGGGCCTCCCTGTGTCCATGAGCCCCTTGAAGACCCCCTGACACCCCACCAGGCCTGCTAAAAAATAAGAGGGGCAGCATTTTTCTAGAATGAATCTTGTGGCATGTGAAATGATTTCTTGTCTATCTTCTTCACTAGGACTAGAAAGCCCAGCACACTGAAGGTGTTTGAGAATCCTAAGGGGTATGTATGCACTGTGAGTTGAAGGATATAGAAACTGAGGCACACAGAGGGCAAGCAAGTTGCCTGAGGTCACACCTGGCCTGTAGTACCATGGACAGAGAACCAAGTCTGTTTCAATCGATTCAATTCAACCAGCAGATTCGCTGAAGTCCCAGTTCAGCAGACACGGAGCAGGAAGGAAAGAAAAGACCTGGCTCAAGCCCCACCCTGTCACTAACTTGCTGGGTGACTTGAGGCAGTATGTCTTTGGGCCTTGGTTTCTGCCCTTGTGAAAGAAGATGTTGGAACCACATGGCCCCGAGGCCCTTCCAGGTTGAGAACTGTTAAGGCTCCCCAGCCCCTTGTCCTGGGCTCTGGAACCAGTCTGGAATGGGGCACCCACATCCACCCTCTGGCTCACAGGGTCTTGGCAGAGAGGTGTGAGGGCTCCCTGCCGTCCTCACCAGGCTGTGTGGGGGAAATCATGGCACCCCTGGGAGGTTCTCAGGAGCCTTTGGAAACAGAGGGAGGAAACAGAGGCTGCGGGGGAGCCTGACCGAGAGCTCCTTAGAGGGCAAGTGGCAGCAGGGTGTACCTACGGCAGGTGGGTGCCTGGCCTACCTCTCAGGCTATGATCCAGGAGTGCCAGGTGCCAGCACTCTCCCCTCCCCTCTATCCTTCTCTCCGTTTATTCAACAGATATTTGCAGACTGCCTGCTCTGTGCCAGGCCCTATGTTAGCCACAGAGAATAATAATAGCAAAGCAAAGACATTTATTGATCTCAACTCACACTGGGTCATGGCACACATTAGTTCACTGATCCTTAGATCTGGCGCCCCCTCAATTACATGGCACAAGATCCCAGTGGACTGGCATGGGAACCCTGCGGCTGCGGGCAGAATCACCTAGCTGGGCCTCCTGGATTTCTAGGGTGTGTGGGGCTTGGCTGGTTCCCCAGGACTTCAGCTCCCCCACTGAGCCACTGTACTCCTGGCCTCCCATCCTGGCCCCTCTTGGGGGAGATGGCTGCTGCTGAGGGAGGGGGAGGAGTACCTGCTCCTGCCTCAGTGTTCCATTCAGTCTACATTTTCTGTGCCCAATCTTCTTCCACTTGTTGAAAGCATCTCCAAACAGCCCTGGCCCAAGCCAAAAGTCCTTGGCCTCTCTCTCCATGCCAGGTTCCCGCGATTCTGCATCCTAAATGCTCCTCCAGCCCAGGCCCTCCGCGCCTGGTGGGCATCCTTGTGTTTGCCGGCTCCTCCCGACCTCTCTGCAGCTCGCCTTTTGTCGCACCAGGCACACAGTGGGGACCCCTGCTCCTCCCCGTTCCCTGACTCCCTCTCCTGCACCCGCGTCCAGGCCCTGTGCTGGGCGCCTGATGTCACAGGGTAGCCGGTCACCGTGGAGGCTGGGGCCGGGGACTGCGCCGAAGTGAGCCGCGCCACCTCTCCCGGTGCACCCCCCAGCTGGGCGCCAGCCGGCGAGGAGCGACGGGAGCCTGGGGTGGGTGGCGAGGCGCGGACAGCCCAAGCCCGGAGGCAGGAAACCTGCGCACGAATCCCCACCAGTGCAAGCCTCGCCGACGGATGCGGGCTAATCCTGCCCGAGCACCGCCCCCGCCTCAGTTTCCCTCTCTGTAAACTGGTAAAGAAGAGTTGGCCCAGAAGGTCTTCAGGCGCCTTGTAGCTCGACTACTCAAGAAGAGCTGCACCAAGCTCGCTTTTCCCTGCGCCGCTCTCCTAGCGACTCCCGGATTCCGTGAGCGGCAGTCCCCACGTCGCCCCTCAGGCCGTGGCGACAGCTCTGCAGAGATCTAAGAACGATTGCGAAAGGCCTCAGCCGCCGTCGCCCGTCTGCGCCTGCGCTGGCCGCGAAGCGTGCTGGGACTTGTAGTCCGATCGCCCCGCAGCTGGGGAGCCAGGCGGAGCGGTGGCGTCGAGGTGCCTACACTTCCCAGGGTGCTCCCGGGCGGCAGCGGGGGCGCGGGGCGGGGCCGCCAGGAGGGGCGTGAGAGTGGGCGTGGCACGGGCGTGGCCTGCGCGCCGTGGGGCTGCGGCGGCGCTGCCTGGCGTGTGCGCAAGGAGCGGGCGCGGAGCCGGCGGGCGGGCGGAGGATAGCGCGGGCGCGGCACCTGCGGGCCCGAGGGTCTGGCTGTCGCAGCGCCGGGCCGCCCCGACTCCGAGCGGCTGCTGAGATGAGTGCAGGTGGGTGCTGGGGACCGAGGGACCAACGGGTCCCCGCGCTGGCTCGCGGCGCCGCAAGGGCTGGGTGGCATTCGGAGGCTGCACCTGCAACGCCGGGGAAAATCACCCAGCGGCTCCACCCAACTTTTGCTCCAGGATTTTGCAGCCCCGAGGGGCCAGAGCGCAGCCCTCTGCCCTGCGCCCGGAGCGCGTAGCTCAGTGGCGCGGGCCGGGGATCCTTTCCCAGCGCGCCGGCCGGCGTGGCTGCGCCAGGATGTCTGGAAGGCGCCCCTTCTTTGCTTCTCACGGGGGTCCGGGTTGTTCCAGGCTGCAGAAAGCGGTCAGGGTCCGCGCGGGGGCCTGGGGTCCGGGCGAAGGGCCGGGGCCCCAGCAGACCTAGGCACGCAGAGGTGAGATGATAGGCGGGGCTTTGCAGCTGGGGGCGCCGCCCTTGCGCCGCTCTGGCAGCGCCTGGGTTGGGGGCGTCAGGCCGACCCTCGGCGCCCAGGACTCTCCGCAGCAGATCTGGGGACCCGGAGCCCGCATGTGTCAGACCCGGCCCCGACCCGATCTCTGCGCGTCTCCAGCCCCTCGCCCCTGCGCGTCGCACCCCTGCCTTTCCCGCCGCACCCACCCTCCGGGATCTGACAGCCTCTGTGCGGGGCTGGAAAAATCCCACAGCGCTGGAGCCCAGCCGCGCCTTGTGCTGTTGGGGAAACTGAGACCTAGAACTGGAGCCCTTGGCGGTGAGCCCTGGAGGCGGCCTGAGGATGCCCGGATCTGAGAGCCTCCTGGGGCCCGCACCGGGCTGAGGGCTTGTCGTTGCATTCCCGGCAGGGAAGGGCTGTCACCCCATTTTTCAGGGTGTGACCCGAGGCGCACCAGGCTTGAGTCACTTGCTTGGCTCAGGAAGGGGGGGCGGGGATTCGAACCCCGGGCTCACTGACTCTTGTGCTCTTTCCTCTAAGCCTGTCGCGCCAGGGACTGCAGTATGGCCCTTGGCCATGGTGCAGAAACCAATGGGGACAGCCGCTTCCCCTGAGGGAGATCGGACTGGGGAGAGAATGTGAATTTAGTAAGAGCTTCCTGTGGGCTGTAGGCCTAGAAGGGGGCGGGGGCTAAGGGCCAGGGACTCCCCTCCCTGGGGAGATTGTCTCCCTCCCCCTCCAATCCAAGGAAGGAGGGACGGCGTTGCCGGGAGCCTTTGGGAGTAGCTGAGAGCAATGGCAGGCGGTTGGGGAGGTCAGAGGCAGAACCCTTTGGAAGAGGATTTCTGAAATGGCCAACCTAGTTATCTGGGAGTGGCTGGGGAGCAGGGCACCCTGAGACTTGGCAGAACCTCCAGACACATTTATCTAATGGCAGGTGGGGATAATGGCTGGGTGCACACAGAGTAATTTTATGCTTCTTGTGGCCATAATTGATACCTGTGGTCCCCCCTGTCATCAGGGAGAGCCTCAGAAGCAGTGCTGGCATCTCTCCTCTGCATCTGACGAGAAGGGGTGTGGGGGCACTGGGGCAGTTGGGGGCAGAGACTGGGGTTTGAACCATGGTGACTGCCTGGTGGTCTTAGGCATAGGTGGCACCTTCCAGAGCTTGGCTTCCTGACCTGTAAGAGCAGTAGCATTGGTTGCCTGGAGGGGACAAGGTACAACATGAAGAGCCCCACACCTGGGAGGCCCTCGGTAGTTTGGGATGGTCATTGCTGGGTGGCCAGCTCAGCTCAGACCCTCTGAATCAATCCAGCCCTTTGGAACTGGCAATGTGTGCTCTCCGGGCCACCTGTCGCCCCTGCCCAGCCCTGTCCCCAGCCGATGATGCGCACAGCAGGCATTCCACCCACACAGTGGGGGAGAGCAGACAGCATGGTCCCTTGTTCCTGGCATGTGGGCTCTAACGTCCGGCCACTGTGTATGTCTGGCAGGACAGGAGCTTCCATCATCAACAAGGGCAACAAGGGCAGGTCCCCTGTGGCCCTCCCCACACCCGCTGGCATTATTCCAGAGCTCAGCACTGGTAGGAGTGGCTGAGCATCATCTGGTCCAGTCTCCAGCTGCCCAAATGGGCCGAAGGCTTAGAGCCCAGGGCAGCCTGTCTAACCCTCGTGTGCTGCAGGCTCCCTGTTCCTTTGGGCTGTGTCCATGTCTTCAGTTCCTGACACAGGGCACCTCCAGGATGACCCAGGTGTGGATCGAGGCCATGCAGTTGCCTTACTTTTGTTGCCTGTTGATTTCAGGTGGCCAGAGCGATTGTTTATATAGCACATGGCAAGGTGGAAGGAGATGGCATCCCATACCAGACAGGCCTGGATCCGAATCCAATGTCCTAGCTGTGGGGCGCCCCCTGCCTCAGTTTCCCCAGTAGTATGGCCGGCCAGTCCACACATGGTGAGCCCAGCAAGTGACAATCAGTGTGGTGTAGCTTCATCTCACTGCAGCCCATGTGGTCACAAGGGGACCAGTAGGGGGTGGGGTTGAGGAAGGTACCTGAGCTGGGGCAGGGGGTGGGGTGGGGGGATTCCAGTGCCAGGTCTGCCACCAGTGGGCACCAGATCCTTGAGCAAGGCCTGTGCTCCTTCTGAGCCTAAATATCCTCCTGGGCAGCTGCTGGCCTGGCAGATCAGATTCCCCCAGGTGGACAGAGGCTCCTGAGGGGTTGTGTTAATTTGCTCCATAACAAAGTACTAAAGACCAGGTGGCTTAAAGAGAAGACACTTATTTTTTTGCTGATTCTAGAGGCCAGAAGTCTGAGATCAAGGTGTCAGCTGGGTTACTTCCTTCCAAAGCCCCTCTCCTTGGCTTGTGGACGGCCGCCCTCTCCCTGTGTCCTCGCCCCGTCTTCCCTTTGTGTGTGTCTGTGTCCTCGCCCCGTCTTCCCTTTGTGTGTGTCTGTGTCCTCGCCCCGTCTTCCCTTTGTGTGTGTCTGTGTCCTCGTCCCGTCTTCCCTTTGTGTGTGTCTGTGTCCTAATCTGTTCTTATGAAAACCCCAGCCAGACTTGGTTAGAGCCTACCCTCATGACCTCGTTTCACCTTAGTGGTCTCCTTAAAGGTCCTGTCTCCATGCATAGTCACATCCTGGAGTACTGGGGGTTAGGACTTCAGCATATGAATTTAGACAATTCAGTCCATAACAGGGGTGCGGGGCCAAGGGCGGCCTTGTGGCTGGCTCAGCCTTCTGTTTCCATGCTGCTCTTAGGATCATGGAACTGGAAGGGACATGAGGAATGTTCCAGCCCAAACCCACCCACCTGCACAAAGGGGGAAACCAAGGTTTAGGGAAGGAAAAGCAGCTGTCCAGGGCCAAGGAGAGGATGTGGCAGAGCCCGAACCTGAGCCCTAGTCCCCAGACTGTGGACGGTGCAGATCCTAGTATTTGGAACAGAGACACATTTCTTCACCTAATCCAAGAATGGGCAATGATGTAGCCACAGAAACATTCATCTCAGACTTACTAGTAACAACAAAATGTTAGAAACCACCAAACCGTGGAAGCCAGTGATGGAATATGAGCCATCTGTTCCATCTCACTCACTCGTTATTCAGCAAAGATGCACAAAATGCCTACTATGAGCTGATACGGTCTGGCTGTGTCCCCACCCACATCTTACCTTGAGTTGTAATAATCCCCACGTGTCAAGGGCAGGGCCAGGTGGAGATAATTGAATCACAGGGGTGGTTTCCCCCATACTGTTCTCATGGTGGTGATTAAGGCTGGCGATAGCTGGTGGTTTTATAAAGGGCAGTTCCCCTGCACACGCTCTCTTGCCTGCTGCCATGTGAGACGTCCCTTTGCCCCTCCTTCGTCTTCCGCCATGATTGCGAGGCCTCCCTAGCCATGTGGAGCTGTAAGTCCATGAAACCTATTTCCTTTACAAATTACCCAGTCCTGGGTATGTCTTTATTGGCAGCATGAGAACAGACTAATACGTGAGCCCACGCTGCTCCAGGCCCTGGGATTCAGCAACAGACGAGAACAACCCAAAATCTATGTTCTCTTGAACTTACATTCTAATTGGGCGGTGGGGAAGATGTATATGAAGTTACTACCCACATGAAGAATTAACTACATATGTAAAGAATTTCTAATGTTAGGAGAAAATGCTTAAGAAAACAGGTTTAATTGGCCGGGTGCGGTGGCTTACGCCTGTAATCCCAGCACTTTGGGAGGCCGAGGCGGGTGGATCACAAGGTCAGGAGATTGAGACCATCCTGGCCAACATGGTGAAACCCCATCTCTACTAAAAATACAAAAATTAGCTGGGTGTGGTGGTGGGTGCCTGTAATCCCCACTACTCAGGAGGCTGAGGCAGGAGAATCGCTTGAACCAGGGAGTCAGAGGTTGCAGTGAGCTGAGATCGTGCCACTATACTCCAGCCTGGTGACAGAGCAAGACTCTGTCTCCAAAAAAAAAAAAAAAAAAGAAAAGAAAAGAAAATAAGTGGCTGGGTGCGGTGGCTCACGCCTGTAATCCCAGCACTTTGGGAGGCCGAGGCGGGTGGATCACAAGGTCAGGAGATGGAGACCATCCTGGCTAACACAGTGAAACCCCATCTCTACTAAAAATACAAAAAATTAGCTGGGCGTGGTGGCAGGTGCCTGTAGACCCAGCTACTCGGGAGGCTGAGGCAGGAGAATGGCGTGAACCTGGGAGGCAGAGCTTGCAGTGAGCCGAGATCACGCCACTGCACTCCAGCCTGGGCGACAGAGTGAGACTGTATCTCAAAAAAAAAAAAAAAAAGAAAAGAAGTTTAATTTAGAAAACAGCTCAGGACAAAATTGTATTTCATATAGGATGTCAACTCTACAGAAACAGTGAGGGAGGCAATGTCGGGAAGTGCCGTCGGTGCCCATCTGTAAGATGTGGGAGAAGGAACAAAGTTTTCCGTCTTCTGCACCTTTTTACTTTCCATGTGTTTTCCAAGTTTTCTTCATTGTGTGCCCTTTTCTTTTGTACTGAAAGATCAAATGGAAAGAAGAGAGCACACTCTGCCTCCAGCGCTGGTAGAAACCCATCACTCCGGGAGAAGCCCGGCGATTCCGTTCTGCAGGGCCACTATCTGCTGCGTGGGATGGGGGTGTCTCCCAGCATCGAGGGAGCTTAGCACAGGCAGCTGCACTGCTGCAGATTTTCCCTGCCTGACTCCACTCTGAATGAGGTGCAGCAGAAGCCAGACCCCCCTGACCCAGAAATTCATCTGAGATTGTATCTGGAGAGGACTGCCGTTGCCCAGGCATTGGCAGTCTCCGCTTAACCTGGTCACCCCCAAGCTCTGCCCTGTTCTTCCGTGATGTGCAGGGTTCCTTCCTAACCTGGCCACTCAAGATCCTTTGACTCTTTATGGTTTCTGTCAATGAGATGGTTTGGGGGTAGATAGGATATTTTGTAGAATCAAGTCTTGAGTTTGATGAACTCTTGGAAAGTTCAATCTTACTGTCCCAGAAAAAGGTGTGTGTCCCTGACTCATGGAAAAGCTGCCTGGCCCGCACCCTGGGCTTCCAGAGCATCATCTGGGTCACGGGAGACCTCTGAGCTCGAGAGGAAATTGGCAAGACTGGGAGATGAAGGGGCCTGTCTTGTCGCTGGCCCTTTAAGCGGGCACTGCCTATCCTTGAAGCCAGATCAGGCTGCTGGCCTGATGCCATCAACCAACCCCAGAGCCTAGATTCCATAGTCCCTTCCCTGCAAAGATACTTAGGGCCCTTCCTTGCTGCACCCCTTGGCTGTGCCTCTGCCTGGGTAGGGCTCCGTAAAACCTACCTTGAAGTGGGGTCTCAGGCTCACACCCAGCCCTGCCACTTGCTAGCATGATCAAAGATAAGACCTCTGTGTCCTTCTTTCCATTGCTGCCCCTCCCCAGAGTCTTGGTAGGGATTGAGGGTCTCATGAGCTGACCAGTCTCTGCCTGGCACGTGGTAGAGGCTCACAGAGGTTGTTAAAATAGTTGCAATAGGAAAACATGGGTCATGTCCTGGGATAGCTCCTAGTGCTTGAGGCTGATCACATGGGTCCTGCAGTCATCCCCGCATGATGGACGCGGCTGTCCCAGTCCCGGGGAAGCCCCGAAAGAGCAGACCTCCGAGGCTCGCACCCAGCACAGAGCAACCCGAGTCGAGCAGTCTTAATTTACTCAAGGAATTTTTCCATCGCCAGGGCTGCTCAGGGTGTCTAGGGTGTCGGGCAGCACCCAGGTGGGACAGGCTTAAATGTCGCAGAGACTGCGGCTCATCAAGTGCCGCCCTGGGGCCCTGGGCCAGATGCTCGTATAGGTTTCCTCCCGGGGTCCTCGCAGCGCTGCTCGGAGCGGCCGGTGGCATCTCTACCTACGGAGGAAGAAATGCCTGCGAGTCCCGTCTGGTGCCTGGTGTCACGTGATTTGTAAATGGCAGCGCTGGGATTTGAACCCCAGTGTGCCCGACTCAGCCGCAACACGCGTATCCCTGGCTAGGCGGGCGCTGTCTGCCTATCCCCTGCCTGCGTGCTTTAGCCGGTGGCTGTGGGGGATTGGTTGCTGCCTCATAACGCGTGGCTGAGTGTTGGTGTGGATAAAGCCTGGCCCGTTTGGGGGCATCATGATGGCGCTTCTTGGTGAGGGTCTCACACAGCCCATCTTCTCGCCTGGGCCGTGGTGTGTTATTCCCATTTTCCAGCTGCGGGACCTGCCAGCACAGAGCCAGGAGGCAGGACAAGACCCAAACCCGCCTCCTATGGGGGTTCCTGCCTAGCGTCATTGCATGGCCTCTGTGACTCACCCTCAGATAGCCTGGGCCTGAGAAGGACTTTCACCACATTGAGCCCATGTGCCCCCCTGGAACCCTGACCCTCTGCTCCGACTCCCCCACCCCCACCCCAAGTCCTGCAATCCCCCCAGGGCCCATCTGTTCCACTGAAGGCAGTGCCTCTCCCCCTGCTTACACAGCCCAGCCCAGCAGCGTCTCCAGCCCCTCGCCTGGACCTCTGTGACCTTGGACAAGTCATCGTCCCTCTGTGCCTCAGTGTACCCATCTGTAAAAACAGGGCCACTGCCATCCTCGGGGTACAACCCTGCTTTCTTCTGACACCACCGCCCCACCCCGCCCACTGTTTGGGTGTGAGGCCTGGCTGCCATTTTAGGGACCCTGCTGCGCCCACCTTTCTCATCTGGCTCTCGAGATGCTCCCAGCTGGGTGAGCAGTACTTGGGCCTCACGCTGAGGGTCTCTGGCGTGGAGGGAGGTGCCTTGCCGCCTGTGGATTAGCAGCTTCTGTGGATGTCTGCCTGGAGCTCGAGCTAGGAGGGCAGCTGGGTCCCTCGCGTCTGTGGGAAGGACTGGGGCGGAGGAGGGGGCTTTGGATTCTGGGACGCTCACTGGTCCTTGTGGGTGCCAGGGCTGGCTCTGGGGCTTCTCGCCATCAGCAGCTTCCAGGCCTACAACAAACAGGTCTGCTGCGGATAACGAGCTGGGTGGCTTCATGTCACTTCCCTTGGCTGAACATTTCCAAATGTGAGGGGGCCAGTCTGGGTGCCTCAGAAGATGCACTGGCTTTGGGGCTGGGCACACCTGGGCTCCAGCCCCAATCGTCACTTGCTAGTTGTGTGTTTCTCCAAGCGGATTGTTTAAATGCCCTTTGCCTTAGTTTCCCCACATAAAAAGTACAGGTGATGACAGCTGCTTTTGAGGGGTTACTGTAGACTCAGAGATGCTGAGTGAGAGTCAAGGGCCTGGGCACGGCAGGCACCAGGGAACGGGCAGAATGGCCTTTGTCACAGCTGTAAATACCCTTCACAGCTCAGGGACAAACCTGACGTCGTGCCCCGTGGGAGCCGCTTTGGCATCATCAGCCACACCCTAGGCTGGGTTCATAGCTTCCCCTCCCCTTCTCTGGTCCTGCTGTCTCCCCTGCCAGCCCCATCTCAGTCCTGGTTACAAGGCTGCAGCCCAGTGCCAGGAGAAGCACCGTCTCCAGAGAGCCACCCAGCTCCCGGTTTTCTCGGCACAGCATCCTCAGGAGGCGTGGTGTCTTGAGTCATCGGTCTCAGCTCGAAGCTTCATTTTAGCTGCATTCTACTGAGCAGCCCCCATCCCAGGCAGCAGCAGTGGCTCCTCCCGCCTCCGGCACGGAGCTCGCACCCTGTGCTGGAAGTTTGGGACTTTGGTTTCTCTGTGCTTAGAGAGACGAGTTAGAGAGACGATCTGGAAATGTGAGTCCAGCCAGCGCACCAAGAAAAGTGCTCAGTGTCACTGCGGCTAGCATGCTGCCTCTGTCCTCGCTGGCGTCTGTCCTCAGGGCACGATGGGGCCTTGTACTGGCTCCCCTGAAAGCCACTCAGGTAGAATGAGAGGAGGCATTTCGTGAACACCCAAGGAGTGGAGGATGTGTGATGGGTGGAACTCCGTCCCCAGTTCAGCATGGCCTCCTCATCTGTCTGCCGTCATTCCATAAGACAGCCTGGCCTGTCTCTCTGACCCTCTGCTTCTGCAGACCTCAGTGTCCCCGGGATCGCACATGGAAAATGACATCAGTTGATGCTGCAGCTGGACACGAAGTGCCCAGAAGGAAGAATTCCAAGGAGCATCCAGACCTTCAACCTGGCAGCCTAGTTTCAAATGCCCTCATGATGTTCCAACCCCTTTGCCCCACAACTCTCTCCATTTAGGCTCCCTGAGTAGGTGCAGTGGGAACTTGGGTGCAGGTGGTTTACCTAGGAGGTGACCCCAGGAAGCACGAGGGAGGTGTGAGGAGGGTAAGGGGGGAAGGGAGGGGAAGCCAGGAGGGGGCATTTGGATGGGGGCCACCACTCTGGCAAGTGGGGACTCAGTCCCACTGGGAGCCTCTGAATCGTCCCACAGAGGGACCGGCTGTGTGGGGTCTTACTCCATAGGCCCCGTCCTGTCTGGGCGCAGGGCCAGTCCTGAGTGTGAGGTGCTGGGGAAGTCTCAGCCTAGGTCCGGGCCTTCTCTGTGTCCAGCAGTCAACAGCCTCCCAAGGGCTCAGAGCTCTTCCAGAATGTCCCTTCTGTCCCTCCACGACTATTTATTAAGCACCTACTATGTGCTGTCTTTGCCCTGATCCCCCAACAGCCTTGCATTCTTCCTGCCGCCTTCTGCCTGCCCCCGCTCCCCTGGAGTCCCTCCTCCTCTCCCTTTCAAGGCTCTGCCGGACTCCAGGGCCTCTGTGAAGCTTTCTTCCCATCTCTAGGCCCTCTGCTTCCCTCCTTCCTCTGAACCTGTGGACACAGACCAAGCTGGGGTTTCCTGTGGAGATTTGTGCCTGCTCCTGCCTGCTCTGCAGCCTGGAGCTGGGACCTGCCCTCTCTGAAATACCTCCTCTTGGATGGTGTTGGGGGGCTGAACAGTGGACTCAAAGGTGCCCATGTCCTAATCCCAGGCCCTGTGACTATGTGACCTCATGCGGCAAAATGACTGTTCATATGCGACTATGTGAAGGATTTTGCCACAGGGAGACTGCTCTGGATTTCAGGGGGCCTGAGGCTTCTCGCTAACGGGAGGCAGGAGGCAGCAGAGAGGAGAGAGAAGTCTCCACGCCTGGCTCTGAGGATGAAGGGAGGGGCCCCACACCAAGAAACTCGGGTGCCCCTAGAAGCTGGAAGAGGCACGGAAGTGGATCTCCCCCGGAGCCTCCAGATGGCCCCAGCCCTACAGACCCCTTCACACTCTGGCTGGATCTGCCCTGGTATCTGGGGACCCCAGATCTCAGCGTGGCCTGACTCTCCGTAGTGTCTGGGGACCCTGGGCCTTGGCACAGCTGGACTCTCCCTGGTGCCTCCAGATCCCGGGTCCTGGCGTGGCCTGATCTCCCGGGTGCCTGCGGAGCCCAGGTTTCTTGGTACATCAGCAGCTCTGGGAGGAGATAGGGGTGGTCTCATGGAGAGGTGGGGGTCCAGGAACCAGCCCAGGCCATGTACCCCCTGAGCCTTGGCCTCCTCATCTCTGTTGGGGTTGGGCTTGTCCTAGAGGATCTTTCCGACTCTGAGTTCCTGTGTGGTTTGGGGCAATGGACACCTTGGGATGTAGCATTTGCTTCCAGGCAAGCAGGACTCTGCTGTGCATGCCCACGGGGGAACGGCTTACGCGCTTCCCCAGTGTGGACCCAGCACCGCGATGTGCTTTCACCCTATAATCCTTACATCAGAGCTCCTTGCTCGGGACTACCAGTATTCCCACTTCACAGGTGAGCAAACGGAGGCCCAGGGAATTAGGTAACTCTCCCGAGGTGATTCGGCTGAGAAGCACCGTGCCAGCTGCAGAACCCGCACTCCTAACTGTGGTGCGCCATGGCCCCCCCGCGTCCTGAGCGGCTCCCTCACCTCCTGTGGGCCCTGCTTCACTGTAGGCCCAGAGCCCCCTCTGGAATCCAGTGGGGAGGCCTCCGCAGGCCCACAGTGCTGCTTAGGTCACCTGCAGCTGCAGCCCTCTCATCCACCAGCTCATCCTCTCCCCTCCAGACACACTGGGCCCTTCAGAACCTGCCTGGCCCAGGGCCCCCACAGGAGAGCTTCTGCTGCACCGCCGCCACGTCTTCCTTTTCTCCCTCTGCCCCTGCCTCCTGCCACTCCAAACCCCTTCTCTGCCGGGGAAGGTGCGCATGGTGGGCTTTGGTGAGGGGTTTCTCCCCCAGCAAGGTCGGGCCACTATCCCTTGTTGCCTGCCCACCTGGGCCTCAGGGAACCACACCAGAGTTTGGGGTTGGTCTGCAGCTGGGCCCTGACTCGTGCCCCTTCTTCTGGGATATTGGGCCTAGGGCTGACTTCGTGATTAAAGGGCGATTCACCCATTAAAGAAAGGGTTTTGTGCAGGTCCGTGCCTCGCTCAGGGAAGATGGCACAACCAGAGTGCTGGGCAAAGGCCACCTGTGAGTGTCTAGGGGCTGCGGTCACCAGTGACCACAAGCTGGGAGGCTTAAAGCAAGAGAAGGCATTTCCTCCCAGCTCTGGAGGCCAGCAGTTCAATGTCAGTGTCCGAGGCTAAACGGCGCTGGCAGCTCCCTCGGGGGCTCAGGGGAGGCTCAGTCCTCACCCCTGCAGCTTTGGTGGCTGCCAGATTCTGAGGTTTGTGGCCACGTTGCTCCAATCTTCAAGGCAGAGTCTTCAAACCTCCCTCAGCTCCATCTTCATGCTACTTCTCCCCTGTGTGTGTCGTCTCCCGCTCCCTCCTCCCCATAAGGACTCTTGAGATTGCACTCAGAGCCCGCCCATAGCATCCAGAATCATCTCCCAGTCTCTAGACGCTTTATGTAAATCACATCTGCAAAGACCCCTCCCCTTTTAACCATATATGTCACAGGTTTTAGCGATTAGATGGGGATATCTTCTGGGGGAGGCATTACTCAGCCGGGCACAGGTAGTCTCTTGGTGCATCCTGTTTACCGGGTCAATACCTTTTCTTCTCCCTGTGGAGTCTCTAGGATGGATGAGAGAGTGAGAATGACTTCTCATAGGATAAAAAAAATGTTACTCGCTAAATTTAAACGTCCCGGGAGTTAGATCCTGTCACAGACTGTGGATAAGAATATGAATTGGTCTAATCTTTTGAGGAGCAGTTAGGTGAAATGTATGGAGACTTAAATACATTCATGCCTTTTGATGGAATAATGCGACTTCTGGGAATCTCTTCTGAAGAAAGCCTCTGAAACACAGACATGAATTTCAGAAATAAAAAGCCGTTGATTGCAGGGGTTACATGCTCTGCAACGTAAATGTCCAACCGCAGAACACTGGCTAAGGAAATTCCTGTCCATCTATGGCAGCATTTATCAAACTTCTAGGGCCTCAGGGTTCAATTACTGAGGACCCCAGAGAGCTTTTGCTTATGTGCATTATATTTCTTGATATTTATTGTATTCGAAATTAAAACAATTTAAAAAAACATTTGTTGACTGGGCATGGTGGCTCACACCTGTAATCCCAGCGCTTTGGGAGGCCAAGGTGGACAGATCACTTCAGCTCAGGAGTTCAAGGCCAGCCTGGGCAACATAGTGAGATCCCGCCTCTACAAAAAATAAAAAAATTAGCTGGGCATGTGCCTAGTCCCAGCTACTCTGGAGGCTGAGGCAGGAGGATCGCTTGAGCCTGGGAGGTTGAGGCTGCAGTGAGCCATGATTGCACCACTGCACTCCAGCCTGGGTGGCACGGTGAGACCCTGTCTCCAAAAATATATATAAATAAATGAAAATTGAAAAATAAAAAATGTGTTAAACCGCAAAAGGACAATGACTGCTCTGCACGCTAACATAAGAGCATTTTTAGCGAGCCGAGGCACTGCTTTACAGCTTTGCAAATCTCATTAATATCTGACTTTGTAGGTGACGGCTGGATTCTGACGTCTGCCCTGTGTTAAATCAGTTGTGACGTCACATGTCATGCGGCCTCTGCAAAACTCCATTGTACACTCAGGACAGACTGAGAGTGAAAAGGGAAACCATATCTTCGTGTTGTTATTGAAAGGATTTTGACCACCAAACCCTGTGTGAGGTCCTGAGGACTGCCCTAGACCATACTTTGACAGCTGCTGATAAAAGATGGAATATTGTGCATTAAAAATATTATGAAGCATGAATAAAGTCTATGTGAAGGCTGGTGGTAGACGAAGAATACAGGACGCATCATTTCTTACAGTCTGCAAAAGATGCAGAAAAACATCTCAGAAAAAAAATGTGCTAGGATCATGGGCAATTTTCCTTTGTTCCTAATGCTTTGCTGTTCTATGTTTTCACTGCTGATCCATTTTAAGGACATGCTAGTGGCGGGTTTGCTCAATTCTAGTTCTCAAGGACACTCCATTAGGAAGCAGCTGTCAGCCTCCCCGGCGGCTGGCCAGGTCCTCTTGCTCTGAGATACTCTATTTTGAGAGGTGGACTTTCACTGTTGAGCTAGGGCTGTGAGCGGTATTGACATGTTACAAGCACAGGGATCTCGTGTGTGTGTGTGTGTGTGTGTGTGTGTGTGTGTGTGTGTGTGTATGAGTGTGTAGTCTGGGGATAATTTAGTCTACGGTTATAAAAGAGAGGGAGTTCTGCTCTGGAGCAAAATCCATGGTTGCCAATGAGAAATTAGGAGCTGGCCTGAGATTTCATGTCCTCAGCTGGAATGCTAGCACCCAGCAGGGCTCCAGCAGAGAGCTAAATATATCCTGGGTGTGCTGGCAACCTCAGGAACCCCCGGCGCTCACCAGAGTGGGATCCAAAGGGAGTGATTGATTTGTCTAATGAAAATCAATACCTGGCCGGGCGCGGTAGCTCATGCCTGTAATCCCAGCACTTTGGGAAGCCGAGGTGGGCAGATCACCTGAGGTCAGGAGTTCAAGATCAGCCTGGCCAACATGGAGAAACCCCGCCTCTACTAAAAATACAAAAATTAGCTGGGCGTGGTGGTGTGTGCCTGTAATCCCAGCTACTCAGGAGGCTGAAGCAGGAGAATTGCTTGAATCTGGGAGGCGAAGATTGCAGTGAGCTGAGATCATGCCACTGCACTCCAGCCTGGGCGACAGAGCGAGACTCTGTCTGGAAAAAAAAAAAAAATCAATACCTGCCATTTACAGAGCACCTAGCAACACTGGGCACAGGAGCGAGGCTGTAGATTGATCTCCGACACCACAAAGCCCTGTGGGGTGATGTCACTGCTCCCAGTTGGCAGATGAGGGTGCTTGGATAAGACAGGAGGCACGACCCGCCCCAGGTCACACGGCTGGTAAAGATGGGAGGTGGGCTTCCCACTGGCATGCCTGCCTCTCAGAACACCCACTCAGTGCTGCCGCCTCCCCAGAGCGTGTCTCCCCACGGGTTCTTTCAAATTCTCAGGCCAATAGGGAACAAAGAGTTCTGCGCCTGATAAAAAACATCCCTTTTGCGGATGGTGCATTTTTATGCTTTCCAAAGAGCTCACGCTTCTTGATAAAAGGGTGCCCGGTGGCTGGTAGAGAACAGCAGCATAGCGGGGGTCATAACACTGGCTGAGTGTGGGCCGCGTCACCTCTGTGAGTCCTCTTCACACCAGGTGGTGGGGTGGGGAGCTGTGACTCCCCATTTTACAGGCGGGGACATAGAGGCAAAGTGACATGGAGAAGCCTGCCCCGCGTCACCCGCTGGGCTGGCACTGGAGCTCAGGCTGTGTCCTTCCAGACCCTGTGCTCAGCTGAATGGCGCCCTCCCTCCCTCCCTCCATAATCTGCATTAAATGTGGGTCAGCTTCCTGCGAGGCTTTCACAAGCCTTCTCGCAGCTCAGCGCGGGAGTCATTTTATGTGCTGTCTGCGTATTTGTGATTCTCCTCCACGCCTTGCCTTTCAAATAGAACAAGTCCCCCAGCGGCGGCCCTGGGGCATAAGGGGCAGTGTCATCACTGCCATAGGGGGTGGATGCGGATTCTGGAAGGGACTTAGAAACTGTCTCTCTCTCTTCTTCCTTAAAATGTGACCCACAGCCTCCTAGGAGGTTGACAACTTAGAAAGAGTATTTTGCTGGAAATTGGGATTTTACCAGGAATTTCTGGCCGAGCACCAGGGGCTGCTTCCCCGCTGAGGCTCTGCTGGGTGCTTTGATCCCTTCCCTTTCCCCAACTCTGCCAGGCACCCCTGTGGCCCAGCAGGAGATGCCAGCAGGACTTTGCTCTGGACTTGGGAGGAAGAGGACCATCAGGCTACAGCCGGCCCCTCCTTGGCATTGACCTGGGAAGTCCCCAAGGGGCAGCTTTCAGGGTGGGGGCTGGTGGTTTCTCCCAGGACCTAAGTCCTCCCCTCCGAGCGCCAGTTTCCTCGGTGAGGACCTGCCGCTCCCCGAGGAGACCAACACCAGGAAGGATGCCCCTCACAGAAGACCCCCCAGCCTGCTGCAAAGGCCTGGCCCCACCCCAGGGCTGACAGGCAGCCGTGTCCTCTAACATGCAGCCAAGCAGCATCCACAGGCTTGGCAGGGAGGCTAGAGGTGGTATGTTCCCTGGAGCATGTCGATCCTCTTGCTGGGCACTGGAGGCAGTTCTTCCCTCCAGGAGCACCCAGCCAACAAAGAAGGCATGCAGTAAGCGATGACACTCCATGAGAAAGCACTTCTCAGGGAGGCAGGCTGTGGGGCCAGAGAGAAAGTGAACCTGGCCTGAGAGAGAAATCCTGGCAGGCTTCCTGAAGGAGGTGACATCCAACCAAGTAGGAGTTAGCCAGACAAAGCAGTGGGAGAAGGGCACCTGACAGCAGGGACAGCTAGTGCAGAGCCCCCGAGATGGGAGGGAGAGTATGTGTTTGAGGAATTTCATCCGTGCCCTGACCTTAGGCCCTGGGTAGGGTGCAGGGTGCAGGGCTCCACAGTGCTATCTGCCTTTTGTGCACCGTGGTCCTCCGGTACCTCCCATAGCACCTGGCTGGTAGTACGTGCTCAGTGACAGTGTAGGGAACCCAGCCTTGGGGGCCTGGGAGTCAGTGTCTGAAGGAAGCTCCTTCCTTAGAGGGGTGGAGACCGCTGACAGTACAACAGGCAGATGCCTGGGCCTCAGCCTGGGACGCTGTGATAGAGCTGGGCAGGCCCCAGGAGATGCATTTGCAGACGCCCCCCCCCCCCACTCTCGCCCCCGCTCCCAGTATGGGCACTGTTGACACTGACACCCTTTTCAAGACGTTTAGCCATGAAGGAAGGGGAGAAGAAGGACAAGAGCCGGTATTGCCAGGGTCAAGGGAGGACTGGGGCCTTTGCAGATGGGAAGAGGGGGCCTGCAGAGGGGAGGGAAGCTGGCTGAGAGTGTTCAGGGAACAGGTCCCAAGGCCACGTCCCTGTGCCTCCTCTCTCATTCACTGAGCTATCTTCCTCGCCCTCCCACCTTCCCCAGACCTGAGGTTCCTCAAGGGCCGGGCCAGGCTGATGTTCTCATTGAGGGCTCGTTGACCAGAAAGGGATGGTGTTGTCCTTGGGGAGGGCAGGGTCCAGAGAGGGGACAATTGGTGCTGCACAATTGCAGGAAGTGGCACCTTTGTCCAACCGTGCAGGGGAAGAGTGAGGGCCATCAAGGGCAAGGCCGCTGATTCAGGAGCCCTGGTCCCCCTCTGTGCCCACCTCGTGGCTGCGAGCACACATCAAGGATGCCAGCGCCCACCATGCACCATTCAGCAGCTGACCCCAGTGAGCCCATGCAGCACACCCACAGCCCTTGTCATAATTTCACTCAAGAGCAGCAGAGGGCTGGGGTGGGCACTTGTTTTGAGGCTTAGCAGCATCTTGTTCAAGCTAGTGGCTCTTTAACTCCTGGGCCAGGGAGGGCAATGGGGAAGCCGGGTGACCAGGACATGTGCCCTCTGTGCCCGAAGGTGGAGAGTCATCGTAATGCAGTCTGCCAGTGCACCCCCTGGGCTGCACCTCGGTGCTGGCCCCAGGGGTGATGTTGGGGCAGTGAGGTGAGGCAGAGTCCATGCCCTCGGGCAGTGCGGGCAGCAGGAGAGACCAGCTGGGAGCAGGCAGTTACAGCAGTGGGGGTCAGTGCCATAGAGACTGTGAGACCCAGACACTCTGGGAGGGGCTCGAGCCGATGTGGAGACCTGGACAGTGTCCTGGCCCTTGCTGTCCCAGATCCAGGAAAGAGGGTTAGTTATGCCAGGAATAGAACCCTCTATCTCCCATGGTGCCACCTGACTCAGGACAACTCGAACAGCTGCGCCACTAGAGGCTGGGCTTGCAGCTGGAGGGAGGTGGGCTGGTCACGGCGCCCCGCTGGCCCCAGGATGACATGGCCAAGCAGCTTGTTCCCCTGTGCACCCATGGTTAGGTTTTCTGGTGGGCTCCTGCATGGAGCTGGGGGGGCCCTCCCCCTCTTCTCAGATCCAGGGTGCATGTATTCGCTCTCTACTCAAAGTGCAGGCGGAGCATTTGGCCCCACCCAGGTGGACATATGAAATTTAAGATGGGACCCTAGATACAGTGTGGCAAGTAGCACTGGTTGCAAATTCTCCTTTACTTAGAACTCACAGGCGCCCTCCCAAATAGGTCTCCTGTGGATAGATCTGCACGTGAACCTGCTCCTAATATCAAGCATAACTGGCTGATACTAGGAGCAGAACTGTGTGCTCATTCCTGTAATCCCAGCACTTTGGGAGACCAAAGCAGGAGGATCATTTGAGGTCAGGAATTTGAGACTAGCCTAGGCAACATAGCGATACTCCATCTCTACAAAATAAAAAATAAAAAAGCATAGTCTGCTTAATATTAAGCATAACCTCCCTTCCCCTTTTATGGAAGTTGAATTATTCAAATGTTGGTGCATGTGTTTGGCAAAGATCATTCCCTGGGTGCCTGTGAGCTTCAGGCCAACGGAAGCTAGCTGCGGGGAAAGCTGTGAAGGAGGCATGTGTGGCTGTGATTTGCCGAGGAGGAAGAGGGGCTGGTAATTAACTGCAGGTCATGTCTGGGGCTTGGACTTGTGGGTCTTATAATCCATAAGATTATAGCTTTTGTTTGCTTAGGGCCAGGCACTTCGATGTTTGTGATCTCTTTAGAGTGATTCCAGAATTCTTAGAAATACTTAGGGCTCCGGGGGGTGGGGAGAGGGGGTGGCCAAGGTCACATGGCCGGGAAGAGACAAGGCTATGATTTGAGCTCAGGGCTGTCTGTTCCCAGTCCCAGTCCCTTCCCGCTACCTGGAGATGACTTGCAGGATGGCGAGAATATCTATACAGGTGAGGCTAAGGCAAGGGCAGCTCAGGGGCCTGGAGACAGGGGCAGGGTCCACCTGAGCCTGAGGTCAGGTTCAGTGGCCTTGGAGACCAGCCCACAGCTGCAGGCTTTACCGTGGATTTTAATGAGTAAGGAGTTCTAGAAAAACACCGTTCACACCACCCAGGCCTCCTCTGCATTGGTCCAGCTTCTAATTCTTCATAGCTCTTCTTGGCAGCCACCTCCCTGCCCTGAACCCCACCCTGACTCAGGAGCTGGGGTAAATGCACTCTTTTCTGAATATCGTCAGCCCTTTCCCTCCTTCCACATGTGTCTGGGTGCTACTCTCTGCTGGCCTCCGTGGGACCTTCAGGAGGCCCCAGCTCCCCTGGGTCACTGCCCTCTTGTGTATTCTCTGGGGTCGATTTTATCATCATTGCTTCCATCATCAGTAGCAGTGGCCATGGGAGTAACGGTATCACAGACAGAATGCGCGTTTGTTTTTGAAGGGGCATTGAAGCCGGTTAAAGAGAGGCCACGTGTGGCTCCCACATGCAGGCAAGGCCCCCGTGTCACTGCCCCCTTTCCCCCATGCTCCCCGCCAGGTTTCCAAGCCTCCAGGTGGTGCACGATGCGGTCCTCCTCTGGCACTGTTTCACGAAGTTCCTGCCTGGCATGAAATCCCCTGCCATGGCTGATTCCTTAGCTGCCGTGTAGGATCCCACTGCATGGCTCCCTGTGGTGTGTTTGACCACATTCTCTGTTTCCTTCACCAGATGGGGAGCATTGCTTTTGTTTTGTATTTTTTTCTTAATTTTATTTTACTTTAAGTTCTGGGATACATGTGCAGGACATGCAGGTTTGTTACACAGGTAAACGTGTGCCATGGTGGTTTGCCGCACCTGTTAACCCACACCAAGGTATTGAGCCCTGCGTGCATTAGCTATTTATCCTGATGCTCTCCCTCCCCCCACCCCTCTGACAGGCCCTAGTGTGTGTTGTTCGTCTCCCCGTTTCCATGTGTTCTCACTGTTCAGCTCCCACTTGTAAGTGAGAACATGTAGTGTTTGGTTTTCTGTTCCTGTGTTAGTTTGCTAAGGATAATGGCTTCCAGTTCTATCCATGTCCTTGCAAAGGACACGATCTCTTTCCTTTTTTATGGCTGCATAGTATTCCACGGTGTATATGTGCTACATTTTCTTTATCCATTCTATCAGTGATGGGCATTTGGGTTGATTTCATGCCTTTGCTATTGTGTATAGTGCTGCAATGAATATACACATGCATGTATCTTTATAATAGAATGATTTATATTCCTTTGGGTATATACCCACTAATGGGATTGCCGGTTCAAATGGTATTTCTGGTTCTGGATCTTTGAAGAATCAGCACACTATCTTTCACAATGGTGGAACTAATGTATATTCCCACCAACAGAGTAAAAGCATTCCTGTTTCTCCACAGCCTCGCAAGCATTTGTCGTTTCTTGACTTTTTAATAATCGCCATTCTGACTGGTGTGAGATGGTATCTCATCGTGGTTTTGATCTGCACTTCTCTAATGATCATTGACGTTGAGCTTTTTTCATATGTTTGTTGGCTGTGTAAATGTCTTCTTTTGTGAAGTGTCTCTTCATGGCTTTTGCCCACTTTTTGATGGGGTTGTTTTTTTCTTGTAAATATGTTTAAGTTCCTTGTAGATTCTGGATATTAGATCTTTGTCAGAAGGATAGATTGCAAAAATTTTCTCCCATTTCATAGGTTGTCTGTTCACTCTGATAATAGTTTCTTTTCTTTTTTTCTCCCTTCCCTTCCCTTCCCTTCCATTCCCCTCCCCTCCCCTCCCTTCCCTTTTCCCTTTTCCCTTTTCCGTTTTCTCTTTTCAAGACAGAGTTTCACTGTTGTTGCCCAGGCTGGAGCGTAATGGTGCAATCTCGGCTCCCTGCAACCTCCGCCTCCTGGGTTCAAGCAATTCTCCTGCCCTCAGCCTCCCAAGGAGCTGGGATTACAAGTGTCTGCCACCATGTCCGGCAATTTTTGTATTTTTATTAGAGACGGCGTTTCGCCATGTTGGCCAGGCTGGTCTTGAACTCCTGACCTCAGGTGATCCACCCACCTAGGCCTCCCAAAGTGCTGGGATTACAGGCGTGAGCCACTGCACCCAGTCTCTGATGATAGTTTCTTTTGCTGTGCAGAAGCTCTTTAGTTTAATTAGGTCCCATTTGTCAATTTCTGCTTCTGTTGCAATTGCTTTTGATGTTTTTGTCATGAAATCTTTGCCCATACCTGTGTCCTGAATGGTATTGCCTAGATTTTCTTCTAGGGTTTTTATTGTTTTGGGTTTTACGTTTAAGTCTTTAATCCATCTTGAGTTAATTTTTGTATAAGGTATAAGGAAGGGGTCCAGTTTCAATTTTCTGCATATGGCTAGCCAGTTTTTCCAAAACCATTCATTAAATCCTTTTCCCATTGCTTGTTTTCTCAAGTTTGTTGAAGATCAGATGGTTGTGTATGTGTGGTCTAATTTCTGAGATCTCTATTCTGTTCCATTGGTCTGTGAGTCTGTTTTTGTACCAGTACCATGCTGTTTTGGTTACTGTAGCCTCATAGTATAGTTTGAAGTCAGGTAGCATGATGCCTCCAGCTTTGGTCTTTTTGCTCAGGTTTGTCTTGGCTATATGAGCTCTTTTTTGGTTCCATATGATTGTTTTGTATTTTTAAATTTTATTTTTTATTGTGATTAAATACACTCACCCTAAAATTTACCATTTTAACCATTTTTAAGCATACCATTCAGTGACATTAAGTCCATTCACACGGTTGAATGATGATGTAGCCATCATCACTGTCTATCCATAGAACCTTTTTCATCTCCCTCAACTGAGGTTCTGTCCCCCTTAAACACTCACTCCCCATTCTCCCACACCCAGCCCCTGTCACTCCCATTCCTTCTGTCTCTGTGGATTCAACAACTCTAGGGGCCTCCTATCAGTGGAATCCTGCACTATTTGCCCTCTGTGACTGGGATCTCACTCAGCGTAATGTCTTCAAGGGTCATCCATGTCATAGCCTGTGTCAGAATTCCTCTCCTTTTTAAGGCTGAATAATATTCCACTGAATGGCTGGGCCACATTTTGTTTATCAGTTCATTTGCCGGAGGGCACCTGGGCGGCTTCTGCCTCTTGGCTGATGTGACTAAGGCTGCTGTGAACGTGGGTGTGTAGGTATCTCCTAGGGAGCCTGCTTTCTGTTCTTTGGGGTAAATACCCAGAAAGTGGGACTGCCGGATCAAATGGCCATTCTATCTCTAAGTTTTCGAGGGCCCACCCTACTTTTCCACAGTGGCTGCACCATTTGACACTTGGTGGGGGCATTTTGAGGGCAGGACCCTGTCAGGCTGGCCTGTGAGCCCTGTGCTCAGGGAGCGACTCCACAGCTTGGCTGAGGGGCTGCGACGTGGCTGCCTCTCGCCAACTGCACCTCCCATCCCTTCTTCACCACCGCCTGTGCCCGGCCAGGCTGAGCTCTTAGGGGCTCCCATGAGGGCCAGGCCCTTCCCCAGCCCTGTGTCTTTGCACAGGCGGTTCCCCTCATGGGACGCCCCCGCTCCCCTGCCCCTTCACCCAAATCCACCAGAGGCCTGCCCCATGGGGCACGATGTCTGTGGCCACTCCCCAGGCCCTTGGCCGCCCCCACTGTCTTTGTCCCTGTGAGGCATGGGCTTGTCCACTTGTCCGGGGTTCATGCCCTTTCTGTCTGTCTTCCTTGACCAGGGACTCCCAGAGCAGGGACTGTCTCACCCAGCTCAGGATCCCTTGAGCCAGTGAGCCCCTAAAGCAGAGTGGGGGGGTCCTAGCGCCTGCTGGGGACTAAGGGCCTGAGGAGTGCCCAGGTCAGTGTATGAGTCAGCCCGGCTGCCGTGACAAATACCACAGCCTGGGCGGCTTACAAAGACAGACGTTGAACTCTCACACTTCTGGAGGCTGGAAGTCCCAGAGGGAGGCACGGAGAGTGGGCTCTGTTGGGGGCCGCCTCCTCATAGATGGGGCCTTCTCACTGTGTCCTCCTATGGAAGGGGACAATGAGCTCTTTGGGCCCCACCCTCATGACCTAATCACCTCCCAAGGGCCCAGCTCCTAATACATTGCCTTGTGAGTTAGGATTTTCTCACACAAATTTGGAGGGGGAGCCACAAACATTCAGACCATAGTAGCGAGTGACAGGACTTGGTTTCCTGAGGCCTGAGCGGGGAGGCCCCGCTGTGTGCTCTGGAAGGTTGCAGCTGGACCCGAGGCCACGTGGCAGGACATGGCACTAGGCAGTGAGGTGTACATTTAGCCACACTGAGTGGGAAAATGTCATGCACCTTCCTTCCTCCGCTTCCCTCGGCCTTGTCGGCATGACTCAGACAGTGGTGCTGTTGGCAGATGCCCTGCAGACCACGAGTTGTCTGGTGGGTCCCGGGTACTCAGGTGGGCAACAGGCCACTGACAAACAAAGTCAGCCACGTGGGGTGCAGAAGGCGAGGCCCCCACCTGGTACTGCAGAGCCCTTCCCCCATGTCTAGTTTTGGATTTTTGCTGCCCTGGGTACAGAGAGCATCTATTGGCATCATTTTTTAAAACAGTGGTACTATGTATACATTATATTTCCATCTAGACCATTCTTAAGTGTGCCATCCTGTGGCACTAAACACATACACTTACACGGTGCTGTGCAACCAGCAATGCCATCCATCCACAGGACCCTCTCATCTTCCCAAACAGAAGCCGTGTCCCCCTTCAACACTAACTCCCCGGCCCCTGCCACCCACCCTTCTACTTTCCATCTCTATGAAGTTGACGACTCTTGGGACCTCATATAAGTGGCATCCTGTGATATTTGTCCTTCTGGGACTGGGCATGGTGTCCTCAAGAGCCATCCATGCTGTAGCCTCTGTCGGGATTTTATTTCTTCTTAGGGCTGAGTGCTATTTCATCGTCCGTATAGACCACGTTTTGCTCATCTGTTCATGTCTATGGATGCAAGGATCGTCTCCAATGCTTGGCTGGTGGAGATTCTGCTGCTGTGAATGTGGGTGAGCACTTGCACAATTGTGTTTTTAATGGTCCTGTCAGCAGCTCCGTGGCAGGTGACCTCAGAGCAGGGACCGGTTGCCAGGCCTCATGCACAGCACTTTCCACGAGCTGCTTTATTCATTCTTCACCACGTTGGCTCTTCACCACCTGTGAAGTGGGAGCTCTTATTGTCCTGATGTGCTGATGAGGAAACAGGTCAGCCGTGAGAGGCCCCTTGCCCATGTTGCCGGCCTCCGGGCTGGGTGCCGAGTCCTTCGGAACCCGCGTCATCTGCGCTCCTTGAGAGCATCTGTCTTCATCCACTGGGGCCACTCTCACAGGATATCACAGCCCGGCGGCTTATAAACAGCAGACATTGATTTCTCACAGTCCTGGAGGCTGGAGGTCCCAGATGAAGGCACCAGCAGATGCAGTGTCTGGAAAGGACTGCTTCCTGGTTCATCAATGACGTCTTCTCACTGTGTCCTCACACTCAGAAGGGGCGAGGGAGCTCTCTGAGGTCTCTTTTGAAAGGGCACTAATCCCATTCATGAAGCTTCCACACTCATGAACTAATCACCTTCCGAAGGCCTCACGTCCTAACACCCTCACACTGGGGGCAAGGACTTCGACACATGAATTTGGGGAACGCAGGCATTCAGACATAGCAATACATTAGTACCTATCGATAGCAAAACATCGCCTGTGCAATGTCCACTTTCTGGCTGCCCCGGTTACCCCTAGTTGTCTGTTGCGGGTATTTGCTTACCTTTTCTCCTCCAGGATCCGACCCAGAATCATGCATTGCAGTTGGTTATCATGTGTCGTTGTCCTTAGTAGCTTTTATTCTGGAATGTTCTCCCTACCTTTTTTCCTTTTCTATCTTTCTTTTGTGCCACGGACACACTTGAAAAGTCCAGACCTGTGGCCTTGTGGCATGTCCCACCATCAGGACTGGTCTGTTTCTTCATGTCTGGGTTTGGCTGAGCATTTTGGACAAGGGCCTGCCTCGGTGACGCTGGGTCCTTGCCACTGTGCCCATCAGAAGCGCATGGGACGCACTGGCTCCCAAGTACTTTCAGATTTTAGCACACCTTGTGTGCACCTAGTGGAGATGAAAATTCTCACACGTATGTCTTTGCACCCACATGCAAATAGACATGTAAGGGATATTCCTGGAAGAGGAATTGTTGGATAGAAATGCCTTCTGCCAAGCCACCCTCCCCAGTGGCTGTCCTGATTTGTACCTGTACCAAAAGGGCACAAGTCCCTCGTCCCTGGTCCCTCCGAGCCCAGCTCAGGACACTGTCAGTCTTTTAAATATTTGCCAGACCATGGGAAAAGGGGGCCTTCCTGGCACTGTGGAGCCTGAGAGCGTTTTCATACATTTCCGGCACATTTGTGTCTCTGTGAATTTCCTGTCCCTTTCTTTGCTTATTTTTCTGTTGGATTATTTGTCTTTATTGATTCAGGAGGCAGACGGGGCATGTGGTCTGCATTTTGCAGGCAGGGAGATGGATCGCTATTGGTTTTAGCATGCGTTCTTCTTGCCGACGGGGGCTGGGCCGAGCTGTGTGTGGAGGGGCTGTGGGTGTGGAGAGGGAGGGGCAGCAGGAGACGGCCCAGTTTCCGGCCTGGGCGAGTGCCTCCTTGGGGACAGAAGGCAGGGAGTGGTGGAGGAGCGGCACCTCCCAACAGGGAGACGCAGCACCATCCCCTCCGATCCGCCCTGGTGGATTTTCTCACTGCATCTCTGTGCTCACCCTGCCCTGGGGCTGCCTGAGAGCTCAGGAAGGGAGTTGGCATGCTTAGTCCTGGCCTTCGAGGCTTCCCTCATGGCCGCTCAACATCCTCCGCTTGCCTTTGTTTCCGCCTGGCCTCGGAGCCTCTGTACCTCCATCCCCTCTTCAGCTGTGTCCTTCAGTGCTTGGTGCAGATGTCCTGTCCTCATGAGGCCCATCCGCCCGCCTGTGCCCATGGCAGCCGTAGCAGCTGCAGAGGGCACTCACCTCGCTGTTCACTGTTCGTCACCCCCCCCTGCAACCTGCCAGCTTCATGCATGACGAGACCCCCATGTCCCCACGTGCCTTGCTCTGGTGCCTGACAGGTGCTCCCCCCATGGACGAATGCACTGGTGTTAGTGGCACTCAGGACTGTGGTGTGGGCAGGGACACTGCCTAACTAGCCCAGCCATTGGCTGCCTGGGTTGTTTCCATGGTGGCCAGCTCCCTGTTGACACCTCAGGGGGCTCTGGGAATCGCTGTCTCAAGGGGCATTTGCAATGCTCATTGTCCTGCAGAGATGCTGTCGGAGGGCCGGGGCATGGACCCAGGTGGAGCTGGGCAGCCTAGGTGTGTGCAGAGCACAGAGGGGTGAGGGGCGAGGAGAGCGGGACCCGGGGAGGAGCTCCAGCCGGGCTGGGATCTTCAGATCCGAAACCAGGGGTTTGCTCTCAACCTGGGAGGCCTAGTGCGCCCCAAAGAGGACACTGTGTGCTGGAGACTGGGAGGCTAGTTTGCCAAGGAGTGGAGGGCCCATGAGGGTGGGGTGGGGACCTCCCGTCTCTACCAGGAGAGATATGGACCGGCAGGCAGGAGGGAGCAGGAGAAGAGATACCCCGCAGGGGACGGGGAGAAAACTCCCTTAATGGGGACATGTTGTGCCAGGGCACCCGGGGTGTAGGTCCCCTGATGAAAAGAGGAAAGCCGCCGCTGTGGGTTGAATTGCATTCCCGCTAAGTGAAGCCCTGACCCCTCTGCATGTGACCTTACTTGGTGGTAGGGTCATTGCGGGATGGAACTCGTCCAGATGAGGTCATGCTGGATTTGGGAAGGGAGAAGAGGGAAGGTGATGTGAACTCACGCAGGGAGGAGGCCACGTGACATCGGAGGCAGAGATTGGAGTGACGCGGCTGCAGGCTGAGGCTCGGGAGGATTGCCGGCTGCCAGCAGAAGCGGGAAGAGGCCAGGAAGGTCCTTCCCAGAGCCCCAGAGCCTGCGTTGTCCTCACAACCCCTGATCTGGGACTTCTGGTCTCCAGAACCGGGGAGAGTAAATGCCTGTTGTTAAGCTGCCGTCTGTGGCACTGTGTCACAGCAGCCACGGGACACCCATCGAGTCAGGAACTGGGGAACAAAGATGCCAATTACCGAGTGCCCACCACGTGCCCGGGTAGGGGCTGGACACTTTCAGAGGCATCATCTCATTTAGTCTCCCTGCAGCCCAGTCCGTGGTATCCCCATTTACAGATGAGGAAACTGAGGCTCTAAGAGGTTCAGTCGCTGGGCCCAGGTCCCAGGGCTCTGGAGTGTTGGGGCCTGTTGCAGGCCCAGGACTGAGTCACCCGAGGGAAGACAGCGGGGTAGGGGCCGTGCTTCATGATGTGCAGCATTGCTGGGGAGCAGGAGTGGCGGTGAGGGAGGGTGGCAGTGAGCAGGCCTTCCGCATTCTGTTTTCTGACCGTGAGGTGCCTGGAGCATCCCCACGGAGGCATCCAGCACTCAGAGGGAGCTGGGGGCCCAGTGCTCAGGAAAGGCCAGGGCTGGGCGTCCTTCTCCAGGGACTGGATGGTCTCAGATCCCTCTAAACCTAAGTTTTACAATCCTGAAAAAGCACTGGTGTCTTCCTCGCTTTAAGTCTCAGTGAAAATCTCTCTCACCTGTCCCATGTGTCAGGGCCTGATCTCATTACTTCTCAGCTTTTAAGCAGCATTCAGAAATGAAGATGTGAGTAATTATACCCCATCCATGCCCCCGTGATGGGTGGCAGCCACAGCGCTGGGCTGTCAGGGAGTGAGGGGTTCTGTGCAGGGGAGGGGGTGAGCATGAGTGAGCAGGGGGGTGATTGCAGCCTCGTGGGACCATGTACGCTGTTTCCTTTCCAACCAGGTCGTTCCTGTGCCACTTGAGCCATCCCGCTAGTACACCACACCCCACGGAGGGATGTCCAGGCACCCCGAGGCCTGAGCTCGGCCGGCACAGCTGTGCTCGGGGATGCAGGCTGCCGTGCAGGGGATGCGGGCTGCTGTGCAGGGGATGCGGGCTGCCGTGCAGGGGATGCGGGCTGCTGTGCTCAGGGATGCAGGCTGATGTTCTGGGGATGCTGGCTGCTGTGCTGGAGATGCGGGCTGCTGTGCAGGGGATGCGGGCTGCTGTGCAGGGGATGCGGGCTGCTGTGCTCAGGGATGCGGGCTGCTGTGCTGGGGATGCGGGCTGCTGTGCTCAGGGATGCGGGCTGCTGTGCAGGGGATGCGGGCTGCTGTGCTCAGGGATGCGGGCTGCTGTGCTGGGGATGCGGGCTGCTGTGCTCAGGGATGCGGGCTGCTGTGCTGGGGATGCGGGCTGCTGTGCTCAGGGATGCGGGATGCTGTGCTGGGGATGCGGGCTGCTGTGCTCAGGGATGCAGGCTTCTGTGCCCAGGCCAGCAGAGGGTGGCTGAGAGCATGTGAGAGAGTCAGGGAGGGGTCGGGGGTCCTCCCAGGCCCTTGTCAGTCCCATCTGCCCTCCGCATGCAGAAACAGCTCATCCCCCTCTTTTACTAAAGTCATCATAGTTCTCGTCCCGGTCCCCACCCTGGCAGGATGCAGCTGCAGAGGTTAGGATATAATTTTCTGCACTGCAGGTGGCGACCCAGTCCCTGGCAGGAAATCAGTTTAGTGGGTCGCAGCAGTGTGCGTTATATAAGAAGGTGAGTTGAGTAGAAAATAGTAGAGCACATCACAAGGAATGAAGGTGTTTTCTGTGAATTTTTTGTTCGCCATTTACATATAGTATCAGTTAAGCTGCTGCTGCATGTGGTTGGCTGAGAAATTGTGCCCCACCTCAGCATATCAGGTCCTGATCCCTGTGACCTGTGAATATTGCCTTATGTGGAAAAAGGGTCTTTACAGATGGGCTTACACCAGGATGCTGAGATGGGGAGCTGATCCTGGATGATCTGAGTGGGCCCTCAGTGCCATCACAGTTATTCTAAGAGAGAGGCAGAGTGGGGTGACCACAGAGCCAGAGGCTGGAGTGATGCTGCCATCACCAGGAAATGCAGGCTGCCCCAAGAGCAGGGCGAGGTAACGGCAGCCTCCCCTAGAGCCTTTGGGGGAGCTCAGCCCTGGGGCCACCTTGCCGTCCACAAGTCAGGAAATGCAGGCCGCCCCAGCAGCCAGGCAAGGCAAGGACAGCCTGCCCTAGAGCCTTCGGGGAGCTCGGCCTTGGGGCTGCCTTGACATCAGCCCAGTGATACCGATTTTGTATTCCTGTCCTTGTTGTACTGCTCTCTGCCCAGACCGTCTCTCCCCTCCCTGGGCCTGGCTAATTCCTCCTCCATCTCACAGCTGGACTTTGATACCCCCTCCTCCAGGAAGCCCCTCTGCTCCCTCCAGGCCAGGTCAGATCACCCTGTGCTCCCCTGGGTGCCGTCAAGCACACCCTGGACTCGGGCCAGGCTGCCTCCCTTCAAGTCCCAGTAATGCGGGGCCAAGCGTGGCGCCACCTCACAGTGTCTCGGGGAAGCTTAGACAACTTGATATTCTAAAAAGCTGTGGAAAGGCCCAGATCAGTGCCCGGCGCCGGCGTCCACTCTCCCTGCCATAGCCCCTGCAGTTGTTGGTCTTGAGCCAAGAGGACCCTGAGGGCCCAGGCAGGACTCAGAAGGCCAACCTCTCCACATGGCCCTCTCCTGAACATTACAGAGAATCCCCTTAAGATGATGGCCTCAAAGCAACGTGATGTTTCCCAGCATGGGCCATCCCGGAACTGGTGACAGATGCGGCCGGGCCTCAGCCATCCAGCACCACCCTGGCCACCCTGCGTCTCCATCCCTGGCCCTGTGAGCCATCAGTACCTGCTGGCTGAGTTCCTTCAAGACTTGAGTGTTCCCCTTCCAGGCTGAGACCACCAGGGCCTTTCTTGGGGGCTGCCTTTGAATAAACTAGATGCTTAGGGGTGAACAGCAGGCTGGAGGCCAGGGGAATCTGAGGCTCCTTCTCCGTGGGAACCCCAGGCAGTGCTGAGTGCTGGGAGCCCGCAGGGCACCAGCTGTGCTGACTAGCAGAAGCCTGGCTCCAGCAGCCTCCCTGGCCCACGTCCTGGGCTGGTGCAGTTGGCTCCCCAGTGTCTCTGAGCATGGAAGAGGTCTCCTCTCAGGATTAGGTACAGAACTCTCCAGACTGCCCCTGCACTCCCATCCGTACAATGGCGGGGAGGGGGTGGCCGGTGATCATTATGGCCTCTTCTAGCCCTGACACTTCTCAACGCCAGCCCTCCCAGGGCCCCAGAGCCACAGAGAGAGAGAGAGAGAGGGAGCATACCTGTCTCTGCTCCCAGCCCCACTGGCTGCTGCTGAAAGGTGTGTCCGCAGGGGACTCATCTGTGCATATACTTGTCTTGCAAACACAGTCATGATGACAGCACAGTGTGGTGGGCTTTGGGATGGGGTGTCAAGTTTTCAGGTTCTGTGCCCCGGATTTCTCCCTGAATCTTAGAAACACCATCTTTAAACACCTGTCTTACAGCGTGTCTTAGTCTTATTGCATGAAACAATATGGTAGCTACTGGCCACATGTGTTTATTTAAATTAAAATGAATTAAAATCAAATAAAAGCTAAAACTCTGTTTCGCATGGTGCTGGCCGTGTTTCGGGCGCGCAGGGGCCGCGCAAGCTGGAGGCAGCTGAGCTGGGTGTGCAGGTGGGATGCATCCTACGATGGGGTGCTGGCCTCTGATTCACTTGTGCAGGGGATTTGAGTGAGTCACAGAGGGGGCGGGGCATACGTATTTCTGCTTTTTATTCCTTTTCCCTTAAAGATGGCATTGAGAGTGTTTCCTCTGATGTCAAATTATAAATGTCAAAAGCTTGGGGAAATGTTAAAAGGAAACATTTCCTGCCCCTAGTGCCTAGACAAGCCCACCATGTGTGGTCTTCCAGGGCCTCTGCCCCCAGCCTCAGGTTCCTGGATGGGCACAACCTATGGGGGTGCTGGCAGCCCAGTTGGGGGAAAGCTGGGGGCAGCCAGGTAGGATGTGTGGTCTCGGTGCAGCTCAACGAAGCCTCATAGACTGGTGGCTTCTGAATAATAGACATTTATTTTTCTCAGTTCTGGAGGCTGGAAGTCCAAGATCAGAGTGCCAGCATGGTCGGGCTCTGGGTGGGCCCTCTTCTGAGCTGCAGACAGCCGCCTTTTCCTCGCACCCTCATGTGGTAGAAAGAGCGAGGCAGCCTCTGGCCTCTTCTTACAAGGGCACTCATCCCATGATGAGGGCTCCACCTGCAAGACCTAATTCCTCCCAAAGGTCCCGCCTCCAAATCCTGTCACACTGGGGTTTAGGATATCAGCATGTGAGTCTGGGGAGGGGACACCACATTCAATCCACGGCAGTGGCCTTGGGCTAGACAATGACTTCATCGCTTTCCTGCCTTAGAGCCAGGGCAAGGAGACCTGCTGTGCAAGGTCACTGGAGGTTTAGTGCATTCGTGTTTTAGAGCCTGGGAGTACATCTGGTAACCAGCAGGTCCCCTGGTTGAATTAAAATTAAATAAAATCTAAAACTCTGTTCTGCGTGGTGCTAGCCATGTTTCGGTATGCAGGGGCCTTGCGAGCTGCAGGCAGCTGTACTGGGTGTGCAGGTGCAACGCATCCTATGACGGGGTGCTGGACTCTGATTCGCTAGATAGAGACACGTCTTCTTGTGGCCCCACCCACCTGGAAGCTCTGAATGTGACCTTGTTTGGGTGTTTCCGTATGTAATTATGGTAAAGATGGAGATGAGGTCATTGTGGATGAGGGCGGACCCCAAATGCAGTGACTGGTGTCCTCATAAGAGACTAAAAAGGACACGCAGAGACACACAGGGAAGACGGCCTGTGAAGGTGGGGGCAGAAACAGGAGCCCTGAAGCCACATACCAAAGGGCGCCTGGAGCCACCAGCAGCGGGAAGAGGCAGCCTGAGCTCCCTATACCCCTGTGAAGAGCAGGGTCCTGCTGGCACCTTCATGTCAGACTTCTGGCCCCCAGAACTGCGAGAGAATCCGTATCTGTTGTTTGAAGCCCCCATTTCAGGGAACCCTGGTGCAGGCTGTCACTCCCAGCACGCGGGGCTGTGGGGGTTGTGAGCTCACTATTGCTGCCCCTACACATGGAGGAAGGGTCAGCAGATGCTCCCCACCCCCACCACTCCTCCCCCACCCCGAGTGCCTTTTCAGAGCCCCTTTCCCGGATGCCTGGGAGACAGGTGTGTCTCTGGCGCATAGTGTGGCGGGAGTCTATTTCAGTGTGCCGGGAAGGGCTTGGCTCTGCCCCTCCCCGGGCAGAGGGTGGCAGCTGCCACGTGACCTTGTGGGAGCCCTGTGGGCCACAGAGGCTCTTCCCCGGTCCACTCCTGCCCGATCCTCCGTGGGTGCCAGGCCCAGCCACGCAGAGGGAGAGCCGCCGACCCGCTGGCCCTTTGCAAGCAGCCACGCTCCATGGGGGTGCCAGGGGGAGACACAGGTAAATCCCCAAACTGCGCTTTTGCCCAGACCATCCGGCTGGGAGCCGTGAGCTCCATGAGTCAGCTTCAGGGGACTGGGAGCTGTGAGCTCCATGAATCAGCTTCAGGGGTCTGGTGGGAAAGGACGGGTCCAGTCAAGTTGTGCCCTGCGTGAAGGTCATGAGCGCCGGCACCACGAGCGCCAGTGGGTGCAGGCTTCGGGGACACTCTCTATGGACAGCACTGTGGGGTGAGGAGGGTGACCCCATTGTACAGGTCAGCTAAGGCTGGGGACGGGAAGAGTCTGATCCAACCTCACACGGTGCTGGTATCGGAGCTGCGTCTGGACTCCAGCACCCACTGACCACAGCGTCTGGGCCTCCCTCCCTCCCTTTTCTTTTTTCCTTTAAGGTGGTGATTCTCACCCACAGGCAGCTGTGCTCCTGTGCTCCCAGGGGGACATGTGGCAATGTCTGCAGGCATTTTTTTTTTTTTTTTCTGGAGGCAGGGACTCACTCTGTCACCCAGGCTGGAGTGCAGTGGCATGAACATGGCTTACTGCAGCCTCAACCTCCTGAGCTCAAGTAATCCTCACAGCTCAGCCTCCCGGGTAGCTGAAACTAAGGTGCACGCCACCAGACCTGGCTAATTTTTAATTTTTTTAGTAGAGACGGGGTCTCACTTTGTTGCCCAGGTGGGTCTTGAACTCCCGGGTGTAAGCAGTTCTCCCATCTCAGCCTCTCAAAGTGCTGGGATTACAGGTGTGAGCCACACGCCCGGCCATCTGGAGACATTTTTGATGGTCACAGCTCAGGAGGGTGTGCCTCTGGCATCTGGCAGGAAGGGGTCAGGCCACGGCTGAGCGTCCTGTGGTGCACAGGACACCACGCAGTAGCACCTGCCTGGCCCGGTGTCCTGCTCGGGGGACAGCATGAATGCCGCAGTTCCCTGATATTAACATAAAAGACAGGGCCCATCAAGCTCCTTAGATACGAACAACCAGCAATTCCAATAGCTCCAATCCTGCGTGTTGACCAGGCGGCCTGTGGGGTGAAGGTGATGGCAAAATCTGGGGGGCTAGGGAGAGAGGAGAAAAGGGAGGCAGGGGGAGTGAGATGAGGGGAGAGGGAAGGGAGGGGAGGGAGAACAGTGGGGAGGCAGCCCAGACCCCTGGAAGCAGAGCAGGGGGTACACAGGGGAGGGGGCCTGACACAGTGCCAGGGCCTCCAGCGGCTCCCTCCTCCCCCTGAAATGTTCCCCACTCTGTGTGGGCACGAGGCCTGGTGCCCAGCAGGGCCTCATCTCTGGGCAGCCAGACCAGAGTCTTCCCTCCCTGGTGCCCTCCTTCTGGCCTGTGGGTTCTGCCCTGCACAGAGGAACTGGGACTCTTGTCCATAGCCCCCCCTCAGCGCCTCACACTCTGAAACTCCGTGGAATGTTACTGAAGGGAGCAGCCCTGGCTCAGGCAGTGACAGTGGCCCTGGAGTCCAACCCATGAAGCTTCGAGCCCTGATTCTGCCTGACCTCACCGTGGGGCTTGGAGGAGACACTGCCCTGCCCATGAGGCCCCCAGAAAAAGCGGGTTGGCTGTGTGGCTTCCCCCTCCCAGGGTGTTGTGAACCAAAAAAGGAGACATGCAGGTGTGTTCCCAAAAGCGGCGGGTCCCCCAAGGCTGCCCACGCACAGCCGAGTGTGAGTTCGCCCTCCTGCCCAGGAGGACGAGCTGGCATGGCTGGGGTGCTGGAGCATTCTGAGGACAGCCGTGGATGCCCAGAGCAGACAGCAGGTGACGATGTCCGTGTCCCAGATGGAGTTTCCATGGCAGAGGCTGGGCGGGCCTCTCCAGCTCAGCTGAGTCTGCGATGCCTTCTCAGGCCCACTGTGCTTCCACCAACTGTGGACAACTGTGCTGGACGGACCGTCACACTGATGGCAGAGCCAACCACGACCATCCCAGAAGCAGCCCCGGCACCGAGGCCCCATGCAAACCTGTGGCCATCAGCACTGCAGATCGACTGTGGTAGATGGACCAGACCGTCAACGCTGATGGCAGAGCCATCCCAGAAGCAGTCTGGCACCAAGGCCCCAGGCAAACCTGCGGCCATCAGCACTGCAGATCGCGATTCACATGCGAAGCAAGGGTATCCACAATTAAAACTAGCAGTCACATAGATGCAATTCTATTTGTGTAAAATTATTCATGTAAAATTACAGTAAAACCAAAAAACCCGTAAATCTCTTAGAAGAACACTCAGAAGCGCATCTTCATGACGGTGGATCAGGCGATGGTTTCTTAGAAAAGACACCAAAGCCCAAGCCGTCATAACAAGATATAGACGACTGGATTTCATCAAAAACCTCTGTGATGCCAAAGACATCGTGAGGAAAGTGAAAACACAACTCACAAAATAGGAGAAAATATTTGCAAATTAGCAAGCTGACACGGGACTTGTATCTCGAATATACGAATAACTCTCATCCCTCAATCCTATCAAGACAACCAAGCTGAAAAATGGGCAAAGCATCTGCATCGACATTTTTACAAAGAAGACTCCCAGAGGGAGAATCTACACATGAACCATGCCCAGCATCATTCGCCCACAGGGAACGGCACATCAGAATCCCAGTGAGACGCGATTACAGATCCGCTAGAATGGCTGGATCAAAATCGCAGGCACACCCAGAGCAGGCTGTGGGGATGCGTAGAAATCAGAACCCGGTGTGGAAAATAGTCTGACTGTTCCTTGAAAGGTGGCACACAGAGTGACCACAGGACCCAGCAACTCCACTCCTGGGTATCTACCCAAAAAGCATGCAAACCTATGTCCACACGAATATTCACACTCGAATGTTCATAGCCGTGTTATTCACAATCACCAAAAAGTAGACACAGCCCCAAAGTTCATCCACTGACTAATGGATGAGCCAAATAGGGTCTGTCTGTACAACGGAATATTTCTCAGCCATCAAAAGGAAAGAGGCACTGACGCCCACCACACCACGGACACTCCCTGAAAACATGACGCCGAGTGAAAGAAGCCAGTCGCGAAGGACCACGCAGTGTGGGATTCCGTTCGCATGAAATGCCCAGAGCAGGCAAATCCACAGAGACAGACCAGTTGTTACCAGGGGCTGCGGAGGGAAAACGGGAGTGACAGTAAAGGATGCAGCATTTCTTTTTGGGGTGATGGAAATTTTCTAAAATGGATTATGGTGATCAGCACGCAGCTCTGTGAAATACCAAAAGCCATTGAGTGTGCATTCCAAACAGGCAAATTGTACGGCTATGTGAATTATATCTCAATGAAGTTATGATTTTCAGATGTGTGCACCGAGCACTTCTGCAGAGCTGGCTAGGCTCTGTGGAGGTGCTGAGAATATTGTTTCTGAAAGCACATCGAGGTGCTGCCTTATGAGAAGATAGATGAATTATTCTAGGTTGTGATGTCATATCATATGTCCCAGGTGTGTGAGAGTGTGTGGTTTTTGTTTGTGGCCTACAGAAGCACATGGTAGAGCAGCCGCTGAGCTGTTAAGAGTGGTCGTCTCAGTAAAAGGGAAGCAGGGGATTTTAAATTTTCCTTCATCTTTGATGTACTGTTTGGGTTTCTAGCCATGAGTAGCATTCCTTAGGTCATCAAAATGAAGTTATTTTTGTCATTGAACCCAAAGGAACCGTGTCTCCAGAGGTTAGCAAGGATCCCAGGCAGGGCTCCCACCCCGTGCCACCTCCTGCCCCTCCTCTTGGCCTGTCCGGGTGGAGCCAGGACCTTGTCACCCCAGTTGGGCTGTGTGACCCAATGCCGGCACACCCCTGCCTGCCCATGTGTAGACCCACAGGCTTTGGTGTGTGAGCCGGACCCTGTCAGTACAAGGATGACGCCCCCAGGAGACCCGCTTTAAGGCAGGGGCTGGCTGCCTCTGTCATGCAGGTGGTTAGTGAATGTCACAGAGCCTCTGCAGCCAGTTTCCCCTGCCTGGCCTGGCTTTCCCTGGGCTCCAGGCCAGCCATCCCGACGACCAGTTTTAATTAGACATGCCGGAAATGCTTCCCTCACACCAGCCTCCCTTGAATCAGCAGATCAGGAGAACATGAGAAGGGTCAGGAATTTGAGGGGGAGACGGGAGGGCAGACAGGCAGAAAACCAGTTCCCTGACATAGAGGCCCAGGCTCCAGGCCCCACCCTGCCAGTTGAAGGCTGTGTGATCTAGACAGGTTACTGAGCATCTCTGAGATGGGGTTCCCTTGCCTGCAGCCTGAGGGTGACAACGCCTCTCATGCCAGTTGGAGATGGGGCTGGTGCTGTTGTGCCCACACCATGCCTGCACAGGGGAGGGCCAGGCAGGGATTAGAGACCCCAAGTAAGGGGCACCAGCTGCCAGGGAAGAATGCTCTGAGGACCGCAATTAGGATTAAGGAGTCCAGACCCGGGCAAAGAGGTCTTCCTCCAGCAGTGCTGGGACACAGTGCTGGGCTTTGAGGGCATTAACCACGCACAGGGGACTGCTTCATGCCAGGAAGAGCAGCAGCAGATAGGAAGGAGGCTTGCAGAGTGGGAACGCCAGGGGAGGCAGGCACGACCTCCGGGAAGACGTCCCACACTGGTCAGGTCCCAGACAGATTTGCCACCCCTAGGGCTGGTTCGCCCCTCACCCCTCTCCCTCTCCCATCCCCTCATCCACGCGGTGGGGCATGGTGGAAAAGGCCAGGGTCAGAGAGGCCTGGGTCCCAGTGGCCTGGGGAGGTGCATTCCTGCTTGGAACCTCTGTTTGCCCATCCGTAAATGGTGAAGAGAGGACAGGTCCCAGCTGTGCAGGATGAAAAGAACTAAAGTGGCAAGTGGACTAAAGTGGCAAGTACCATGTAGGGTCTGACAGTGGATGGTGTTAAGAAGTGAATGTTCATGTTCCCCTAGCATTCACACTTGGAAGCCCAAACCCCCAGGGTGACGCTATTTGGAGGAGGGGCCTTGGGGAGGTGATGGGGTTTAGATGAGGTCGTGAGGGTGGGGTCCTCATGATGGGACTCCTGCCCAGAGCGCGCTCTCTGCCTTGTGAGGACACAGTAAGAAGGCGGCTGTCTGCAAGCCAGGAAGGGAGCCCTCACCAGGGACCGAGCATGCTGCTGCCCTAATATCAGACTCTTAGGCTCCAGAACTGTGGGAGATAAGTGTCAGTCTTTTAAGCCACCACATCTGGTATTGTTCTGGCAGCCCACATGGACCAGGACAGAGGGTGTCCCCTGGGAAATGGAGGATGGGAGCCGAGGACAAAGTGGGGGACCTCTCCAGCTCTCTGTGGCCATCCTTACCAGGCCATTCGGATATGATGGAGATGCACAGGGGGCAGCGAGACTCCCCATCCAGGCTGGTGTGGTGTCTCCAGGTCAAGGCTGTGGCCCCATCTTCAAAGGCCTGGGGAGGAGTGGGTTGCAGCTGAGGTGTGGCCAGTATATGCTTGGGGGCATATTGTCAGGTCCCCTAGCCTGCCAGGTCCCTGCACTGGGGACATGTACCACAGCAGCTGCCTGGAGAGAGAGTGGGGTCCCTGGTGGGACTAGCTCAGCCCCTCAGCTCCTCCCAGAGAGGGAGTTGAGAGCTGGCTTGAGGTCTGGGCAGGTCTGGGTCCGGTGCCCAACTGTGTGGTTTTGCCATTTGCAGCTCTGTGACCTGGGTTGTGGGTGGAGGTGCTGAGTGCAGTCCCTGGTGTTTGCCTGGACACAGGAACTGAAAGATGATGTGACATGGGTTATTCATCATCACCCCCCCATCCACTGGACAGTGCCCTGCAGTCACTCAGCGCATTTCCTGTTTCCTATTAGATTTGAGAAATATTCACTGGGCATCTGCTGTACGCTGAAGGCCTAGAGGAGGTCACCTGTTGGACCAGCGTGGCCACTCTGGCTCAAGGCAATGAGACCCTGGGGGACAAGCCCTGGGCTGGGAGCCTGCAGACCCGAGCCTTGGTGTTGGCCTGGCCACAGACTTGCTGCGTGACCTGGGCTGGGCCGCCCTGTCTGCCTCTGTGTGGGGGGTGGCAGGGGAGTCAGTGTACATGCTCTGAGCCCTGACCCTCCGGGACACCTCCCATGAGCTCCTCAGATGCTCCTCGCTCTGGAACGGCTGCACTCTTCTGGTGATGGAATAACACCCTCCAGGAATGTGGGTGCCGGGGGCGCCTGGGCCAGCGACTGGAGGCCTGGAGAGTCCTGGAAGCAGCAGGAGCTGGGCTGGCGTCTGCCCGGAGCCCACAGCCAGCCTGAGCGGGGGTGGCTGCCCAGTACCGTCTCTCCCAGCTCTGCCCCTGGAAGGAAGCCCCCACCTGACACTCACACAAACTCCTGCCAGCCCCGTGTGGTCACCGTCACATCACCGTTCTCCAAAAGCCCAGCCTTGGGTAGGATCAGTGTCCCACTTTGCAGATGGAAAACAGGCTCGGGGAAGTGACCAGGGAGCCAGCCAGTCCCCAGCTGGGCTCTGAGGCCAGCTCTGGCTCTTCCCACCTGCAGGGATGGCGTGTGGACAGGCCCCCACTTACCATGATTGGACTATCGTTTTTTGATTTTATAATGTTGCAAAAACAATATGCATTCAGTAGAAACCATACTTTGAATTTTGAATTTCGATCTTTCTCTGAGCTAGCAATCTGCGGTACAGTACTCTTACGTGAGACGGTCAACATTGTATTATAAAACAGGCTTTGCGTTAGATGTGTGTGCCCAGCTGTAGGCTGGCGTAGGTGTTCTGAGCATGTTTCCGGTAGGCTGGGCTGAGCTGTGATGGTCGCTAGGTTAGGTGAAGTCAGTGAAGTCTCAACTTAGTGATGTCACGAGCTTGCCCCGGGTTCATCAGGACGGACCTGCACTGTAAGCTGAGAAGTGCTCCTGCTGGTTTCCCATGCTCCCACGACAGAGCACACAGATGGGGGCTGGACTGGCAGATGTGCATCCTCCCACAGTTCTGGAGGCCAGAAGTCCCAGATCAAGGTGCGGGCAGGGCTGGCTCCTTCTGAGGCTGCAAGGAAGGACCCGTCCCAGGGCCCCTCTCCTGGCATCTAAGTCGCCATCTTCTCCCGCGTCTTCATGTTGGGTTCCCTCTGGTTTCCCATGCTGCCACGACAAAACACACAGACGGGGGATTGTCTGGGGTTGTCTCTGTGTCCACATTTCCCCTTTTTCTGACACCAGTCAGACTGGATGAGGACCCACCCTCCAGATCACCTTGCTTTACCATAACGACACCTTTGAAGGCCCCGTCTCCGAACACAGTCACTTGCCGAGGTCCGGGGGTTAGGACTTCAACGTGGGCATCTGGGGGTCCCGGTTCAGCCCACAGAGATGGCTCGAGCTCCCCGCTGGCACCGCTCTTGCTTCCTGCCACGTCCTCTTCTGGGAGGAAGGGGCAGCGTGGCCGCTGGGCTGTTTTTCTCTTCCTGCCTCCCAGAGGAGAGGCTCCTCTCAGGCTCTGGGGGCCGCCAGGGACCCTGCCGCCCGACGTCTGTGCCTGTCGCTCTGTGAACAGAGCCTATTTGTGGCCAAGAGTGACTTTGTCCTCATGGACCCCTGCCTCAAAATAGGGAAATCACAGGGATTTCATGCCGGAAGGAGCTGTAGGACACCTCCACCCGCAGGACTTGAGCACGCACCCCAGATCTGAGCGGAGGCGAAGGGTCTGCTCTTCCCACTGGGCTGGGAACCCCTCCCCTGACCCCTTAGGCTCACTCAGGGCTAGTGGAGTTTCAGCCTCGCAAAAGCCCCAACTTCACAAAGGGTCCAAGCAACCAAGCCCTCGAGCCAGGGCCCAAGAGGAAATTGTTTGTTTGATTGTTTGTTTGTTTTTTAAAAGACAGTGTCACTGTTATTTGCAGCACTGTGCAAAGTATCAAGAAAATGGAATCATTTTCTTTGGTGATTTTAAGATTGTTTAGTAAGAAGGAAGCCCAGTCTGGGCACGGTGGCTCACGCCTATAATCCCAGCACTTTGGGAGACCCAGGTGGGCGGATCATGAGGTCAGGCGTTCAAGACCAGCCTGACCAACATGGTGAAACCCCATCTCTACTAGAAATACAAAAATTATCCCGGTGTGGTGGCACGCACCTATAATCCCAGCTACTCAGGAGGCTAAGGGAGGCAAATCACTTGAACCCATGAAGCGGAGGTTGCACTGAGCCAAGATCATGCCACTGCACTCCAGCCTGGGCAACAGAGCGAGACTCTGTCTCAAAAAAAAAAAAAAAAAAAAAGAAGGAAGCCCGAGACCTGTGCCACAAGACTACACGCCCTCTCCAGCCTCCTTTGGGCTTCTAGATCCTTCCATACCCAGCATCCCCAACTCACCTCACCTCAGAAGTGAGATTGGGGCTCTCTTCAGCCCCACACCCCACCCTGAGACACGTTTGAGACCAGTGATCGTGCCAGGACAAAAGTGTCCTGGGACAGCCTGAGGCTTGCTGGGCCACTTGTTCCCCAGGCCCAGCACAGGTCTCTAGAGGATCCCTGGCACCATGGGACTGTAGACAAAGCCAGAGGCTTGTCCTGTTTCAGAGAGGTGCCCTGACTTGCTCAAGGTCACCCCATCAGTGGGCCCAGGTGGACAACAGACAGATCCCCTCACCTGGTGAGCTTTTGCGTCTGTAAAATAAGGACAATTTTCTTAAAGTTAGGGTGCAAAGAAGGGCGCTTAGGTCCTGAAGCCTCCAGTGCAGAGCTCAGCACAAGAGTGAATCATTGTCTGTGAATACGCTGTCGGTACAGAGGGGGCATTTGACGTGGGCCTGGAAGGACAAGTAGGGTCTTCCCAGGTGAGATGGGCACACAGTGCTCCCCGGAGCAGGAATGGTGGGAGCCCAGGCTGGTGCCAGGACTATCGAGGACAACTTTGGGAAAGAGTGTGGGATCAGAGGGCAGTGAGGAAGTCAGGCAACCAGGTGGGTACCAGGCTTAGAGTGCTGGTTTAGGGGCTGGGCTGTGTTCTGTGGGGAGCCATGGAAGGTTCTTGAATGGGGGAGGGACCTAAGCAGAGGGGTGCAGCTTGTGCTGGAGGCCACCCTCCCAGATCTTGCCACCTTGCCAACTTGGAGAGCTTGTCTTGGAGACTCCATCATGCTGACGGCCCCCTCGCAGTGAGGCCGACTCAGATTAGAAACTGGGCTGGAGGGAAAAGGGACCTACCCCAAGTTTTCCAGCAAGACAGAGGCCTCCCTACAACCCTGTGGGATTGGAGGACGAGTCTCATGGGGCCAGCTCCTGCCTGAGCTCTCAAGGGCCTCTAGACATGAGTGTGGAGTGCTCTTCTGGAACTGTCCTCTGGCGTCTCCCCAGATGGCAGTCAGTGTGCAAGGATCCCTAAGCCCTGGCGTGTGTTGAGCTCATGCTGTGTGCTGGGCTCAGGGTCCAGCCTCGGCCTCTGAGTCTCACCACACCACCAAAAGCTCAGTACAGCCGCAGCCTTCCTGCGCAGATGGCAGGGAGAGGCTCCAGAGGTGGTGACTTTCCTGGGAGAATGTGGCCTGGAGCTAGCAGGGCTGGCCTGGATCATAACACAGGCCTCTGAAAATCACCAGGGCTCCTCTTCCTGGGGCTGTGTTTGGCTGTGATGTCCTGCATGAAGCCCAGAGAATGTGGGGCTTGATTCCCTTGAACTGTCCTGAGCTTTACAGTTGATCACTGGGGTGGGGACAACCCATCATCTCTTCCCACAGTGAGCAGCTGGGCCAACAGGACGCTGCGTGGGGGGATAGGAGAGAGGCCCACATGGGAATTGGCCAGGACACCCTGCTTGAATTTAGAGTAAGCGGAGCTGGCTTCTGGAAACATGCCCAGGAGATAATAAAGTCATCCCAGTACGGTTAGGTCTTCTCGGTCGAGCCTAGGAGAATGATGATCACAGGGTATGGGAGAAGAAGCAGTCTTTGGGGCCAGAGGAAAAGTGGGTGGATCCCAGGCAAGGCTGAGAGGAAGGAAGGCTGCAGTGGTGGCACTGCAGTGGGTGGAGTCTGCTGGGGGTGGAGCCTCTGGTGGGTGGAGTCTTAGTAGAGCCTGTGGTGGGTGGAGTCTGCAGCGGGTGGAGTCTGCAGTGGGTGGAGTCTTAGTGCGTGGAGCCTGTGGTAGGTGGAGTCTGCAGTGGGTGGAGTCTGGTGAGTGGAGCCTGAAGCAGGAGAATCTGCTGTGGGTGGAGTCTGTGGTGGGTGGAGTCTGTAGGTGTGACTTGCAGTGGGCAGGGGCAGTGGGCTGCAAATCGGTTAGTCGCAGCTTTCTTTGGAAATGGGTAGCTGAAGAAAGGCAGACTTGGGCTTGAATCCTTGCTCTGCCACTCCTCACGGTGTGGCTTTGGGCTGGTCACTAAACCTCAATAAGCTTCCAACTCTGCCAAATGGGCAAAAGAATATCTACCTCCAAGAGTGGCTGTGAAGATTCCAGGCAAGGTCACGCCAGGATTTGAAGGGCATTTCCCTTCTTGGATCAAAACGGCAAGTGCCTCCTCTTGGGACTTTGGCTGTGGAGAAAGTGACTTTACTGTCTCTAGAGAGGTCTGGAGCCAGGCTGTGCAGAGATGGTGAGGAGACCAGGCGTCGCCACTGAGTCCCCTCTCCTACTGTCTATACCAGGGAGTTTTTGTATGAGCAGAGATAAAATGCATAAGGCTTATTTGTAAACTATAAACTGCTATCCTCATCAAACCTAACTTTTTGCTTGGTGGGCAAGTTCCAGAAATTAGATCAGGAACAGTTTGGGACCTAGTATTTTTTTTGGAGCTGTTTCTCCAGAGCAGGGAAGCTGCTGTGATCTGTGTTATGAGCCACCTAACCTTCCAGAGAGTGAAGACCCCTTTCTCAATGAACTCACATCCTCGTGCTATATCCAATCCTTATTTTGCTTAAGAACTATTCAGTAACAAAGGCAACTGAGGATTTTGTAACACTTTCTAGCAGCCTTCATTTTTTAAAAATCCCTTGAGCATCTACCTGCAACTGGAAACCATAGTCCCCGGATGTGCAACATAGATGGAGCCATTTGTCTGCAGACAATCATGGTGTGCAAATGCATTTACAGACCCCTTGCAAAATCCCCAGGGTCCCCAAGTGGAAACCCACGGATTTAGAGAACCCGTTCCTGGGCATCTTGTGTAAGCCCATGTGTGCGATAGCAGAAGTGGGATCGGAGAGTGAGGAGGAGGTGGCCAGCCTTGGGTTTGGAGGGGGAGCTTCTCAGCAGGGTGGGATGGGGTTCCTGCCCTTGGGGGGCATGCACAGAGAGAGCTGCATAGAAACGATGTGAGCAAAAGCTTTGCAAAGAGGTCTTTTGATGTCTGGGGCCATCACTGTGGTGGCATTCTGGTTTTCAATGGCTGCCTAACAAACCACCCCAAGCCTCAGTGGCATAAGACAAACATCCTGTTACATTCACGGGTTGGGAGGGGCTGCCATTCAGAAAGGGCACAGTGGGTATGCCTTGTCTCCTCTCCACAATGTCTGTGGTTTCACTGGGCCGACCCAAAGGCTGAGAGTGACTCAAGAGCTGGGAGCCAGAATCCTCCACAGGCGTCTTTGCTGAAACTTCTTGCTGGCCATCCGTGGGGACTTCTGTGGTCCTTCTGCCAGAATAGCGGCATGTGGGCTCCATGCGTGGTCACAGCGTGGAGTGGTTTGAGCTTCGTCCCAGCATGGCCGCCGGGTTCCCAGAATGAGCATCCTAAGAAAGCAAGGCAGAAGCTGGGGGTACTTGATGACCCAGCTTGGAAGCTGCCTGGTGTCTTTTCTGTCATATCCTTTTGGTCAAAGCAGTTGCAGAGGTCCACCCAGGTTCAAGGTGAGGGGCTTTAGACCCCATCAGGTAATAGGAGAAGGGTCGACATAGTGTTGTAGGAGAGCATGTAAGAACGGTTGTTGTGATCGTCACCTTTGAAGATGCAGCATGCCACAGGGCTTTGCTCAGACAGCCCGTGGGGAGCTCAGAGGGATAAGCTCAGAGGCTTCCAGAAGGACACCATGGGAGGTGCTGAGATGGCTGGATGCTACTGTCACATGCTGAGGGGAAGGTGGTTGCGGGTCAGAGTGAGATGCATAGGTTCATCCTGTTCCCCAAGCACATCTTAGGGTTCAGGCACTGGCAGGGGGCTGGGCCTCCAGGTGAGCCCAGCAGGCATGGAGCCCACTGGCCCTACAGAGGAGATGGATGTCAAAGGATGTGTTCTGTGCAGCAGGCAGGCGCGAAAGGAGGAGTGGCTCATGGGCTCAAGTGATTCCCCTCATGAGCTGGTTCGCTGGACAGAAAGAGGAGTTTGGCTGCTGATGTCCGGGCCAGCCCTGAGCAGGGCACTGAGGGCCAGGGTGGATGACATCCCAGGAGGTCGTAGTTTGGGGTGACAGTGATGCTGAGAGGGGCATGTGGAGGTCAGGAGCCTGAGGTATTTTCCCATAATCAGTTTCATCTGCACACATCTGCACACAAGCCCTGCGTCCATCCTCAGGACCCCAAAGCAGAGCCAAGCTGTTTGCGGTCCTCAGGGACCCGTGGTCTGGCCATGGGCAGGTCAAGGACTCAGATGGGAGAAGCCAGACTGCACTCCTGGGGAACTGGAAGAGGGCCAGGTCGTCTCCTGGTGGGCGTTCCAGGGCGCCCCGCAGGTGTCTCATGTCACCACTGAAATAAAGCTGGGTGGGCCCCGGGAGGAGTGTCCCTGGGCCTGGGGTCCCACAGCACTGGCACCATGAGCTTCCTGTGTGCTCTTGTGCCCAGAACTGTCTGGTGACTGTTTGGGGACGGGGCGGTGGCTGCCCAACATCGGCCCGGTGCTGGCCTAGCTCTTGGCAAGGAGAGAGTGCCCAGTGCATCTTTGCTTAATGGGGGATTGAACAGAGGGCCGCCCTGTCTGGACCTGCAGAGCTCCCTTGCCAAGCCCAGGCAGTGATGGCCGTGGTGAGAATGGGGCCGGCTCCAGAGAGCAGCGTCCTCGGTTCATGGTTATAATCAGCAGCCAGCCCTTAAGTAGGTTAGGAAGGAAGTGCCCGCCTGTGATCCGGCATGATTTTCTAACAAGTAACACTTGGGCGGGGCAGTAGGGAGGCCTGGACCTGCTCTTAAACCGAGGCATGACCTATAAAGTGAGAACCTGAGGGAGGGGACACACTGTAAGGCACGGGCGGGGGTTTGTAAGTCCCCGAAAAGACAGTGTGGCAGGATCCATGAGGATGCAAAGTGTGCGTGCCTGTACGCTTTAATTCCATATTCATAAAATTAGCCCAAAGAAAGCCCTGTGCCCCAGGGCAGAGCTGGCACAGGGTGTGTGTGGCCCCATGGTGTGTGAGAGCCATGCCTGTCTCCCGGCAAGGACTGGCTGAGCACACATCAGCACAGGGCCAGCATCAGCTCTGGTCTCCTCAGCACCTGGCCCTAGGGAGACAAATCCCTCGGGCACAGCCCCCGCCCATGAGGGCTTCCAGGCCAGGGGAGGCAGGCAGGCCAGTGGACAGCAGCCACCCATGTGTCAGGGCTGTGCCGCAATGAAGGTGAGCTGAGCACTGTGATGTGTGCTTGCTCCTGTCCCAGAAGGTGCCTGTCCATCCTCTGAGCTTCTAGTTTATGTCACCTCCTCCCAGAAGCCCTCCCTGATTGTACACAGGTTCATCTCCCTGCTGTGCCTGCACACAGCCCTGTGCCCCTCTCTGTATTGCTCTGCTCGTTGCCATGGTCAGAAGGAAAGGTGTGAAAGGGAAGCTGGAACTGTGTGTCCTGTGACCCGCTCTGGGTGAGCCGGGACCTCTGGAGTTCATGTGTGCGTGTGTAGGCTTAGAAAACTGAATATTATTAGAACATCCTTAGGACATTTGGAAACCCCAAGCCAGCCGTTTGGATGATACAAACAGCAGACGGGGAGCTTTCTGAAATCATCTTGGCGGATGGAGCGGGCCTCCGATGAGAACCCCTGCCATGGGTGGACCCCAAGTTTTCCCCTGTGTGAGTACACAAGGGGGTCCCCTGCCCATTCTCAAGGTGGATTTACCTCCAGAGCAAATGAGGAAAGCAAGAGAACAAGGCGAGCACAGCTGCTGGTCTTTGGCCAAACCAGGAATACATGCTCAGAGGTCCAAAGTTCACTGGGCCCTTAGAGAAGGGTGGAACTAAATATAGATCCGTGGGCACAGATCGGAAATAAACAGTCAAGCAAATCCCCAGCCAGGCACGGTGGCTCATGCCTGTAATCCCAGCACTTTGGGAGGCTGACATGGGAGGATCACTTGAGCCCAGGAGTGTGAGACCAGCCTGAGCAAGATAGCGACATCCCGTGTCTACAAAAAATACAAAAATTAGCTGGGTGTGGTGGCACACACTTGTGGTCCCAGCTACTCGGGAGGCTGAGGTGGGAGGATGGCTTGATCCCGGGAGGTTGAGGCTGCAGTGAGCTGAGACTGCGCCACTGCACTCCAGCCTGGTTGACAGAGCGAGACCCTGCCTCAGGAGAAGAAAAAAGATTCCCAGAGATCACGGAATGATGAGGACTCTGCTGTCTGGGTCGTGAGAGCTGGTTCGCTGGACAGAAAGAGGAGTTTGCCCCCCTGCCTATGCCCTTTTGGCCTGGCATGTCCCTCTTCCTGTGCCTGTCACGCTGGTGTGGTGCTGAATGGCACACCTCTCTCCCCAGTACCTGACAGTGCGTCTGCTCCCGTGTCTGTTGAACAAGTGAACACATGGTTTGCAGCCCAGCAGGTGATGGAAGGGGTGGGAGGAGGAGCCTCGGACACACCTGAGCTGGGCCTCAGTCTCTTAGCCGTGTGACCATCTCCTAGCCTTGGCATCCTCATCCGTGAGATGAGGATGACTGACCATTCCTGTGGGGCATGGTATGGAACAAACAAGAGAATGTCGAGGGCTGGGACCGTGGCTGTTGTGTTCACTGTGGTGTCCCTGGGGCCTACACTGTATTTACTGTCTTGCCTTTTCCTGAAAATGCTTGTGGACTCCCGCTCTGGACTGGGAAACCTCGAGTAGACCTCAGAGTCATCGTTTTTCCTCTTTCTGATAGCCACCCCTGATCTGACCCCTCCATCCTGCGGCCTGCAAGTCTGGTCTCTGAGCCTTGGAGAGGATTCAGCTAACAGCTACTGTTCACGGCCACCTGTCAGACCTTGCACGTGGAGCTTTCTCTACTTCAATGGACATTTAAAACATCCTCCTAAGATCAAGCCCTGATTTACAGATGTGAAAACTGAGGCTTTGCAGAGTTAAATCCATTCACCAAGGTCACACCGCTGCCCCTGGATGGTGGGTCCAAACCGGACCCTGCTGGCTCCCATTCTGGCTGGCTGGTGGCAGACCAGGAGTTCAGCCTGGAGGGGGAGGCAGGGGGATTTCCTGAGAGAGCCACGTCCCTTTGTTGTGAAGGTTGTGTGTTAACGACACCAGCAATCATTTTTGTTATTCCCGGTGGGGCTTCCCAAGGCTGGGGTTTCATTATCATGAGGGATTAAATACTCTCAGCCCCTGTGTGATAGATTCTTAGCACTTGAGTTTATGTTCTATGTTATTATCACAGTTAGAGACTTGTTAAGCCAAATTATTGGAGCCAATCTTGAAACTGCAGTGAAATGAACCTGCCGCAATTGTGGTTAGTTCCTTTTTAAATTTTTTTTTTTTTTTTTTTTGAGACAGAGTCTTATTCTGTCACCCAGGCTGGAGTGCTGTGGCACAATCTTGGCTCACTGCGACCTCTGCCTCCCGGGTTTCAAGTGATTCTCCTGCCTCAGCCTCTCGAGTAGCTGGGATTACAGGTGTGTACCACCACACCCGGCTAATTTTTGTATTTTTAGTAGAAACAGGGTTTTGCCATGTTGGCCATGCTGATCTCAAACTCCTGACCTCAGTAACCCACCCACCTCAGCTTCCCAAAGTGCTGGGATTACAGGCGTGAGCCATAGCGCCTGGCCTAGAATTTTTAAATTTTTTGATAGATTTTATTTCTCAGAGCATCTCTTGGTTTCTAGATAAGACACAGAGAGTTCCGATGTGCTCCCATCCCGTCTTCCCTATGATTAACACCTTGCACTGGTGAGGTGCATTTGTTGTAACTGTACCAACGTTGATGTATTCTTAAGCGAAGTTCATACTTTACAGTGGGGGCCACTCTTAGTGTTATAGGTTCTATGGGTTTGGACAAATGTACAGTGTCGTGGATCCACCATTACAGTATTGCCCAGAGCAGCGTCACTGCTAAAAACGCCCTGTGCTCCGTTGATCCCAGCCCTGGCAACCATCAATCCTCTTACTGTCTCCTTCATTTTGCCTTTTCCAGCATGTCACATAATTGGAATCCTGCAGGGCATAGCCTTTCCAGGCTTCTTCCAGCTAGCAGTATTCATTGAGGGTCCCTCCATGCCTTCTCATGGTGTGATGGCATGCTTCTTTTTGTTGGTGAATAATATTTCATCGTCTGGATACACCCCAGCTCGTTTATCCATTCACCTGCTGAAGGACCACTTGAAACTTCTCTTTTTAATGTAAAACACGTGGCTGACTTTGGGCCAGGTTTAGGGGAACAGAGAATGCCACTTGGCCCCTGCTTTTGCATGGTTTGGCTGTTGCCCCCCTAGCCGTCCTCACAATTTGGCAGCTGCAGCCAGGTGAGGAATGAACCCTCTTGGGAGGCAAGCGCATACCCACTTACCTACCTGTGTTCCCAGGGCCTGGCAGGAAGGGCCAGCTGGAGGGAAGCCTGTAGGAGCGGCACCTGCATGGAGGCAGCGGCGTCCCCACGGCGCAATGTCTATCTCCCATCGCGAGAGGGCAGCGCCTCCGCCATGACCCTGCAGCCCCCGGACGCCTCGGAGGCGGCCCCAGCAGGCGAGATTGGGGCCTCCAAGCAAATCCATGCTCTTAGCAGCTTCCCTCAACCCTCACCCCCACACCCCACCCCCGCCACCCCCGACCAAGTATATTTCCAGTCACCTGGAAACAGTGATGTCAGGCCAGTGTTCTTGAAAATAACCATGACAATTGTGTATTGAGCACTTGTTGTTTGCTGGGTTGGTTGCTATGGGAACATTATTGCTCATGGTCCTGGCATCCTTGGGGCCAGGTAACACAAGAAGAAGATGGATGCCTGGGTGGAGAGACAGACAGACACACAGACAGAAGACCAGGAGTTTCAGGGCCTCACCTGAGGTCACAGCATGCAGAAGGCCAGCTAAGCCTGCATCCCAGGCCAGCTGACCCCACCACCCGCGCTGTCCCCCGGGAATCTGAAGCTGACACTTCCCTCAGGCTGGATTTGGGCCAGATTCCAGCAGCGTGAACCTCTCCCTTGTCGGATCATGAAGAGACGCTTGTGCATTTTTCTCTTTGTTGCCAATAGATGAGAACATAAGCGTCTTGAAGATGCACGGCCCCCACCCCTGTGAGCTCTGACTGAGCCTCAGATGTGGACTGGGTGCATCACCCGTGTGGCAGCCTACAGGGGCCCCCATGGCCTGGGCCATGCGTGGCCGAGAGAGGCACCATTTGAAGTTCAGTCCACAATTCTAATCCTCGTTCTGCACTGGGAGGCTTCGATTCCAGCCCAGAAAGCCTTCACCTGCTGTACCCTCCCCACCATCTTTATTAAATAACGGATGAGGTGGTTTCTACAATGACTCCGCAGGCAAAAGGCGCGTGGGACAAGCCTGCTGTGGATTCAACCAGAGTGAGAAAGGCCACGGTGGCCTCCAGCGGCTGCAGACTGAGCCCACAGGGACCCTCACTGGGCTGTGCCCCGTCCAGTTTGCAAAACCGGAGGCAGGCCCAGGGTGATGCTGAGTTATTTTTCATGCCATTCATCTCCTTTCCCATGCCTGCTTCCCAGGCCAACCCCTCTCCCTCATCCCCAGACAGCTGATACCCACCGCCCTTGGTCTGTTTGGAACCCCTGGCCTGGAAAGACCTGCGGCCCCAGCATGACCCAGGTTCCTCCTTTGCGCTGTCCTGTCACAGTTCCATCCGTGGGCAGGGACCCTAGGCGAGGATGGGTGGCCAGATCGGTGGCTTCCGGGATGTGGGGTTCTGGGAACGCTTAGGGGCAGGTTGGAACTGGATGGGGAAATGGCCTCCTCTGTCTGAGATGCAGTCACTCGATTTTTACCAGGGAGATGAGGAGACCTTCCAGGCTCAGAGCTCAATCAGCGCTGGCATTTAGCAATTGGGTAAATAGATGTGAGTGAGTACGTCTGTGCGTGAATACGCTTAGCCCTCAAATGAAGGGGGGCAGGTGTTTTCTGGGCCTGTGCCACATCCCTCGGCCCACCTGTGGTTTCGACTGCAACCAGGTGGGCCATGCCCCATCACCTGCAGGCTGCCCAGCCCTGGCATCTGCAGCACCCCTGGCTCTGTGCCTCAGAAACTCACTCAGCCTATACGCCAGGCAGACCAGAAGAGGGGGCTGGGAGTTCCGCCTTGGAGCAGCTCTTGCACTCAGGGGACAGGCGGTGGGGGGCCAGTGCCGCGGCCTCCCTTCCTTCCACGGGATGAGCTGGGACATGCTACGCGGGGTTTCCTGGACGGCCCCAGTGAGTTCCCTCTCCCACATGGGGAGCAGCTCAACAACACACCTGCCACCAGCTTTCATCTTTCCCACTCCTCGCTCTGGCCTGGTGCCTGGGGTCCCCGAAATAGACCATCGCACCCACAGCCTGGTCTCAAGGCCGGCTTCATGGGAACCCAGACCAAGACAGGGGGAGCTGGCGTTAGACTGCTGTGGAAATAAAGGAAGACGTGAGGACAAGTGGAGGCAACTTTCTCAGAGCCGCTGTGGCAAGGGAGTTGCCCACACAGGCAGGCAAGTGGTTGGGAAGCCTCTGAGGGGAAAGGATGGCTCCTGGTGAGCCCCCATGGAGGCTGTCGGCCTCGGGGGACTGGAGGCGGCTCCCAGAAGGGGGGCGTCCCGTGTGATTGGTTAGGGATGTATTTGGCTTTCTCCAAATGATCCTAACTGGAAAGCGGGGGCACGAATTAGGACGGCTATCAGTTGTGAGTCAAGTCCTGGCCATGTGGGACCGAGTTATTGTTTAACCTCCTGGTTGTCGAGGGAGAGTAGTCGCCTCCCCGCGAGTCTGCCATGCAGCTGGCTTCCCGGCTGGGTACCGTGGCCGGACTTGACTCCTGGGCCGGCAGCTGCAGGTGTTGTCTGAGCTCTGCCTTTCTCTGGGCCCGGCCATTGTCTGTGTGTTCAGTCTGTCAATGAGATCATTCGGGGTGAACTTGGCATGAGCAGAAGGCATGGGGCGCAGCCCTAGCCGAGTGAAAGCCCGCCCTGGGCTGCCGCACTGCGGTGGTCCTTGCTGTTGGTGGCTCTCACTCCCAAACAAGGAGTGGCTGGCAGAATGCAGAGGGGAGGGGCTTGGTGCCTCTGCCCCTGCGTCCCCCACCTATCTGACAGGTTGACCACTGCATTACCTTCCCTGGCTTCTGTAACAAGTGACCACAAACTGAATACAACACAAGTTTATTAGCTTCCAGTTCCAGAGGTCACGGTGCCCACCAGGTCTTGCTGGGCTAAAATCAAGGTGTGAGAAGGGCTGGTTTCTTCTGAGGACTCTGGAGGAGAATCCTTTCCTTGCCTTTTCTAGTTCCCAAGGCTCCCACATTCCTTGGCTTGTGGCCCCTTCCTCTGCCTTCAAAGCCAGCAATGTGTCATCTCCCTGACCTTCTTCCACAGTCACGCCTCCCTCTGGCCACAGCCGCATAATGATCTGATTTTAAGGCCCCCGTGATGATGTTGGGCTCAGCTAGACGATCACATCATATCCCATCGAAGCCCTTAACTTAGTCACAACTGCAAGCCCCTCTGGCCATGTCAGAAAGCATATGCACAGGTTCCGGGGATTAGAAAGGGGACATCTTGGGAGCATTGTTCTGCCGACTGCAGCACTAGCTACAGAACCTCCTGCCCACCGCCTGTGCCTGCCCTGGGGTCTGAGCCTTCAGTCCCCACGCTGATTCACTCTCACAGGCCAGCACTTGCCTCCACTTGTCCGGGCAGCTGGGTCCTGCCCGGGTCCTGTGTGGCTGGCTCTGTGCCTGCCAGAGCTCCACATCCAGATCCTGCACCTCCATCTACCAACTCCTCCTCAAGCTTCAAAGCGATGCCAGCTCGGCCACCTGGTGGTCACTGTTGCTCACCTGGCCATCCCTAATGCCCACTGGGAGCCCCTCAAAGGGCAGACCTGAGGCTTCTGGGCCGTGGCCCTCTGTCCTGGGCGCTGGTCTCTGCAGATGCTTTGGGAAGATGGGGATGAGGAGTGTGTCCCCCTGCCCGGTCCCCGGGAGCCCCACAGTCAGGCCCTGTGACCATCCATCCTGACCTGTCCATCCATCCACTCCTTAAATGTCCTGTACTGTGGTGGCTTTAAGGGAGATTTAAGGGGACCGCAGCAATATTCAGCTCCATGTCCCAGGACCCAGAGGAAATTTGAAGTGAGCTCCCCTGAGGACCGTGGCTGCTGTACTGGCAGAAGAGAGGATGTTGGTCCCTGCTGCTGAGGGTTACTGAGCTCACAGAGGGGTGCCTTGTCCCTGAGACCCCTGAGGGTAAGGTCGTGCCAGGTTAAGGCAGCAGTGGTTGGGCCATCTTCCAGGTGGGGAGGTGATGGCCTCATTGCCGCAGTTGTGCATGTGGATGAGAAGCACGGGCCCCTCCCTGCATGGGGCTACTGTAGACAGGAGCCCACACTGGGGCTTGACCAGATGACCTTCTCCCTCTGGCCCCTAACCCCTGCATAATCTGACTCCTGTGGGTCCCCAGGCAAAAGGAGACAACAGACCGACCCCGATGCCCCGTGCGGCTCGTGCTGGTGGGTGCGGGGCCCGCTGGCAGGGTCAGCTGTGCGTCCTCACACGCCTGCTTTGCTCACCTTTGTGCCTCACACATCCACCCTTGAACGCTGCTCTTCTCTCTTTCCCAACAGTGTCGCAGCCCCAGGCTGCTCCCAGCCCGCTGGAGAAGTCGCCCAGCACGGCGATCCTGTGCAACACGTGTGGGAATGTGTGCAAGGGCGAGGTGCTGCGGGTGCAGGACAAGTACTTCCACATCAAGTGCTTCGTCTGTAAAGGTGAGTGTCCCCCGGTCCCCTGCAGTGTGGCCCCTGAAACGGGCCTCCCAGCGGCGATCCTGGGCCCGCAAAGCCTCCTGGGAAGCTCTGCCTGGGCCTGGGATACTGGAGAACACTCCAGATACAGAATCTTCAGAGGAGAGTGGGATCTTTTCAACATAGCCTTGTCACTTGTGGATGTGATGGAGAAATCACCAGATTGGGGAGGGTCAGGGGATGAGGGTCCAGGTCCCTAGGGGTGTCCTCGTGTGGCTGCACCCAGCCTCAGAGAATTCTGGTCCTGCGGCCAGAGGAAGGTGGCCACCTGAGCACTGTAGCCACACAGGTAAATAAACGGTCATGGTCAGCCGCATGAACTCAGTAGTGGGGGACACGCGGGACCTTTGCTGGATCCCAGGCACGCGGGGACCCCCACCCGAAGTAGCACTGCGAACACTACCATTACTCCAGACTAAAATCACTTCAATTTCTCTATGACTATAAACCAATAATGTAAATAATCTACTAAATTCCAATCATCCTGAAAAGTTGAGAAAAAAGGAAAACAAAAAAAAAATCACGTGAGGCCCCACCAACCGGGCCCGGCCAACGGAGATGGCCTGTGCCGAGTCTCCCTCCAGCCTGTTCCTCCTTCCTATACAAAGATAACGCATGTGCCCTTGCTAATTTTCTAAAAATAGATTAAAAATAGCACTGGAGGAAGGGATGTGCAAATCAAACCAATTTGATGGATGTCGACCCGAGGAGTTTGCAGTTTTAAAGGAATCACATTAAGGACACTGCAAATCCCTGCTGCGGTGTGCGGCCCCGTGCCTGCCTGCCTTCTGCGGGTTCGGTATGACGGCCCCCTGGGCCATTTGGAGATTCACACTCGCTTAACCATAACGACCCTCGATGAACCCTAGTGCGCTGACGGTTTGCTTTTTTCTGGGCAAACAAAACTAGGAAATGTGCCACAAGCCGATAATTGAGCATGATGATTTTCATCAGGCGTTGCACGGCCCCCATCCAATGGCTGCGGGCTGCATTCATCCGCTCCACAAAGGCTCTAGGAGGCCCTGCTGTGCGCCAGGCTCTTGAATGTTCTAAAGACCAGGAAGGCGCAAGCTTTAGCATGGACACATTCGCTGTCTGCTGAGGGAGATAATGTTAGGTAAGGTGTGCAACACGATTTGAAAAGGTGGCTTTTTATAGTAAAAACCAAGTATATGTGTGTAGGGGGGGATGCCCACAGGGAAGGATTTCGAAGACTCCAGAAAGGACTTCGCAGAGGAGGTGGCGTGCTGGCTAGAACCTCGGGAGTAGAAATCTGCCTGGCAGAAGCAAGGCTGCTCCAGACAGAAGGGAATCCTCCCGACGCCAGCAGCCCAGGGAGACATGTGACTGTGTTTCAGAAAGAGGGACACTGAGGTCTGGAAGCGCGAGGAGCTTGCCCAGGGTTTGCATTCCAGGCGTGTCTGCAGCCCTGGGCCAGGGTCTTCCCTCCTGGGTTTCTGTGGAGGCGCCTTGAGGGTCTCCTGGGTGTGAGTGGGAGCAGGAGGGGAGCAGGTGCTGTCTCCAGTGCTGCCCATCGGAGTGCAGACATTGTCCACTAGTCCGGTTCATGTCTGCAGGCGCAGTCTAAAGACTGTGTGTAGAGTCCTGTTGCTTGAAAAGGAAGCTTGAAAACCAATGGTCTAGAGTCTTCTGCTGCTAAAAGGGGACCATCTGAGAACCGACCCTGGTGCCGCTGGCCCTGGAGGAGGTCAGAGGCCACAGCGCGGCACTTGGAGCCCTGCAGGGGGTCGGTGACTTAGGGAAGACGCTGAGCTCAGCCAGCTCTCCACTGGCCCTGGGACCCCAAGGGGGCTGCACCATTTCTGGCAGGAGTGGGAGTGCCCTGAATCCCTTGGGCTAAGGCAGACCCCAGCCCCGACCTTCAGAGATGCTGAGACTCTGTCCAAGGACGTGGGTGACTATCAGGGACATCACCGGGGGCACTTGATGCCCCAAGAATCACCTGGATCCAGGGATTCCCTGTACATCCACAGCCTGGCTCAGCCCTCAGTGAATTCTCCCCATAGCACCCTGGCATCCCAGGTACCCCAATACCACTGCCCTGACAAAGGCAGCGTGAAGCCCAGTCCTCATGGGGGGACCCAGGGACACCCCCAGGATGGCAGTTCTGGGGGCTACTTTGGAAGAACAACGAAGTGAACAGCACGCTCTCCGGCACACGCGGGGAAGGATTTGTTTTCTGGGAGTGAGTGCACGAGCTGTGGGTGTGAGTGTGGCCGGCCTCCATCCTCCCACATTTCCAAAAACAAGCAGGTGGTCCACCTGCCTTCCTGAGCCTCGGGATCCCCCGCCCAGGCTGCAAAGCAAAGGGGGCGTGTCAGCGCCAGGGAGCGATTGCCTGGGAGAAGGGGTGGCCTCCACCCTGGCCTTTCTCTCCCTGCAGCTAGTGGATTTCATGCTTTTCATTAGGGCTTTCCAGGGCATCGTGGGATTTAGCTGGTGCAATTTTTTCAGCTCTCCCTGAAGATACATTTGCCACATTTCTGGAAAGCAAAATCCATTAGATGCCTCTTTTTAAAAGCCTATTTTAAAAGACAAAGGGGAAGCTTGCACTTTATTTGAAAGGATTTCCATAAGCACAGACCTTGGGCATGCAGCAAAATGCATCAGACCCGAGTCAAGCTCATCACCTCCTGTGACCCAGCGGACTCATAGCTGGCGGAAACTGCCCCGGGTCCCCCTCCTCTGTCACCTGGGCAGGCCATTTCAGCCTCCTTCAGTGGATGTGGGAATAACCATAACCTCTTCCTCGCCAGCGACAGGCGATGGGATGAGACAGTGTCAATGGCAGGCTGACCCAGGGCTGGGGACTCACACTCCATCACCCAAGATGATTAGTGACCATGGACTCCAGCAGTAGCAGGGGTCTGAGGGCAGGCCCAGTGCCAAGATCCACCACATACCCACCCACAGCCAGTTAGAGTCTCACTCTGTGCCAGGCACCTGTGCCAGGCCTGTTGGCCCTGCAGATGTGGCAGCCAGGGCAGTGACCACCCCTTCTCCTGGGAAAGCTCTGCCTTCAGTGGGTGGCCTCTGTGCTGGAGAATGGCATGGAGTAACTACGATTTCCTGCAAGCTTTCAAATGAGCTGCACTTGTTTAAGCATGAGGACCTTGCAGTCTTGCATTAATCTTCTCTCCAGGCTCTCATGAGAGTGCAGCGTATGAATCATTGAGGGTGCTTTGGGATGAATAAAAAGAAGACCCAACTCATAAATATCCAACATGGATATTTGTCATCTTAACACGAAGTCTGGAGGTAGCCCCACACCCCTACCCCAGGGCTGGCTAATTAAACAACTCACCAGGGTCATGATGGATGCCCAAATGTTCCCTCTCCCACACTGCACCCTGTGCGTGTCAGCAGTGCCTCTCCTCATGGTCTCAGATGGCTGCCGTTGCTCCAACATCACGTTCTCACCGCATGGCATGCAGCCTGGAGATGTGCACAGGCAAAGCCTGTCTCCTCGCATAACCCTCCCTCTCATTAGGGAGGAGAACCCTTTCCTGAAGTCCCCATAGACTCCCCATATGACTCATTGGCCAGAACTCGGTCACACGTTCACCCCCACCGGCAAAGAGGAACGGGGGGCTCGTGGCTGACTTAGCCCAATCATGGCCGTCCTCAGGTGGGCACATTACCAGTTGAGCCAAAGCAGGATCTGTTAGCAGGGAAGACAATTCAAGAGCTCCTACTGTGTTGGGTTCCCACTACCCAGGCACTTACTTGTGCCTCAGTTTACCTGGGAAAATCTGTGAAATCATATGATTATCCTCTTGTCCGTGGCTGCCCCAGGCTTGGGCATTCGAATTCCACCTCTGCCACCCACAGCTCATGTGGATCTTAGGCAGGTGTCTCAACCCAGTTTTTCTAAGTAAAAGTCATTCAATAACTATTTATTGAGCACCTACTATGTGCCAGGCACTGTTCAGGGTATTTGGGAGATAGCCATGAACAAGACAGACATCCCGTTATGGGGATGGGGACCAGGTCTAATGCAAGGAGACAGATAATAAACATGATAAAGAATAAATAAGCAAATTTCATCATGTGCTAGAAAGTGAGCCCTGCTAGGGAAGGAAAGATGCAAACTGGGTGGTCAGGCTGGGCCTCACGGAGGAGGTGACCTTTGGGCAAAGCCTGGTGGAAGGAGGTGAGGAAGTTAATGAGGGAAGAGCATTCCCACCAGAGGGAACAGCCAGTGCAGAGACCCGGAAGCAGGCAGGCTTGGGAAACAGCAGGAGGCCCATGTGGCTGAAGCAGAATGACCAAGGGGATTAGGGAGATAGAGCCTCTACATCCCTGCAAAGACCGTGGCTTTGACACTAGCAAGGAAACACAGAGGAGGGTCCTGCTCCATCCTTGTAGGTTTCCATGGATCTCTGGGTGCTTGCTTGTGCAGGGAGGCCAGGGTGGGAGTCGGGAGGAGGCTAGAGGCAGGTGCGGGCACCTAGGCTGGAGCCAATGGCGGCTGGGATGAGGGGTGTGAAGGTGTCTCATTCTGGATGTCTTTGAGATCCAGCTGGCTCTGTCCTTACTCTACAAATGGGAATACATGCAGAACATAAATACGTCAAACGCATAGCACAGAATGCCTGGAAAAACAAATCTGGTTTACTTGGCCTTCAAAGGGTGGCTGAGCTCTGTGCTTTGGGAATATGTTTTAACTGTGATGTGTTGTTAATGCAATGATGAAAAGATGAGGCCACACCCATGTGTGCCCTCGGGAGAGCGGGCATTTTCTGGTCCTATTGGAAGTGGAACTGAGCAAGTCCACAATGTTAGCAAGAGCCAAGAAAACAGGCAGGGAGGGAAGGACGTGTGTCCGGGAGGAGAGCCCGTGAGCTGCGCATGTAAGGCAGGTGGAGTTGTCCCTGAGGATGCATCCATCTGGGACTATAAATAGCCGCCTGTTCTAGGCGGTCTGGGAGGAATGAAGGAATGGTGCAAGATGCCTGCACACGTGCTTCCTGGGCGTTCCAGGCGTTTATGAGAAACAGCCCTGGGCCTCCAGCATCAAAGGGAAGCTCTAGACAGGTGGGCCTTGGCCCTGGCCCAGGGCACTCCTTGTTCCGCACAGCCTAAGCCGCACAGGGCACGAGTGTCAAGATCACATGGCAGAGTTGTGAAAGTCCCGGCAGGAGGAATCTCAGATGACGTCTGCCTCATCCCCCTGTTATTCACAGAAGGGGATCCTGAGCCGGGCTGGGCCAAGACTCGGAGCTGCGATGCCCGGCCAGCCCTGGAGCCCTCGCCCAGGTTAAGGCTCACTCAGGCCCCTGGGGTTCTCTGTTTTCTTGTGTTTTGATGTGAATTGGCATCTCCGTCTTCCACTCACCAATATAGAAAAATAGCAGCGGGTGGACAGCACCTTGGGTGGTCCCTGTTCCCATCTGGGTGTATATTCCTCCCAGCTTTCCCCTGGTCTGAGTCTCTTTAAAATGTGAAGGCATGCCGTATACCTGATTCGTTCGCTTCAATTTAGTGTGTGGGCACTTTCCTCACCATGCAGATTCCTCACATTCATGTCAATATCCTCCCAAATTCCTTCCAATGCATGCCCCACAGTAAATGTAGTCGTCACTCTTGCACTGTTGGATGTCAACATCATTTCCAGGCAGACACTGGGCTAATCAGCTTGTTAGACCTCATCTCATTGATTTCTTTTTTTTTTTTTTTTTTTTTTTCCTGAGATGGAGTTTCATTCTTGTTGCCCAGGCTGGAGTGCAGTGGCGCGATCTTGGCTCACCGCAATCTCCGCCTTCCAGGTTCAAGTGATTCTCCTGCCGCAGCCTCCCGAGTAGCTGGGATTATAGGCATGCACCACCACACCCAGCTAGTTTTGCATTTTTAGTGGAGTCGAGGTTCCTCCATGTTGGTCAGGCTAGTCTCGAACTCCTGACCTCAGGTGATCCGCCCCCCTCAGCCTCCCAAAGTGCTGGTATTTCAGGTGTGAGCCACCGCACCCTGCCTTCATCTCACTGATTTCTTACAGCCACCATGCAAGATCAGTATTGCTAACTCTATTTTACACATGAGGACTCTGAGGTTCAGAGAGGGTAAGTAACTTGGTCAAGGTCACACAGCTGGGAAGTGGAAGAAGCAAGGACTCAAGCCCAGGCTGCCTGACTCTAAAGCCCAGGCATCTATTTACAACATTTTACTGTACCCATAATGCAGGGAACATTGTTGCAACTGAATTTCTGTGACAGTCATGGTCATTTCCTTGGGACAATCCCAGGAGAGGGACTGCTGGGTCAAAGGGCGGGAAAAGTTTTCACATTCCTTAGAGTCAGTGCCAAATGATATTCCAGAAAGTGATGTTGATTCATCTTTTCCCCCCAGCCGCCACCCTCTCCTGCCTGTTTCTCGTAAATGAACACAGCGTGTGCCCAAAGGATGGTGCTCCCATCACCCCCACCTGCCCTGCCTCCTGCCAGTGTCTGTGCTAGTTTGATAAATTGCAAAATGCAATATAAGAACAATGTGTTGTCTCCATAAGGATTTCTAAAATGACCAGGGAACTTGAACATTTTATTTTTAGCACACAGAGGCCTGGGGTTTTTGTTGTTGCTGTTTTGTTTTTTGTTTTGAGATGGAGTCTCACTCTGTCACCCAGGCTGGAGTGCAGTGGCGCGATCTCGGATCACTGCAAGCTCCGCCTCCCAGGTTCATGCCATCCTCCTGCCTCAGCCTCCCGAGTAGCCAGGACTACAGGCGCCCGCCACCACGCCCGGATAATTTTTTGTATTTTTAGTAGAGACGGGGTTTCACCATGTTAGCCAGGATGGTCTCGATCTCCTGACCTCGTGATCTGCCTGCCTCAGCCTCCCAAAGTGTTGGGATTACGGGTGTGAGCCACCGTGCCCAGTCAGAGGTCTGGGTTTTAACCACCTTGTGGTGACCTTGGCATACTCAGGACAGCTAGAATCTGACCAGCAACCTCCCAGATAACGGCTGGGGCTGGACATGCTCACTTGCCTGGTGCTCCCGGGAGTGGACTCACAGCACTGGAGTGGGGCACCAGAACCACTGCCACATGTTTCTCCTTCAAGGAACAGCTCACGCCGTCACGTCTTTAAGAAGAATAGAGAAATACAGAAATGCCAGAGCCATGAGTGCTGTGAGCCCAGTCACCATCCAGCTACTGTCTTGGGGCAGGTGGCGCTGACATCAGAATACTATAATGCTCCAAAGTGAGGCCCCCAAGTCTCTGCTTCTCCCCAGTTGGGATGTATTTGCTTGGTCTACGCTATGGTGCAAGATCGGACAAAGCATTTTCATCCTCAGCCCAGGTTTCCTTCTGGATTTTCATGAGCCAGAGCATGGAGTGCAGAGCAAGGGCACCCTGGCCCAGGGCTGAGGCCCACCTGTCTGGAGCTTCCCTTTGATGCTGGGAGTCCTTGGCTGTTTCTCATAAACGCCCCGGAACGCCCAGGAGGAGCGAGTGCAGGCATCTTATACCATGCCCTCATCCCTCCCAGACCATCTAGATGGGATTTCGTTCTGAGTTTTCATTTTTACCTTGAGACAGAATTCAGAATCAGCATCTCTGGCCTTGGGCCTCTTAGGAGCAGCCATTAGAGCAGCAGCCAGGGCCTCGACACTGAGCCAGGCAGGACTCAGGTCTCACATCGCACTGGCTCACGGGATGCTCATCTGTGCTGCCGTGTACCCCTCTGAAGTAGGTTCTGTGTGCTAGATGAGGACAAGGAGGCCCAGAGAGGTTAAGGAACTTGCCCAGGGACACACAGCACACTACGCGGGTAGAGCTGGGATTCGAATCCCGGCAGCTCCGGCATCTGGAATCTAAGCTGCTCGGTTGACGTCTCACCATATCAGAAGAGCTAACATCTCTTTGGAGAAATGGAGACAAGTAAACCCTGGAATGTAGGCGTTCCAGCCACTCTGGTGCTTCCAGCCAGTTTGTTCCCAGAGCTCTGTTGGGGGTTTTGTAGGCAAATGTTGAGGGTCTTGCTTTGGCCTCGATATCCCACTGGATGCCCTCAAAGGAATGATGTAACAGTTAACTTTAAAGGTGCCCATATTCACAATGTGCAGAAACGACGTCCTTTGCAAGCAATTAACATTGTGATGAAAACTTTTAGATGTCAGGTTTAAAATGTATGAGGGCTACATGGTTTCTCAAAGCCCTTCCTTGGTGGCTGTAAGCTGCATTGACCCAGCAGGCAGGACCCAGGACTGACCAGGCCAGAGGGGCTGGGGCTGCAGGGGGTTCCTCTGTGACTCTAGCAGGGAGGGCCTGGGCCAGCTGGGTCAGGGGAGGCTGTGGGCTGCTCCCTCTGAAACCATGCATGGCCTGGGCACTGGAGGGGAAGCTTGTGGGAGGAATGCGATCGGGTCTCAGGACATGGACTGGGGGCCTCTGAGCTGGTGGTGACCAGCAAGTTGTCCTGAGGGCGAGTGTTCCCTTCCCTACCTGGCAGAGATCCCTCAGCCCTCCATGGAGCTCCAGGGCTTCAGCTTCCTGGGCCGGGTGTGTGTTGGGAAAAGAGACAAAGTGCTTCCCTTTCAGGAGTCCACAGGCTCTCTCCTCCTGCAGGTCTGGCCTTGTTCACACTGTGGGGAGACAGGCGTCGAGGGCCATGAGGGCATGGAGACCCAGAGGAGTGGGGGAGGGGGTGGGAAGCCTAGAGGTGGGCTGGAGGCACCGACCACAAGGACCTGGTCTGTCCTCCTGGGAACCTTCGGCCCCCAGCACAGAGTCTAGCACACAGTAGGTGATCAGGCATTAGCCCCTTCCTGATCTGTATGCCCAGTGCTGGAAACAGCCCACTGGAGGACAGCAGGGGCTCAGGGACCATCCCTGGCGGGGTCACAGAGGCTGGGGGCACTCTAGCGAGGGTGGGAGGCTGGGCAGCCCCTCAAGAGAGCCTGGCTCTTGTCCCGGTCAGTGCCCTTTCCCAAGCTTCTGTAAGGAAAGTCCACTCACCACCAGGCCAGGGGCCAGAGCTGGAGTCTGTCCCAGGAGCCCGGCCCGCCGAGAGTTGAGCAAGCCACCCCAAGTGTGTGCCGAGGCCTCAGTGCCTGTGTCAGGTGGTGGTGTGTGTGTGGAGGGGGGTGCACCTCGGGCCTGGGGGACGTGGAGATGGTCCCCTCTGCCGCTAACGCCACCTCGCCCGTCCTCCCCCAGCATGTGGCTGCGACCTGGCCGAGGGCGGCTTCTTCGTGCGGCAGGGCGAGTACATCTGCACGCTGGACTACCAGAGGCTCTACGGCACCCGCTGCTTCAGCTGCGACCAGTTCATTGAGGGTGAGGTGGTGTCGGCGCTGGGCAAGACCTACCACCCCGACTGCTTCGTGTGTGCCGTCTGCCGGTGAGTAAGTGGGCACCTGGCCTCTGCTTCCCCTGCCTCTCTGGGCCTTTTCTCCTTCCCTCCCTCCCTTCCCTTCTTCCTCCTGCTCCCTCCCGTGACCCGCCCTCTGCATCCTGCAGCGAGGCTGTTCCAGGCCCCACAGTCTGCACCCTTCTGTCTTGGTGCATACAGAGGCCTCCTCACAGGGAGCTCCGTGAGGGCAGGGGTGGGCTGCCCCGCTTTGGGTCTGGTGCATGGCACAGAGCAAGCATGCAGCAAGTGCTGGCTGCGGAGACTGGGTCCTCATCCCGGCAACAGGACTGCACCGGCCCCGCTCCGCCTGCACCTCCTGGGGCTGAGCAGGAGCCTTCCTACGTGGTCCCTGCCTCCCCCTTCCCTCCCCAGCCCCTGACTCGTTCCTCCCAGAGGAAATGTTCTGTTTCTAGAAAACAAAGAAGAGAAACATGAAAAACAGTTTGTTTTCTGTTCTGTACTCCCTGTCTCACCACACCGTGTTTGCAGGGGACGTTTTCAATGTTGTTTCCAAAGCAGTTCCCTGTGGTTACAGCGTGTGCCGGAGACAGAAATGGAACCTTCGTCAGAGGATGCTAAGGACAGGAGGTGACGATGACAAGGAGTATGTCTAGGGAGAGTCGCTCTGTGTCATCGTAGCGTGACCTGAGTCAGACCTCTCTCTCCCAGGGATTATCCGAGTGTTTGATTTTTGTGTACGTGGCTTAGAGATGAGGGTTGACATCTCACAGTTGGTTTGAAAGATCGCCTCTGGTTAATCCATTATTTTAAAAAATAATAACAGACAGCCCTGGTCGCATTGGAGTCACTGGAGCTGGACTTGTCCAGCCACCATCAACAACTAGGAAACTGGACAAAATGTATGAAACAACCATTTCCAGACTCTGGAGCTCAGAACTAAGAGAAAGGAACAAGTTAAGCGAGGCGAGGCCTGTGATTGCCCCAGCTTCCTTCCTGGAGGCAGTTTCCGGAAGGATAGCGTGGGGTTGGGGGAGAGACCCAAGGGGAGCGTGGCATCGTCCTGAGGCAGGAGACAGTGACTAGAAAGGCAGGCACAGCTGGAACATGTTGGGCAGAATACCAGAGGGGCAGGGGCACCACAGAGCAAGAGCGCCGAACTGCACAGGTACCTTGGAGTCTTTGACCAAATATGAAGCCCTGTAGTCGCAGAGGAATTTCACACAGTGGGGCAGAGAATGACCAGGTTGCTGCAAGCGAAACAATTCCTGGATTTGGGAAACATCTGAGTCCTGTCCAGGGCAGAGATTCCTCGTCGAACCCCAGGGCATGCAGTGTGGACACCAAAAGGTCGCGTCTCATCCAGAAGACAAAACAGCCCTAGAGCGAAGGCTACAGTGAACCTGCTCTACCAAAGCACAAAACGAGCCTCAGGAAGATCATGCTGGCTGGGCGCGGAGGCTCACACCCGTAATCCAGCACCTCGGGAGGCCAAGGTAGGAGGATCGCTTGAGACCAGGAACTGGAGACCAGCTTGGGAAACATAAAGAGACCCCATCTCTATTTTTTAATTAATTATTTTTTAAAAAAGATCATGTTGATCTGCAAATAAACTGTCTGCCAGAGCAAAGCCCAACACTTTTCACAAGAAGATTTTTAAAAATCCAGCATTCAACAACGTAAAATTTATAAGTGTTCAGTGTCCAATCAAAACTTGCTGGTGATGGCTGGGCACAGCAGCTCATGCCTATAATCCCTCCACTTTGGGAGGCCGAGGTGCGAGGATCACTTGAGGCTGGGAGTTCAAGATCAGCCTGCGTGACATAGCAAGACCCTGTCTCTACAAAAAATTTAAAAATTAGTCTGGCATGGTGGTGCATGCCTGTAGTCCCAGCTATGTGAGAGGCTGAGATGGGAGGATTGCTTGGGCCCAGGATTTTGAGGCTGCAGTGAGCTATGATTGCACCACTGCTCTCCAGCCTGGGTAACAGAGCAAGACCCTGTAGAAAGAAAAGAAAGAAAAGGAAAGAGAAAGAAAGAAAGAGAGAGAGAGAGAAAGAAAGAAAGAGAAAGAAAGAAAGAAGGAAGGAAGGAAAGAAGTGGGGGGAGAGAGAGAGAGAAAGAAAGAAAAAGGAAAAGAAAGAGAAAGAAAGGGAGGGAAGGAGGGAGGGAAAGGAAGGGAGGAAAGGAAGAAAGGGAGGGAGGGAGGGAAGAGAGGGAGGGAGGGAAGGAATTACTAGTTGTATTAGGTTGTTGCAAAAGTAATTGTGGGTTTTGTCATTAAAAGTAATAGTAAAAATCAGCAACCTAATAAAAGGAAACTAGAAAATGTGACCCAAAGCCAGAAGAAAAGTCAGTAGCAATAAGGGAGGAGACCACCCCTCATATTGTCTTATGCCCAATTTCTGCCTCCAAAGAAAGAAGAAGTAAAACCTAAAAGGCAGAAATGAAATACACGGGCAGACAGCCCGGCACCACACCCTGGGCCTGGTAGTTAAAGATCGACCCCTGACCTAATCAGTTATGTTATCTGTAGATTCCAGATATTGTATAGAAAAGCACTGTGAAAATCCCTGTCCTGTTCTGTTCCTGTCTGATTACCGGTGCATGCAGCCCCCAGTCACGTATACCCTGCTTGCTCGATCGATCACGACCTTCTCATGCAGACCCCCTTAGAGTTGTGAGCCCTTAAAAGGGACAGGAATTGCGCACTTGGAGAGCTCAGTTGTTGGAGACGTGAGTCTTGCCGAAGCTCCTGGCTGAATAAAGACCTTCCTTCTTTAACTCGGTGTTTGAGGAGTTTTGTCTGTGGCTTGTCCTGCTGCAGCAATAGGCCCAGAAATGACAGGAATGGTGAAATGAGCAAATAATGACTTTAAAATAGCTACTGTAAATATGTTTAAGTATTTTAAGGAAATATGAACATAATAGGAGAGTTATGGAAGATATAAAAAGAAACCACTGGTACTTGTAGAAATGAAAAATACAATGGCCGAAGTGGAAAATCTCCTGAAAGGAATTAGCAGTAGATTGGGTATTTTGGAAGAAAATATCAGTAAACTTGAAGACACAGCATTAAAAAGAATTCAAACTTAAGCAGAGAGACAAAAAAACTGAAAAACACAAAAAGCACCTCAGGGATCTGTGGATGTAGATCTATTTCTCTATCTAGGTGGATAAGGGAGACCAACAAGTGTTTAAGGAAGTAATTGCTGAACATTTTGCAAATTTGGTGAAAACTATAAACAAATGAATCCAAGTATTTCAATGAACTTCAAGCAGAATAAACACATCAGAATCTACCAAATCTATCCTAATCAAATTGCTGAAAACCAGTGCTAAAAAGAAATCTTAAAAGCAGCCAGACGAACAAAAATTATTTACAGAGGAACAAATGTATGACTCCAGACTTCTCATCAGAAACTATGTATGCTAGGAGACAATAGAACAACATTTCTTAAATGCTGAGAAAAATATCTATCAAATAATTCTAGACTAAGCACAAAAAACTTCCAAAAATGAAGGCAAGACTGCTAAAGGGTATGGGATTTCTTTTGTGGGTGATAAGATTGTTCTAAAATTGATTATGGTGATAGTTGCACAACTCTGAATATGCTAAAAGCTGCTGGATTGTACATTACATTGTATGTGAATAAAGTGTCAAAACTGTTACTGAGAAACGAAGGCACGATAAAGACTTTTTTAGACACGCAAAGCTAAGAGAATTTGTTGCCAGCCAATCTGCACCAAAATAAACTTACAGGAAGTTTTGTGGGCTGAAGGAAACGCAAAATGAGAAACTGCAAAAGCAAGCCATCAGCTGGCAGAGAGTGCCATGTTAGATATGAGTTCAAGGTTGCACCCTCACACCTGTGTCTGATGAAGCGCTGCTCTACAAAATATTGATTATTTACAAAATATTGATTATTCACAACTCAATAATAATAAGACCCAAAATACTGTTAAAAATGGGCAAAAGAGACTGGGTGCGGTGGCTCACGCCTGTAATCCCAGCACTTTGGGAGGCTGAGCCGGGTAGATCACTTGAGCTCAGGAGTTTGAGACCAGCCTGGCCAACGTGGTGAAACCCTGTCTCTACTAAAAATACAAAAATGAGCCAGGCGTGGTGGTGGGCGCCTGTAATCCCAGCTACTTGGAAGGCCGAGGCAGGAGAATCTCTTGAACCCAGGAAGTGGAGGTTGCAGAGAGCCAAGATCACGCCACTGCACTCCAGCCTGGGTGACAGAGGGAGCCTCCATCTCAAAAAAACTTTTAAAAAAATGGACAAAAGAGTTTAATAGAGATGACTATAAACCAAAAAGAGATTGAGGCAGGGCTCAATCAACAGAGGTTTATTTAGCCAAGGTTGAGGATGTGCCTGGGGTCAAACGCAAGCCGCAGGAGCACTTGTGAGCTGTGCTTTTTCCAAAGGGGGTTTGGGACACTTCAGTGTTTAAGGGGGAAAGAGCAAGAAGGAGAGAAAAAAGGGGAGGAGGAGGAGGACCATGAGGCAGATAGCTACAGTCTTTATAGTTACATCTCATATGCTAATCAGAGCCTCAGTAAATCTATGTTTTACATGTGAAAAGAGGGAGTCCAGGAAACAGTTAAGACTAACCCTCTGTAAATCTACATTTTACATTTGTCATACGCCATTCTGTTTTACATTTTACATGTGACATGGGGTTGTGAAACTACAGTTCTCTGGAAACAAAAGGAAAGCAGTTTTTGCATGATTCCGTTCCCAGCTTAACTTTCCCTTTGGCATAGTGAGTTTGGGGTCCTGAGATTCTATTGTCTTTCACACTTCACTAAAGAACATATACAAATGGGCCAGGTGTGGTGACTCACGCCTGTAATCCCAGCACTTTGGGAGGCTGAGGTGGGCAGATTGCTTGAGGTCAGGAGTTCGAGACCAGCCCGGCTAACATGGTGAAACCCCATCTCTACTAAAAATATAAAAATTAGCCAGGTGTAGTGGCAGGCACCTGTAATCTCAGCTACTCAGGAGGCTGAGGCAGGAGGATCACTTGAACCCAGGAGGCAGAGGTTGCAGTGAGCCAACATTGTGCCAGTGCACTCCAGCCTGGGTGACAGAGCAAGACTCTGTCTCAAAAAATATATATATATTATATTATATATTATAATATATATAAAAATATGTATTCTATATTATAATATGTATTATATATTATAATATACATTATATATTATAACAATATATTATATATATTATGTTATATATTATAATATATATTGTATATATAATATATTGTATAAATAATATATTATATTATTTATATAATATATTATATAATATATAATATATTAATTCTATAATTATTAATATATAAATGCATAATAAATATATAATATTAATATATAATACATATTAATATAATATATATTATATAATTATATTATGTATATTATATAATATATAATTATATATAATTTTATATAATATATAATTATATAATATATAAAATTATATATATAATTTTATATAAAATTATACATAATATATATAATTATATATATAATTTTATATAAAATTATATATAATATATATAATTATAAATATTATATATAATTTTATATATAATATATATTTTATATTTTATACAAAATATATAAAATATAAAATATTATATATTATATATAATTATATAATTATATATAATACATAATTAATTATATATAATATATAATATATAATTATATATTACATATAATTATATATAATATAATTATATGTAATATAATATATATATAATTATATATATATTATATATATAATATATATATAATTATATATATATAATATAATATATAATATTATATATAATTATATATATACACACAAATGACCAACAGCATACATGAAACAGTGTTTACCATCATTAGTCACAGGGGTATGCAAATGAAAACTACAAAGAAATGCCATTACGCCTCCATGAGAACGACTAAAACTGAAAAGATGGACCATGGCAAGTGCTGGTGAGGATGTGAAGCCAGAGGAGTGTCCCTCCAGTGCCGTTGTGAATGCAGAATGGCACAACGGCCATGGAAACCGGCTTGGCAGTTTCTGATAAAGTTAAACACACACTTAGCATATGATCAGAAAATCCATCTTCTGTATTCACCCAAAAGGAAAGCTTGTGTCCGCGGAGAGGCTGGTTGGCAACCGTGCTTAACAGCTTTATTTGTAACAGTCCCAAACTGGAAACAGCCCAGAAGCCCCCAGCAGTTGCATGGAATGGCTGTTGTGATTTATCCATGGGATGGACACTGCTCCGTCCTCAAAGGAACAAAGGATCGATATTGGCAAATAGCATGAGTGGACCTGAAAAACGCGAGGCTGACAAAACACCAAAGACTATGTGCTCTGTGATCCCGCAAAAAAATAAAAATAAAAAAAAAGACAAATCTAATGCACGGTGACAGTGACAATCACAGTGTCTGGGGCCATGGTGACAATGATGATCACGGTGCCTGGGGCCAGAGGTCGTGAGCAGCATGATTGTAGACAGCCACAGGGGGCTTTTTGCAGTGGAAAGAATGTTCCATATCATGACTGTGGTGGTGGCAGTTATATGGGTGTGTACATTTGTCACAAGGTACCTCAATAAAGTTGAGGAAATACAATCATAGCTGCCATTGAGTCAGCCCCTCCCAGGTCCAGGCAATAAGCCAGAGCTTCCTAGGCAGGATGTCCTGTGGGCGAATGAATGTATGAATACAAACCTGGAATGCAGGCATTCTCAGTCCTACTTTATAGGTGGGAAGTGTTTCAGAGAGGCTGAGTAGCTTGTTCCAGGTTAAACAGCCAGAGATTCGCTCCAAGCACATCCAGGGATGGGGAGGGGCTCCCACTCTGTCTCAAGATCCCCCATGACAGGGAGGGTGCAAGACACGGAGACCCAGGTGGCAGCAGACCATAGCATTGACACGGTGGCAACACGGGCATGGGAGAGCCGTGCAGGCTCCTGGGCAGTGGATGGGAGGGGAGGGCCCTGGGTTCAGCTCAGCCTGTATTTGTCCTGGATCCCCAGAAGGTACTGGCCCAGTGGGAACCCAGGAACACACCTGCTGCATGGACCGAGGGTACTGGATGCCAGCCCCACAGGTGGGTGCTCTGGCAGGCCTTCAGCAGGGGAAGGCACGGTGGTCTCCAGCTTCAGGGAGCTCCATCTGGCAGGCCCTGGTGGGAGGCCAGGCAGGGACTTGGCAGGAGAGAGTAGACCAAGCGTGGCCCCCTAGGAGAGCTTCAGTCCTTCACTTATTCACCCATTCATTCATTCAACAATGAATGCATTGTCTCCTCCCTGAAGAAGACAGACAGAACCCAACAAAGGTGTTTGAGCAGGGGCTTTTTTTTTTTTTTTTTTTTTTTGATATGAATCTCACTCTTTGGCCCAGCCTGGAGTGCAGTGGTGCAATCTCGGCTCACTGCAACCTCCACCTCCCAGTTCAAGCGATTGTCCTGCCTCACCCTCTCAAGTAGCTGGGATTACAAGTGCACACCACCATGCATGGCTAATTTTTGTGTTTTTAGTAGAGACCAGGTTTCACCACACTGGCCAGGCTGGTCTCAAACTCCTGACCTCAAGTGATCCTCCCACCTCAGCCTCCCAAAGTGCTGGGATTACAAGTGTGAGCCACTGCGCCTGGCCACACAGGGGATTTAAGGGGCACCCGTGGTCTGACACTTCCACGGGCTTCTGCCTGAAAAGCACCTGGTTCTCTGGCCAGGCTCAGATGGGGAAGGAAAGTGGCCCGGTGGCTGCTGGGAGCTTGATGGCAGCAGGTGTCGAGGGCAGACATGGCAGCATTCTCAGGCTGTGCTTCTGGCCCTGTCTGCAGGTGGCCTGGCCTTAGCTTGCTAGATGCAGCTACTTGAGCCATCCCTCAGTTTCCAAAGACATCCCCGGACTGCAGGAGGATGGGCCAGCTCTCTGCGGTCCCTCACCTGGCCTCACTCCAGGCACTTGCTGCGGAGGCGGACTTTAAGGTGGTGCCAAAAAACTCAGTAGTCAAGTAAATGATATTTTAATGCGATACTTTAAAAAATTGAAATAAATGCAAAAAATCCATTTAGAGCAAAATGGCAGAATTTTAAATAAAGACAGGATCCGATTGTCCAGCATCTTCCTGTCTACGAGGTGTGCTTTTATAGACACTGCCCTCTTAGAGGCCCAGGTAGTTAAATCGTGGAACTTTGAAGCCAGACAGGTCTTGGTTTGATTCTGGTTCTGACTCGTATCCATGTGTCCTTGGAAAAGTTACATATCCTCTCTGAACTCCAGTTTCTCACCTATAGAGAAAACATGAAGCAAATACCAACTAGGTTGAATGGCGTGGGGTTACTCATGAGGCATGCCTATAGGGCACCTATCACAGTAGTGGGCCCTGGGCACACAGGAGATGCCCAGTGTACATAGCTGCTGTCCTTGCTGCTGAGCTGATATGAAGAAAGCATCCCATGTGACTGGGAAGGCAGGGTGGGCTGGAGGGGCCGGTGGCCCAGGCAGCCTGGCATGTTGCCATGTGCCAAGCACTGGGCTGGCCCTCAGCTGGTCCTCACCACCACCTTAGGTGCTATGATTCTGCCTGTTGGTACAGATGAGGAAACTGAGGCTCAGGTGTCGATGACTACCTGAGGTCCTATTGCGGGGACGCAGCAGTGCCTGGGTGGAGAGGCCCTGCATTTCCTCAGCCTGTGAGTGGTACCTTTGCAAGATCCTGGGGAGACATTGGCCCTGGTCTCCTGCACTGGGACAGGGCTCCCCCAGAGAGGAGCCAGAAGGTGGGCCTGGCTGGTAACGAGCTCTCTTGTTTCAGGCTGCCCTTCCCCCCCGGGGACCGAGTGACCTTCAACGGGAAGGAATGCATGTGCCAGAAGTGTTCCCTGCCCGTATCGGTGGGCAGCAGCGCGCACCTGTCCCAGGGCCTCCGAAGTAAGTGGGCGCTGAGTGGGGGCATGTTGAGTGGGGGCATGCTGAGTGGGGGGTGCTAAATGGGTGGGTATGCTGAGTTGGGGGGCGCTGAGTGGGGCGTACTGAGTGGGAGGTGCTGGGGGGCGCTGAGTGGGGGCGGTGCTGAGTATAGGGCATGCTAAGTGGGGGCTTGCTGGTTGTGGGGGGGGTGCTGAGTTGGGGGCTTGGTCTCTGCAGTGCCCAGGGACAGAGCCTGAGAAACGGGGACCCAGAGCAGCAGCAGCTGCAGTGAACGCTGTGAATAAATGTGAGGAGGCAGCCAGGGATGGAAGTTTCTGGGGCTCTCGTGCCGCCAAGTCTTTGCACTGGCTGTTTCCTCCACCCCATGTGCCACTCCTGCTTTCCCATCTAATGCCCACTGCTGCTTTCCCATCTAATGCCCACTGCTGCTTTCCCATCTAATGTCCACTGCTGCTTTCCCATCTAATGCCCACTGCTGCTTTCCCATCTAATGTCCACTGCTGCTTTTGCCCAGCTCTAGCATACCTCCTCCAGGAAGCCTTCCAGGTCTCCTTCAGGTCCTCTCCCTCTGGCATTCACTCCCCTCAGCTCCCCTCTGTTAATTCCAGGCCACCCGGGACCCCTTTGGGGGAACCTGTAGAGGAACACTGAGCTCCGGGCTCCCGCAGTCAGGGGCCCTTGGGTTCACTGCTCCACCTCCCAGGAGTTAGGCCAGGTGTGTATGCAGTGGGGGCTCAAGATGCTTCCTGAATTAGGAAGCAGGAGGTTGTTAGTGTGGAAAAAAAACAAATGCCAGCCGAAGTGTCAGGGGTTTGCAGGTGTGGGGCCAAGTATCAGCAAGGAGTGGGCAGCCAGGTGGCCTTTCCCAGCTGGGGTGGCTCTGCCGGATCATGAGATGGCACACAGGCTCTGGGAGGGAAGCCCAGCAAACCAGGCCCCGCCGCTGCCAGGCACCTGGTGCAGAAGCCCACTCTGAGCACCGTGGTCACTGGGGTGTCCCCAGACAGAGGAGGGGTTTCTCCTGATTTCTGGGGTCAACATCTTGCCCGCAATTAATTTCCTCTCCTGTGTCAAATGCCTCCTTTCTCCCCCACCTTGTCTGCTGCGTTGAGAGTCTCTACAGAGGCGATTCCACTTCCAGCCTCCCCGAGGTGCAGCACTGGCCCTGGGAGCTGGTTATAATTTGACTCTGTGAGCCAAAGCAAAGCCTTCATCCCTTGGGATGAAGTTCACAGCCCCACCGGGTCGGGAGGGCGCTGCTTCCGGGCTTGCTAGGAGAGTCCTCCATTCAAAAATTTCTCTCCAGCTGGGGCCTGGATTGACTGCTTTTTTTTTTTAATGTAAACGTGGTTTTATTTAATGCCTTTTATCTATCTTTGAGAATTTGGCTTCACAAACAGTAGTACTGTTATAATTAAATTCAGATAGTAATCAAAAGCTCTATGGCAAATTTTAAAAGGGGGAGATCAGTTTTGAACAGTTTGTCCACAGCTTCCTGGCAGCCAAATTAAAAAGGGAAACATGGGCTGGGTGTGGTGGCTCATGCCTGTAATCCCAGCACTTTGGGAGGCCGGGGCGGGTGGATCACCTGAGGCCAGGAGTCCGAGACCAGCCTGGACATGGTGAGGCCCTGTCTCTAATAAAAGTACAAAAATTAGCCTGGTGTGGTAGTGCCCACCTGTAGTCCCAGCTACTCAGGATGCCGAGGCAGGAGAATCGCTTGAACTTGGGAGGCAGAGATTGCAGTGAGCTGGGATTGCACCACTGCACTCCAGCCTGAGTGACAGAGTGAGAATGTCAAAAAAAAAAAAAAAAAAAAGTGGGAGGGGATGGAAATATGACCAACCACAGAATCACTGTCTGAGATTTTTTTTTTTTTTTTTTGAGGTTTTCAAAAATACCCTTGGCAGAAAGGCTGTGCCCTCTCCAAATGTAAATTTATTTTGAAATATCAAATTTGCATTTTCAAAGAACAAATGTTCCCCGGACCCCTAGATAACTAATAATGTAACCTGCCCCTTCCCCCAGCCTGTGGTGAGAATCCTGAGCTTAGAACCATTTCTGTGCCTAGAAAGCATTGAGCAGCAGTCCTGGTTCCTGCGTGGATGTCTGCAGTCTTCCCAGTCCAGCCTCCTTTAGTTTTCTCAGCAGCTGTGCCTGGAGGAGCTCTTCTGCAGGTGCAGGAGTGCCCTGTACCTGGCAGGGGTGGGTGTGCTGGGTGCTCTGTCCATCAGGGGGCGGAAGTGCCGAGGGGTGGGCCAAGGCCTTTCAACTCCAAAGCAAGTGAGCTCACCCCACTAGGACTAGAGGCTGTCCAAGGTGGCCTTGGTTCTGAAACTGGAGACGCAGGCTGAATTCCAGCAGGTGGGTCTGGAAGGGGGAGGATGCTACAGATGAGTACAAAGACTAAACACCTGTGAAATGTGCTGGGTGCACCCCCCAGACCCGCGTGAGTGGACGGGGCTGCAGCGTGGGCACCCCCAGACCCACGTGAGTGGACGGGGCTGCAGCGTGGGCACCCCCAGACCTGCGTGAGTGGACAGGGCTGCAGCGTGGGCACCCCCCAGACCCGCGTGAGTGGACGGGGCTGCAGCGTGGGCACCCCCAGAGCCATGTGAGTGGACGGGGCTGCAGCGTGGGCACCCCCAGAGCCGTGTGAGTGGACGGGACTGCAGCGTGGGCACCCCCAGACCCGTGTGAGTGGACGGGGCTGCAGCGTGGGGGCGGGGAATGGGAATGGCACTGAGACACCAACACCAGATGGCAGCTTCCTCCAAAGCCACGCCGTGGTGTTCTCGGTACATCTGGAGGCCGTGAGGAGCAATAGATGGTTGTGGAGTGGGGTAGAGTCAAGTCAGTCCAGAATGTAGGAAGCAGCACCGTCTGCCTGGCCAGCTTGCTGGGCCGGGGGGCAGCAGGGTGGGGCCTCACATGGCTGCCTGTGTGGCTGCCCCTCCCTGGGGAGGGGAGAGTGGCTGGCTCTTGAGGCAGAGCTCAAGCTTGAGTCCCGTGGCCCTGAGCTTCCCTCTGCTGCCCCAAGCAGGCCACTTAGGAACAAGAAATCCTTTAGGGTGGGCCGCACAGGCTTCTTCCAGAAGGAGCAGCGAACACCCCGCATGCCTCAGCTTCCCCACCACTCTCGTTGGGAGGTCCCCTGTGTCCCTGAAGCTCTGCCCCTTCCCGTGAGGCCCCCAGCTCTCCAGTGCTGACCCATTGCTGGTCACGAGCCTGTCACAGGGCGGCCGTCGCAGAGTGCGAGCGCCGTGCCGAACCAGAGGCAGCTCTGAGCCCAGATACCCTGGGTGGACCCTGCATTCACCACTGTGTGCCGAGGGCAAGAGGTGTCCCCTCTCTGGGCCTTTGATGTGGGTGTGGGGCCAGCAGGGGCGTGGGCGGCAGGCTGGCAATTGGGAAAAATGGGCTTGGCCTGGGGAAAAGGGATGGCAAGCAGCTCCATCCGTGCTGAGGAGACCCCACAGCCACTTCTTGGGCCTGGCCGCCCCTGGCTCTTTAGCTCCATCCCCTGGACCTGGGGAGGCCCCACCAGAGTGAGGGATGAAGAGGCAGGAAGGGATGTATGCAGTTCTAAGGTCCCAGGCCCAGGAATGGGGCTTTGGGGTCCTCCACTCTTCCAGCAACAGGGCTTGACCACCTGGGCTGTGGCACGTGGAGCCCCTGTGTCCTTTGCTCCTGCAAGGGTAGTGCTAAGAGGGTGGGTGCCCAAACCAGAGCCCCCGCCCCCTTGCTGGCTGCCTGGGAAACAGGAGAGCCTCGAGGTGAGGCCGGGGTTAAACCCAGGAGCTCCCACTGCTCCCGGGCTGCCTAGGAAACAGGAGAACCCCTGGGTGCGCCTGGGAGGTAAACCCAGGATCCTCGCAGGAGCCCCCGTCCCGCTCTGGGCCCATGGCAGGCCTGTCCCGGTCTAGTCCTGACCGCAGTGCGCTGGGGCCGAACTTGAACGTGTTTTATCTTTTCCAGCGGCTTTTCTTCCTCAGTACAGGTTCCTAAATGAAGCTGCAAGCCAAGTTCGTGGATTTTCAATCACTCTCAAGTTTTGGAGCTCGGTCAGAGTCCTTGTTTCCAAAACTCAGTCTCAGATTTGATCTAGAATCTGAGACTCCCCCCTACTCCCCTGACCCCCAGTTAGACCTGAGGTGCTGCAGAGGGGGTCTGGCTCCTGCACCTGCACCCCCTGAGCTCCAGCTGAGGCTCCAGGAGGCTGCCTGGCACATCCTAGCCACCCCCCAACAACCACCCCCACCATGACCACATCTTGTGGAAGAGGGAGCCTTTTGGGGAAAATAGGAAAGTGGAAGGTTCTAGGAGGGTTATGCCATTGCTGCTGATGGCAGTGCCAACCAGGATGTACGGGCACGTGGCCAGCTGACATTGGGGGGTCCTGGGGCCCCTTCTGCCCTGCTAGGGACATCCTGCCGCTGACAGCTCTAGTCCACAGCCTGTGTCACACAGGACTCTGAGCTGCCATGCGCAGAGCCCGCAAAGCAATGTGGAGCTCCGGATGTGTTTAGAAAGTGAGGATGTGGTTTCCATGGCAACGCTCCTTTTGCACCTTGCTCTCATCTCCACGTGTACTGCTGATAGGAGAATGAGGGGGCCGAGGCAGGTGTGAGGTTCACATCCCCTCTGCAGTTTGGAGCTCAAGGTCAAGGGAGCTTCTTGGCAGGGGAGGGCGCCGGCCAATATGGTAGGAGGCAGAGTGGCGGAGATGCCCATAAAGGCATCACAGAGGGAGCAGGCCACCCGTGAGGGGACCACCTGGCAACAACAGCAGTGGCAGTGAGAGCAGAGGTGGGCCCACCTCACCGGTCAACGTGTGTGCATTTATTCACGGATCACACGTGCCCTCATTCCAGGGGCACAGAGAGGTGAAGTGACTTCCCCAGGTCACAGCCGGTGGGGGGCATTGCTGGGATCTGACCGCTGCTGTCTGCTGTCTGTCCTCTGGTCGACACACAGCCCCATGTGCTGTGCTCCCTTGACATGCAGAGAAGCCAACAGAGGCTTGGAGCCGGGGATCTCAGCTCCAGCACCATTCACATGTGGGGCCAGAGAGCCCTGTTGAGGGCGGCTGTCCTGGCACGGTTAGCATCCTGTGTCCACTGCCCACTAGATGCCTGGAACCCCCTCCAAGTTATGACAATCAAAAGGGTCGCCAGACATTGCCAAATGTCTCTTGGGCAAAAGTGCCCCAAGTTGAGAGCCACTGATGCAGAGCTTTGCAAAATGTGCCTCATCACCTGCTAAGTGGGGGAAGCCAGGAGGCTAAGTCAGGGCTGTGCGTCGTCTGACTCTGCAGAGACACAGGAAGGAGCGCGGCAGATTGGGTGATGTGGGGGTCGCCTCCTGGACTTGAGAAGGGCGGAGGCATCCTCTCACTTTGGTTCCCATTCATTCATTCATTCATTCCCCACGTGTTTCTCAAGCCCACAGCCTCTGCTGGGCATCCAGGGTCCTGAAATGAGTAAGAGGCCCCCCTTTCCCTCAGAGTTTGAATCTGCTCTCTGGCTGTTTTCCAAAGTAGCATGTGAATGTGCACAGTGTGGTCACTTAGGAAATCCTGAGCTTGACCAACGGCTTTGTGAGTGTTCGTTTGTTTTAATTGTTAAAAACAATATGACTCAGGTCTCTGCCAAAAGAAACTAATGAAGCCACGCAGGGAAGCAGCCTCTGCTGAGCTCTCACCGCACAGCAGGCCCACAGGGGGTCTCGCCGATGCTCACTGTTCACCCGGGATGCGCAAGGCTTTGGGCCAGGTCTTCTGTGTAAATTAGCACTGGATCCGGGCAGGCACCAAGTGAGGAGGTGATCACCCCACCCCACGATGAGGAAATGGGGGCTCCCGCAGGAGGAATACGCTCAGTGTGACCCAGCGCATAGTGGGGGCCAGGATTTGTACCCAGCACGTCGGGCCCTGGGGCCACCTTCTTTCCATCTTGGGTAGAGGTTTCCTTGGGCACGAGGGGTCCCTGCTTGGTCTGTGAATTACTCAGGGGCTCCTGCAGGCGGCAAGGCCCTGTTTGTCAGACACCCTCTTCCTCCCTGTCCATTACGGGGTCCGAGGCCCTTCCCTTGTCATGCCCCCAACACACAACCACACCCTTAAACACACGCAGACACACACTTCGACAAACACACAGACACACTCTCACGTGCAGACATATTCGCACATGCAGACACAAACACATACGTAGACACACTCACGCACCAGTCACACACACTGACGCACATTCAGCTATGACAGGTGCAGGTCCCTGGAGTGAGGACGTGTGTGATCCATGAATCAATGCACACCTGGGTGGTTGACTCAGTGGGCCCTGCTCCGTCCCAGTTGCTGCTGTTGTCACCAGGTGTTCACCTTGTGAGAGGCCCTTTCCCTTGGGGATGCTGTCACAGCGTCTCTGCCGCTCTGCCTCCCACTCCCCGCCCCTGACCTCATATATTCACAGGAAGACTCACAGGAAGACTCAGGTGACATACAAATGCTCACAGTCCCATAAGACACATCCACATACTTAGACAGTCACACCCTATGCACACAGATGCACATGCACTCACACGCACCCCGCTCAGGCTCGTGCACCAGGCTCTCCCCAGCTCCCCAGCCTGCTCCACCCGCTCTGCCAGGGGAGCATGCCCATGATGCTGGCTGTGGAGCCCCCGGTATGGTGGCTCATAGGGTGGAGGGATTGTGGGCCGCTGGCTCAGGGCAGGGCCAAAACCTGGAGGCCCTGTGCACAAAGACCAGGCCCTGGGACACAGGACAAGTGAGCAGGGCAGGCACGGCTGGGAAGGACAGAGAGGGCACCAGGAGGCCAGGCAGGGTCCCACGAGGCTGGTGGCCACGGGGTGGAGAGCGCCAGTCACCGTAGGGATGGCAGAAAGAGAGAAGGTGGGTTTGGCTGGCTGGGTGTGGCGGGAGAGCTCCCAGGGCTGACGGGGTTGGGGGCTGGGGGCTGGCTCGGCCCTCTCTAATATGGTCCATTTCCCTTTGGGGGGCACATCGAGTCACAGTTGGGTTCAACCTGGTACGTCTCGGTGCCAGGAGCCAACTCCGCTCTCCTGCAAGACAGGACCTCTGTTTCTTCATCTAGGTTTCCCCAGCTCATAGCCCAGGCTGCATGCAGTCAGTGCTCAATGCATGCAGGGTCAAACTTCCCCAGTTGCCTTCCCTATGCTCCAGAGACTGCTGTGTAAGAGACTCCTCCAAGCACACTCGCTGTGGCTGCTGGTCTGTCCCGCCCCTCCCGGCTGCCCCAGGGGCCTTCACGGAGTGTGGAGAGCAGGAGGCCTCCCCAACACCTCTCACAATGGTGGGGGTGTCTGTGTTCTCTTCTCTTTCTTCCAGGTTGTGGGGGCTGCGGCACAGAAATCAAGAATGGCCAGGCCCTGGTAGCCTTGGACAAGCACTGGCACTTGGGCTGTTTTAAGTGCAAGAGCTGTGGGAAGCTCCTGAATGCCGAGTACATCAGCAAGTAAGTGGGGGGAGGGCTCTAGTGAGAGCCTCCGCTCAGGCTTCCCTACTCTGTGGGGGTCCCACACTCTGCACGTGTCCCCAGCGCCACCCTCTCTGTGTCTCTCCTATTCCTCACACAGCTACTACTGCCCTGCTGCTGGGTGAGAAGCATGGCTCAGAGCTCAGCGAATTTGTCCCAACAGCCTTATGTCCCCCTTCCCTGGCCAGCCCTGGCTTCTCTAACGGCATTTGCAGCATCCGGCTCCTTTTTTTGGATGAGAAGCAGAGCTACCAGGGCTGCCAGTGCTGAGTTTTTGAAGTGCCTTCCCTCCCCGTCGCAGTCCCCCTCCACCATCCCCATGGGATCAGCTGCCTTTCCGGCGCCTGGATGTCCTGCAGGAGGTGAAGCAATGTCAGCAGAAGCCAGCATGGAGATGAGGAGAGGGGGCTGACCCATCCCAGGTGTCAGGGCTGGGGCCCCACAGCCACGCACTCTGTCTTCTGCAGAGCGGGGGCCCCTGGGGCAGCTGCCATCGACACCAAACATGTCCCACAAATGTGCAGTCACACTGGGGTGGTGGCCGATTTGGGAACCAGGGAAGGCTTCTGGGAAGATAATGGCCTTGAATGGAGGCAGCTCAGGGCCAGGAGCTGGGGGTCGGTTTTAACCCTGGGGGATTGGGGACCTGAGGCAGGCAAGCCTTCCGCATGGTGCAGGTGAGGGGCGAATATGTGGACGAGCTGAAGGCGGGCAGCTCCTCTGAGCGCAGAGGGCCCCTTCCTGGGAGCTAGAGGGTCTTCTGGCCACTTTTATCTATGCTGTGCTTGTTCTCAATGCCCAATGGGAACAAAATCATCACAGGAATTGATGGGGATGAAAAACGCCCTGTGATAAAACTGCATGGAGTGAGGCGCGCGCACACACACACACACGCACGCACGCATATGCATGCACATTCGAGCACATGTCACACGGAACCTGAATCACGTCGGTGGATGTGCCCGTGTTGACTTCCTGGCTGAGGGTGTATACTAATTCTGCATCACCACTGGGGGAAACTAGGCGAAGGGTACATGGGACCTCTCTGTATTGTTTCTTACAACTGCTGGGGAATCTGCAATGATCTTCAAGACATCATTTTAAGTAAAACCTCCAAACCAAGGTGAGCTTGCACCCAGGGTGAGGGACCTGTGCGGTGCATGAGTTTCCCCGCCTGTGTCACGGTCATCCAGGGACCGCCCGGTGTGGTGCACGCAGCACTTTAATATAAAATGAAAATGCCCAGCCCCGTGCAGGCGGCAGGCCCCTCCCGCAGCGTTGGCAGCTCACCCACACCGTGCATGTTACTTAGCAGCCTCCAGAGCTGTCCCAGAATTGACAAGGAGGGCGTTGGTGTTGCCATGGAGATGTTATCTTTAACTTCCCATTTGCTGCAAATAACACTCGTTTGTGGGTTATTACGGGAGTCCTGAGGTCAGCGGCATTTGGAAGTAAGCCTGAGGACTCATTGTATGTCTCCCCCTCACATGGAAGGAAGGGCTGCCACTCTCTGAGCGATGGCTTATCCCAGCTGTGGGCCACTTCCAGGCCGCAGCCAGAGAGGGGCACCCAGGCCCGGGGCTCATGACCCCACATCCTGGGGACCTAGCAACAGCCCGGAGCTTGGAGGAAAAGAACGTGAGCTGGGGTCTAATCCATGACAGCCTGAGAAATCCTCCCTTCTCTAGTAGCTGTGCAAAAACTCAAACCAAATTTGGAACACTACAGCAACTTCAGCGATGCTGGAAGGGGCGCATTGGAGTGGCAGGTACCTCGCTCTGTGCCAGTCACCCCCACACGTGCTGGGTCTGGCCGGGGCTGAGAGGACAGCCCTGGTTAGTAATGACAATGCTTCAGCCACCTTGGAGAGTGCCTGCCATTCTCTTCATTAGTCCTTACTATTATTTCCCCCATTATGCAGTTGGGGAAGCTGAGGCTCAGAGAGGTTAAGTGAGTTGCCCAGGGTCACACAGCTGGGATGTGGCATTTGAGCACAGGCCTGTTCACTCAACCACGGCTCAGCAGAGCAGCGCCTCCCCACACCGAGTGTGGCCACTGCTGACCTGCTGTCCCCACATCTGCACAGCCATCCATCTTGGCATGTTGATCTCTTAATAATCATGATAACGGGTGTGAAGGTCAGCTCAGGAGCTGTGCCAGGGATGACCCCGCAGACGGCTTTTCTCTGTAGCTCATTTATGGAGACTCGGAGGAAGCCTCTGCTGGAGGGGCAGGCCCAGGATGATGGGCATTCGACACCAATTCCCTGAGCCCTATGCACCTGGCACATAGCAGGCAGGCCGCACGTGTGCGTGGGGAGAGGGGATGGACGCATACGTGCAGCCCTCCTGCTCTTTCCTGCACTGCGGAAGGCCAGGCCTCTCCAAGTGTGGCCAGAGCCAGCCTTTGTCACCCCTCATATTCGGGGGCTGTGATGCAGGCCAGGATGCAGGGGGGACAGTAAAGTCTTGTCCTAACCTACCACACCCTCATCTGGGCTTTCTGTCATTCTCCAGCCCTGTTCCCAATGTGGGTGCCCTTACTGTCCCCCCTCTTTGGCTCACAGTTTTCTAAGGCACCCCAGATGTTGAACTTTGGATGGAAGGAGCCAGAAAGAAGAGCCAGGTCTACAGAAGCAGCTCTCGTTTCCCAGAAGCTGCTGCTGTCAGCCCCTCCCACCCACTGGGCAGGTGGTCTGGCCTGTGCTCCTCAGTTTCTCCGTCTGTGAAATGGGACCATTGTCATCATATTTCTCATGGGGCTGGTGTCTGTGAGAGCCCAATGACACTGCCTGTTGGAAGCATTGTTACCTGAGCAGGAGGAGGTGGGCATTCCCCCACTTTGAGGGCAGACTCTCTTGTTGGTGAGGGTTGTTAGATCTCAAGGGTCCTCGGGCGACACCCGCCCTGTGTTGACTGCCTGTCTCATTGCAGGGATGGGCTGCCCTACTGCGAAGCTGACTATCACGCCAAGTTCGGCATCCGCTGTGACAGCTGTGAGAAATACATCACGGGGCGCGTGCTGGAGGTAAGCGCGGCGGGCCGGGCCCCTGCCCGCTCTGAGCTAGGGCCTAACTGCCCCCCTGGGAGTTGACTGGGAGATTTGTGTGTGTTTGTGCAAGAATCTGTCTGGCTGCAGCTTCACCTCCCTATTCCTGCCAGCTCAGCCAATGGACACCCTCATCAGCTGTCCAGGGCCTGCCCAGTGCCACCTCCTCCAGGAAGCCTGCCTTGTGATGCTCTCTTCTGTGCCTCTTGACAAATTCAGAGCATGTGGGAAGTGCCTTGAGATGTTTTGGCCCAGCCGTTTGCTGTCTAGATTGGGACTCAGAGGCACGGAAGATGGAAGAGAGCCCACACCAGGACCTCGTCCCCATAGGAGGCACAGCGGGGTCGCCCGGGAGGCAGGGCAGATAGCAATTATGCAGGGGGAGCTTCTGAGGTGCTGATAGCTTTGTGTGCCTTGGTCTGGGAGGTAGTCATGTGGGCATGTTCCCTGTGTGAAAATTACACATTATGCCCTTTTCTGCGTTTTGTTCAATAAGATAAATCCCATGGGGCAACTAGGACCAAACCCCACCCTCCAGATTCACAGACCCCCAACCCCCATCCTGCAGCCCACCCTTCGGATTCACAGACCCCCAACCCCCATCCTGCAGCCCACCCTCCGGATTCACAGATCCCACCATCCTGCAGCCCACCTTCTCTGGGTTCACAGACCCCCCCACCCTGTAGCCCACCCTCTCTGGGTTCACAGACCCCCCCACCCTGTAGCCCACCCTCTCTGGGTTCACAGACCCCCCCACCCTGTAGCCCACCCTCTCTGGGTTCACAGACCCCCCACCCTGCAGCCCACCCTCTCTGGGTTCACAGACCCCCCCACCCTGCAGCCCACCCTCTGGATTCACAGACCCCCCCCAACCCTGCAGCCCCTCCTTGCCTCAGTGCTGTGGTGCTGGTCAGGCAGGTGGACTGTCCCCATCCCTGGATTGGCCCATGGTCCATGGGGGAAGCGACAGGTGACCAGGGGGGTCTCGAGAATGGAGAGGGGCTGTGCCTGGTGTGGGAGCCCCTCTCGAGGAGGTTGCAGGAGCTGGCCTCTGGGGTTTGGCTGGGAGGATAGGGTGGGGCTGGGGATGAGGCTGTAGGGAGGGGCACTGAGGAAGGCCTTGGTGCAGGGAATGCTGGGCCACATTGGAGTTTTAGAGAGCTCCCACTGGCTGCCGCAGAGGCCAGTCTGGAGAGGGTGGAATGGGGTGTACCCTTGGATCCCCAAGGCTCCCCTCTGCAGCTCCCACAGCTGGTACCCAGGACCCAAAAGCATTCAGAATGCGGAGGGGAATGGAACAGTGAGCGCAGAGTGGCTTTTCTGGCAAGAAAAAGGCAGCTGGCGGAGAGCTGGACCTGGCCTCAGGCCACCTTCTTTCAAACCCGCATCCAGCAACTCTACCTGGCGGGGAGACGGGTGGCCACACCCATCCCAGTCCCAGTCACTGTGTCTCACTTCCCCAGCTGCAGACTCCAGGGGGCTGGATGCCCCCACGGGAAGGGTCCTGGCCCTGCAGAGAGCTCTGCACTCCTCTGTGGAGTGGCTCTGAGAGGGATGTCCTCCATTCTCATTGATGTGAGGAAGTTTGCAAAGTCCAGAGAGGTGCTAAGAAGAAAATAAAACCACTGACTATGCAATCATAGTTAGCCTAACTTTCTGGCCAGTTTTCTTTCGTTTTTTCTTTCCATGTAATCATAGTTGATCTCAAACCATCTGTGCCATGTTGTATCCCAAACATCCCTGTGTTTCCCAACTCATATTTCCTATTTAGCAGATTTCCAGTTTATTATAAACTCCCCATAAGCATTTCTTCTTTTGGTATTGTGGGGTCTTTTTAAATAGCTTCATTGAGATAGAGTTCACAATTTGCCCATTTAAAGGGCACAAGTCAATGGTTTTCTTTTTTTTCTTTTTTTGGAGAGGTTCTCACTCAGTTGCCCAGGCTGGAGTGCGGTGGTGTCATCACAGCTCACTGCAGCCTCACTTCCCAGGCTTAAGTGATCCTTCCACCTCAGCCTCCCGACCAGCTGGGACTACAGGTGTGCGCCACCACACCTGGCTAATTTTTGTAGTTTTTGTAGAGACAGGGTCTCACTATGTCACCCAAGCTGGTCTCGAGCTCCTGAACTTAAGCAATTCACCTGCCTTCACCGCCCAAAGTGCTGGGATTACAGGTGTGAGTCACCATACCCAGCCCATTCAATGGTTTTCTTTATCAATAACCATAGATATTTGCAGCCATCTCCACAGTCAATTTTAGAACAGTTTCCTCACCTTAGAAAGAACCCCATACCTTTTAGCTGTCACTCCCCGTACCCGCAAGCCCTCGGCAACCACCATTCTACTTTCTACTTTCTGTCTCCATAGACTTCTCTTCTGGACGTTTCATATGAATGGAATCATGAAATATGTAGTCTTTCATGACCGGCTTCTTTCACATAGCTTGATGTTTTCAAGGTTCGTTCGGACATAAGCTTTACTCTCGCATCATATTTCATCATGACTCTCAGAATTGTCAGGCTGGGCCGGGAGCGGTGGCTCATGCCTGTAATCCCAGCACTTTGGGAGGCTGAGGCAGGCGGATCACGAGGTCAGGAGTTCAAGACCAGCCTGGCCAACATGGTGAAACCCCGTCTCTACTACAACTACAAAAATTAGCTGGGCATGGTGGTGGGTGCCTGTAATCCCAGCTACTCAGGGGGCTGAGGCAGGAGAATTGCTTGAACCAGGACCAGGAGGTGGAGGTTGCAGTGAGCCGAGACTGCGCCACTGCACTCCAGCCTGGGCTACAGAGCGAGACTCTGTCTCAAAAAAAAAAAAAAAAAAAAAAGAATTACCAGGCTGATCATTTATGGCTGGACACAATGCCGCCTTCCAGTTTTTTACAACCATCAGTAACATTGCAGCGAACACCCTTTAAAAATAATGCTTTGTTTGCATTTCTAATTTTTCCTAAGATATATTCACAGAAATGTAGAAGTTGAGTCAAAAACTAGGAACATTTTTAGTGTTCTTGATGGTTACTATAAATTGCTTTCTAGAAAGATTATTCTGATTTACAATCTTGTCAACAAGATATAGTATTTCTCCTCTAAACCTTTGCCAATTTGATAGGTGGAAACATGGGATCTTGCTTTTTTAAATTTCTTTTTTTAGAGATGGGGTCTTGCTCTGTCACCCAGGCTGGAGCGCAGTGATGAAGTCATAGCTCCCTGTAGCCTCGACCTCTTGAGCTCAAGCAATACTTCCTCAGGCTCCCACGTAGCCGGGACTACAGGCATGCAATACCATGCTTGGATAGTATTTAAAATTTTCTTAGAGACAGGGATCTTGCTGTATTGCCCCAGCTGGCCTGGAACTCTTGGCCTCAAGTGATCCTTCCACCTCAGCCTCCCAAAGTGCTGGGATTAGGGGTGTGAGCCACCGCACCCTGCAGGGTCTAGCTTTAATTTGCCTTTCTTCCATCCCTAGTGAGGCTGAGTCTTGTCTTTTTTTTTTTTTTTTTTTTTTTTTTTTTGTGAGACAGAGTTTTACTCTTGTCATTCAGGCTAGAGTGCAGTGGCGCAATCTCGGCTCACTGCAACCTCCACCTCCTGGGTTCAAGCCATTCTCCTGCTTCAGCCTCCCAAGTAGCTGGGATTACAGGCGTGAGCCACCACGCCTGGCTGATTTTTGTATTTTTGGTAGAGATAGAATGTCACCATGTTGGCAGGCTGGTCTCGAACTCCCGACCTCAGGTGATCTGCCTACCTCAGCCTCCCAAAATGCCGGGGTTACAGGCGTGAGCCACCATGCCCAACCTTTTGTCATTTGTAGCCATTCCTAATTCTTGTATTTCAGTTATCTGTTGTAAATGTTGCCTGCTTATCTATTTAGGGTCTTTGTGCCTTCTGTGCGGGTGGATCACATAAGGCTGCAGATGTTCTGTCTGTCCTATAAGTATTTTCCTGGGTGGCGATCATATCTGATATTTACAGCCAGTGATGCATCCCAGGGACGACGTCCTGCCTGGCCCTCTCCTCTCTCCCCTTCTCCTGGGGCCGTGGCCTCTCCCTCCCTCACCCCTCCCCTTGCTCAGCCCTTGCTGGCACACCCCACCCTGTAGGAGGTGGTGAGGGCTCTGGAGGAGCCTGCAGGATAGGATGGAGCCTGGCCTGATGCACTGCCTGGCAGTCCAAAGCCACGTTTCCGTTCTCCGCGAAGAACAGCCCAGACCTTCCACACTGTCCTGGACTGCGCTCCCTGCCCACACAGCGGCCTTGTCTTCTGCTTGACAAAGAGTTGGCAGCCAGACCTCAGCGAGGACGGCCTGGGTGGCTCACTCTCTATGAGACCCCATTTCTATCCTGACTCTCTCCCTTGCCCTGCTGCTTCCCGCACACCACCCCCACCCCTACCACGCCTGTGCCTGGGTCCAGCCGCTCTGGCCATCGCCCCCTCTGCCGTGCTTGATCCTGTCTCCTCCCATCTTCCCCACCTTACCTGCCAGGGCTTCCCCTCCAGTGGCGTTTTAGAGAGTGTTCATCTCTCCCGTTAAAAACAGCAGCCTGGTATGGAAGTCCCCACTGCAGAGACTCAGCCTCTCCTCTCCCTTCGCACCGGCCCCACTGCCTCTCAGAGACCCTCTCTGTGCTCCTCCACCTGTACTCTCCCTGCTCTTCTGCAGATCCGGGGGCTTTGTGTGCAGGAAACCCTAAGGCCTTTAAGCCTCCTCTTACCGACCCCTCCCTACTTCCCCAGGGGCCTTGCAGGGCCTGCGTTCCCCACTCAGGTGCTGTCCCTGACCCTGCTCCTCTTATGCGCTGGTGGCTCTGATGCTCAGCCAGGCCAACACCACATGCAGGCACTCTCCCTCCGCCACATACACACTGCCTCCCACCACTCACCTGGGCGTCCAGCTGGATCCACCCACGTGCCCGGCCATCAGCCACTGAGAGTCGGTGGCAGAGCCAGACTGGAGCCCGGGGTGCGCAGGTTTCCCCCAACCCTTTGTCTTCTCCTGGTGCACAGATGCAGGTTTGCATTTTTGGCTTAATAGCATAGCCACGTTGGAACATCTGGTGGCCTAAAGTGGGGTGTATCTTGGGTGCAGTCAGCTGCGGCTGTTGCTGCTGCTGGTGCAGGAGCCTCACCTGCCCCGCGTTTCTGACACCCATGGGCAGCAGCCCCCACACCAGAGAGGCCCTGGCCTGGGGTCGGGGGCAGACCCCACCCAAACTGGGGCTGCTCTGCCTCAGGCACGCTCCGCACTGGGCGAGCAAAGTGGGTTTCATCAGGCAGCCCCCCCTCCCCTTGATGGATTGGGAGGCAAGCGTCCCATGTCTGCAATGTAAGCATCCCTGATATTTAATGCCAAATACAGAATTTGGGGTGCGCCCTGGTTCATCGGGAAGGAACCATCCTAATTCGAGGAACAGGAGCAAAACAGGTCTGGGTTTTTTCCTCCTCCTCTGCTGTGGAGGAGAAAGGGCCTCCTGGGGAAGATTAATGCTTTTGTTTTCGCCTCTGCCGGGGAGGCGAGTCTGTGGCGGCGTGGCTGAGTCGGCGGGCTCTGCACAGCTCTGAGCATCCTCCCCGGGTGCAAGGTGGGAACTGCGGGCGGGGACAAGCCTGGCTCCGCAGAAGGGGAGCTGCCGCCGCCGCGGTGGCACTGCCTGATGCTCGGCCCAGTGTGCCGGTGCCCCGCTGGGTGACAGTGGACTCCCAGGGCGCAGCAGGAGCAGGTGACAGACTGTTGGCTGAAGGTGAGGGTGTCCACCCTCGCAGGCACACGTTCCAGGGAGCACGGCACTCAAGCAGGGCCGTCAGACTGGGCTCTGGTGCCCAGAAGCTGTGCAGGTAGGAAACCTGGCCCGCAACTCCAAGGGGCTGATGGGGGCTCACAGGGGCCAGGAGGGGCTGCGGGTGGGTGGGTTTTTGGGGACAGAGCAGTCAGGTGTGAGACCTCGGAGCCACCTGTTCCCCCACCCCCGTTTTGCCCCCTAAGGCGCTTGGCAGTGCCCCTGGCTTCCCTCTGCAGGACCCAAGCACAGAGCATCCCAGGCTCCCACTGCCAGCCGAGCCCTCGCCTGTGCTGTGTCTGCGTGTGGTGGGCATGGTGCCATCCTAAGTGCTGGCGCCCGCAGTGCCCGCCTGCCCGCGAAATGTGCATTTGGTGGTGACAGTGGGGTTTTCCTTCCCCGTCTCTCCCTCAGTTTCTCCTAAACGTGCAGCACCCTCATGCATGTTGGCCTGCATCCCACCCATCTCTGGGTGTCTGTCCTGATGAGCCGGCTCCTTGCTGGGGTCCTGTGGGGGCATGGGAGGGGCTGATATCTGTGTCCCACTCCTGGGCCGGGATGGCTGGCTAGGGATGGGGGAGGCACTGGGCTGGGGCAGCAGAGGTGGGTGGCGCCTGGCAGCAACTGTGGCAGAGCCAGCTGCTGGGGACGGATGGCGCTGCCCCCACAGAGGGAGCTGGGACTCAGCTGGCGAATCCACGGGGACAGCGGTGTGACCAGCCTCTAGACCAGGGCTGCATAAAGGGAGGAGGTGTGGATGAGGAGAAGCCACTGGCCATGTGTTCAGAGCCCCACCTTCCAGGAACCCCATCCCTCCCTCGCCCTGTCAACACCTCCTGAAGAGGTGGGCGGGAGTGGGGGTGCCTGTTTCCAGCCCCACCCTCTGTTAACCCTGTCAGGGCTGAGGTCTGGACCGGTGTGCCTCGTGCAGTCTGTGCAGGGGCCGTCTCCCCGGTAACAAGAAGCCCAGCGTCCCCCTGGTTCTGCGAATCAATTCCTCCTCCCTTTACTCCTCCCCTCCTCCTTCCCTCCCTCTGCCCCTCCTCTCTTTCCTTCCCCAGTCAACCACTCCCTTCTAGACCCTTCCTGGCCTCACTGTGTGTTCCACCCTGGGCTAGATGCTGGGTTCACAGAGACGCAGGTGACAGATCCCTGCCACAGGGGAGGCTGGCAGGAAAGGGGGTGCCGAGGCTCTCTCTGCCCTGGGTCAGGGACCAGTTGAACATCATTCTTGCAATTGCGGGACATTTGTTCTTTGCTTCCTCCTGTCTGTCTTGGGGCAGGAAGCACGGATGACTCTCGTCACTGGGAGAAAACAAACCGTGTTTCCAAATAAATACAGCATTTCTGATGGGTAGAGGTGATAGCGACTTCTCAAGTCCCCAACTTCTCTCACTCAAAAGGAATACCTGTTTATCATAAAATAAGCCAAAACATTCATAGTGCCACCCCCACAGCTAACTACTGCTGGCATCTAGAAGTCATCCTTTCAGATTTTGCACACGTGCAGATACACACATCCACAGACACACACGAGATATACACACACATGCACAACCCACAGACAACACACGTGGACACAGAGACACAGGACAAAACACAGACACACGCGGTCACACACACAAGACAGACACAGCACAGACAGACACACAGGCCACACACATACACACACAGACGTACACACACAGACACAGATTGTAGACATACATAGACACATGCAGACACACAAACACACAGAAAGACACAGATGACACAGACACACTCAGATACACAGATACATACACACACAAAGCACATAGACACACACAAACACACAAAAGGACACACAGATCACATACACATACAAGACGTGCAGACAGCACGCTTAGGCACACAAACAACACACATGGAAATAAACACACAGAAAGAAACACATGACACACACAACCAACATAAACACAGGGACACAGACATCGACAACGCAGACACACAGAAAACACACACGGCACCCACAGACACGTACACACAGACAACACATAGAGACACACAAGCACACGGAGAGACACAGACAACATGCATGGACACACCGAAACGTACACAGACAACACAAGGACACATGGACACAGAGACTGCACATAGCAACACACAGACAACACACAAACACACACAGAGACACACAGAAATGCACACAGACAACCAAGACAGCACACACGATGCACACACAGACACACGGAAAGACATCCACACAGACACCAGGCAAAACACAGAGACACACAGACACGCACATGCGCACACACCCTTTGCCGCATCTCTGCCTTCCTGCCTTGCCTCATGCCGGCAGCGCATCAGAGCCCCTGGTCCTACCCTTCCACGCTGGCCTGTCGTGTCCTCCCTTGCGTCCCCTGGTCCCCGGGCAATGTGCTCATCACTGTCTTCGTGGTGGGACCCTCCGAGCCTGGACACGCTGCAGTGCGTGTGAACATCCACAGGCGGGATTCTGCCCTAGCCTTTCCCAAACTTAGTCAAGTTCTCTGGTCCTCTAGGGCCGCTCAGGCTGGCCTCCTGGGCACCGTGTTGCCTTGTTCAGAACGTCCCCACTGGACGGCTCGTCTGCCAGTGCCACTGCTGGAGGGGACGCCGGGGTACAGCAGAGAATGAGGCCGCTGGGCCAAGCGCTCCTGAGGCTCACGCCTTAACGGGAGCTGGGTAGAGAGGAAGAGGCAGTGGGGCCAGGAGTGAGTGTGCTAGACAGGCCTGGGGCCAAGAGGAGCTGTGTTCCAGAGGGTGTGGAAGGTCTGGGGAGGGCCCAGATCTCAAGGGGCCTTGCTGGGCACTGCTCAGAGTGGGGCCCTTCTTTCTGGGATGCAGTGGCCCCTGGGGATTCTGGGGATTCTGTCCTGGCCGCCAAACACCCCCAGGGGGATCCCCTGCTCACAGCTTTCATTTGTTTCTTTGTAAATTTCATTTTGTTTGTGCATCATGGTGATTAGGTCTTTTAAGACCTGGACTCAGTTCTGGAAGTTCAGAAAGGAAACTAGAGCTCTGAACTGGGCCGATGACTGTGAGGAGCAGCTGCTGGGAGCTGCCTGCTGCAGGGAGGTGCAGCCCGCAGGCCCAGCCCTGGCCCTCGGCTGAGCGGGAGCCCGCAGCGGGGAAGAAGCAAGGGGAAGTGTGGCAGCTCTCCAGTGGGCAGAGGAGGCCTTTGCACCCGGATTCCGTGGTTGGATTCAGGGAGGAAAGGGGCCTCCTGCCTCAGGTGTGAGGGGCTCATGGCAGAGAGGGCTGATCCATTCTCCAGAAGCCCAAAGACGGGGGACCACTAGCTCTCCTCTGCTGGGACAGGAGGGGTTTCTGGAGGCGGGACAGCTTTGCCACACCTCTGTCCTGCTGGCCCTATTCTGCACGTCACAGTGGGGACGTCCCTTAAACCGCTGCCCTCTGACCCAGCACTGGCTGAGGACCTGTGGTCACCCTGAGCCACCACAGGCTGTGGGTGTGCTTCCCTGGCACCTCGTTCTGCCTTATTAAAGATGACAGCCACCCTTCAGAAGGCACAAGATGTCTTCCTAAAACCACTCACTGCAAAGTCTTTCAGTTGCTCATATATTTTGAAATCCGAGCCATCATGAGCCCCACGCGGGCGAGGGTGGGACTTCCGCCTGCCTGGGGAGCCGTGCGCCCACTGGAACAACCAGCGGCCGAGGTTTCAGGCACTCCTCGGGTGGCAATTGGGAGGATGTGGCCACTGTACCGATGACTGGGACGCCCCAGTCACTATGAGAGAATGGGAATGACAACAGGAGGTGACACAGGGAATGAGGACACTTCTAATTTTTGACTCCATCAGCCCATCGATGGCCGCCTGTGACCCACTGGTTCTCAGCAGGAAGTATGGGGTAGGGAGGGGGTGACCTGTGCCATGCCGGTACCTTCCAGCTAAATGTCCTCTGGAATCACAGAGCCCGGTTATACTACCCCAGCCTGAGAGGGAGGGACAGTCCTCTCCATCTTATACACGGGGACACTGAACCCCAGCACGTGACACAGGGCCTGAGTCACACAGCCAGGAAGAGAGAATCTCAGGCTGGAATCTGTCACCTCCATGGCTTTGGCCACGAGCCTGGGACAGGCCTGAGCACCGGCAGGCACATTTGCTCCGTCCACTTGACGGCCCCGTGGTGTTCCTCAGAGCCTGAAGACACAGGCCCTCCAGCCCTGCCCCTCCACCATGGGTGGATTGTTCCAGAACATGGAGCGTCCTTAAAATGTAAGGGTTTGGCTGTTGACTCTCATACTTTATGAGTGGCCCGAACTGTGAGTGAGGGTGCCGGCTGCCCCTGGCCACGCGGCTGTGCCATCACTGGAAAGGGTGCAGAGCTGGCACTGGCTCAGACTTGGCTCTAACTCTGCTGTGTGACTTCTCAGACCCCAGGCTGCTCCTCTGTGCCATGGGCCAGGCCGTGGCGTGTACAGCGTGGAAGGCTTCCGTCTCTGCCCCCAGCTCACTAGGAGCTCTGCGACCCTTCCTTTTCCTGTGTCTGTGCGTTGGGTGTGGGAGGAGGGCTGTTGACAGGGAGCCGGTGAGCTGAGGATGCAGTTAATTCCGTGCTCTGAGGCCCCGGACCTGCAGGGGCTCAGCCACAAATGTCCCCGATTGTCCCCATGGCCCATGGAGTCTTCCCAGGAGGTAGCATCCAGCCTGCCTTCTTTGGATCCTGGCTCCTCATTCTCTCAATGACATGGCCTTGGGTAGGCCCCCCTCGCCTCTCTGAGCCTCGACCTCCTCCTCTGGAAAACAAGGATAGACAAGAGTGTTCACCCCAAGGGGCTGCTGTGAGGATGAACTTGAGGCAGGCAGAGCACCTGACACAATGCTTGGTATGTGGTTGGTCATTCAAAAGTTGGCCATTTGGGGATCAGCTCTTCTTTAAAAAGTTGAGGTGACATTCACGTAACGTACAATTAACCATTTAAAATGTTCGGTGGCATTTGGTGCATTCACAATATCATGCAACTTCCAGTTCTCTCTAGTTCCAAAACTTTTTCGTCACCCCGAGAGGAAACCTCACCCCCACTAGGCAGTTACTCCCCATTCCCTCCTCCCCCAGCCTCTGGCAGCCACTCACCTGCTTTCTGTCTCCATGGATTTGCCTGCTCCGGATTTTCCATAGTGAAGGAATCCTCTACCCCGTGGCTTTGCGTCTGGCATCTTTCACTGCACACGTTTTCAGAGTTCATCCATGTTGTAGCAGGATCAGTGCTTTCATTCCTGTCTGTGGCTGAATAATACTCCCTGGCATAGATACGCCACTATTTCTTCATCCACGATGGACACCGGGGCTGTTTCTATCCTTTCGCTGTTATATAGAATGCTTCTGTGAACATCATGTACAGGTTTTTATGTGGAACCACCCCTCCCTTCCTTCCTTCCTTCCTTCCTTCCTTCCTTCCTTCCTTCCTTCCTTCCTTCCTTCCTTCCTTCCTTCCCTCCCTCCCTCCCTCTCTCCCTCCCTCCTTTCTTTTTTCTTTTTTTTTTTTTTTTGAGACATAGTCTCTCTCTGTTGCCCAGGCTGGAGTGCACTGGCGCTATCTCGGCTCACTGCAAGCTCTGCCTCCCGGGTTCACGCCATTCTCCTGCCTCAGCCTCCTGATTAGCTGGGACTACAGACACCTGCCACCATGCCCAGCTAATTTTTTGTAATTTTTTTTTAGTAGAGACAGGGTTTCACCGTGTTAGCCAGGATGGTCTCCATCTCCTGACCTCATGATCCGCCCGCCTCAGCCTCCCAAAGTGCTGGGATTACGGGCATGAGCCACCGCACCCGGCCCCCTCCCTCCCTCCTTTCTCCCTCCCCTCCCCTGCCCTCCCCTCCCCTCCATTCCCTTTCCTTCCCTTCCATTCCCTTCTTTCCTTCCTTTCCTTCTTTCTGGAGTCTTGCACTGTTGCTTAGGCTGGAGTACAGTGGCGCGATCTCAGCTCACTGCAACCTCCGCCTCCCAAGTTCAAGCAATTCTCCTGTCTCAGCCTCCTGAGTAGCTGGGATTACAGGCACCCGCCACCAAGCCTAGCTAATTTTTGTATTTTTAGTAGAGATGGCGTTTCACCATGTTGGTCAAGCTGGTCTCAAACTCCTGACCTCTGGTGATCTGCCCATCTTAGCCTTCCAAAGTGCTGGGATTACAGGCTTGAGCCACTGTGCCCAGCCAAGTTTTCATTTCTCTTGTTCTTTTCTCTTCATTTTCTTTAAATGCCAAAGAGTGAATTTCCTGGCTCCTGGTAATTCTGTGTTTAACTTCTTGAAAAACCAATACACTGTCTTCCACAGTAGCTGCACTGTTTTGTGTTTCCATCAGCAGCGCACGAGGGCTCCTGTGTCTTGACATCCTCACCAACACCTTTTCTTTTCCTTTCTGTGTTGTTATTATTGTAGCTACCCTCATGGGTATGAAGTGGTGTCTCCTATGGTTTTGATTTGCAATTTCTTAATGACAAGGATGTTGAGCATCTTTTCATGTACCAGTTGGCCATTTGTATATTTTCATTGAAGAAGTGTCTATTCAGGTCCTTTGCCCACCTTTTTAAAACGTTTCTGTAAGAGTCTGGGTTTCACTCTGTCATCCAGGCTGGAGTGCAGTGGCATGATCAGAGCTCACTGTAACTTAGAGCTCCTGAGCTCAAAGTATCCTCCCACCTCAGCCTCCTGAGTAGCTGGGACTACAGGTGCAAGCCACCATGCCTGGCTAATTTTTCAATTTTTTTTGTAGAGACCATGTCTCACTATGTTGCCCAGGCTGGTCTTGAACTCCTGGCCTCAAGTGATCCTCTTGCCTTGACCTCTGAGAGCACTTGGATTACAGGTGTGAGCCACTGCACCTGTCCTCTTAACAGCATGTTTTCTTCTAATCGTTTTTCAGTTTTAGCTCTTGCGTTTAGGTCTTTGCTTTGTTGGCATGTAATACACACAGAGGGGTGCGTGAATTATACCTGTGCATCTTGGTACATTTTTACAAACTGGACACACCCATGGAACCAGTACCGAGTCAAGAAAGAGAACAGGTCTGGTGCCCCAGACTCCCCCGTGAGTCCCCAAGGGCACCCTAGCCAGGTAGATCGCTTTGCCTGGTTTTGAACATCCTAAACCTGGGGCCTGTTCTCTTGTGTCCGACTTCTTGGCTTGGATCAGTTCACCAGCATCCTCCATGTTGTTCGTTCAGGACACGAGGGTGCGGCGTGTGTTAGTTCACTCCTGTGACATGTAACAGAATACCTGAAACTCCTGGGGAATTTATAAAGAAAAGGATGGATTTCCTAAAGTGATGGAGGCTGTGAAGTCCAGCGTGAAGGGGGCACATCCTGTGGCTGTTGGGAACTTTCTGCAGAGTCCCATGGTGAGGGGCCGAGCATGCTGGCTGGCTCAGAGCTTTCCTCCTGTCTTCAGAGCCACCCGTCCTGTTCCCATGATGGCCTGTTAATCCATGAATGTATCAGTCCATCCTGATGGCAGGACCTTCACGGTCTGCTCCCCTCTTAAGGGCCCCCCTCTCAATACTGCCACACAGGTGATTAGATTTCAACATGAGTTTTGAAGGGGATGTTGAAAACAAATGCTCGGTGCCACAAAGAAGAATGAGCACTGGACAAAGGACAAAGGGTTTCTCAGCAAGGCAAATTTATTTCTGCAGAAGAGCATGTCTCGCTTGTGGAGCAATGGCGAGAGCACACAGAACAAAGGAAATCAGGGTTTTTATTATCTCTAACGCAGCTTCTGCTTCTGTGTCTTTCCTCTATTGGCTAGGATCGGACTGCACAGTCTAAACTAGTCCCAATGGGCTAAACATTTAAACTTTCTTAGATAAGGTAGGCATGTAAGGGAGGTGAGAAGAGAGAGAAAGGGGGTCATTTATGGAGCGACTAGGAAGGTAACTTATTCCCTGGTAACGAAAGGAATGTGGACTGGGGCTGTAGCAAGTCCAGGCATGCCTAGGCTTATTCAGACAAGTTGGGGCACAGCAAAGGCAAGGGGGGTATTTGGAATTATAGTACAGAGAATGGGGAAACTGGATAAGCTGTTTGAAGAGGGAACATAACTGTATCTAACAGGGACAAACATTCAAGCCTTAGCAGTGAGCATGTGAGCAGGGGGTGCACACCCCAGACCTGAGATCTGTACCAGGACTTGCGGACAGCCAGGCTGGGGGTTGAGTGCCTGCCAGGCCTGGGCATGGGCTTAAGCTCTGCACTCGGGGGCCAGGCTCCTGGACTGTAACCGCAGCTCTACCACCTGCTGCTGTGTGACCTTGCTCAAGCTCTTCCACCTCTCTGTGCCTGTTATGGTCAGTGAGAGTAATAATATACCCATAGCACTGCTGCAAGGACTTGACAAGTTAATGTGTGTAACAGGCTTCTTGGCCCGAGCTGTGGAGACCATAGCCACTGCTGCTGTGGAGGGCTCAAGCCCATCGTCTTAGAAACTGTCCCAGAAGGCTGGACACGGTGGCTCACGCCTATAATCTCAGCACTTTGGGAAGCCAAGGGGGGCAGATCACAAGGTCAAGAGATTGAGACCATCCTGGCCAACAATGGTGAAACCCCATCTCTACTAAAAATACAAAAATTAGCTGGGCGTGGTGGCGTGTGCCTGCAGTCCCAGCTACTCGGGAGGCTGAGGCAGGAGAATCACTTGAACCCGGGAGGCAGAGGTTGCAGTGAGCTGAGATTGCACCACTGCACTCCAGCCTGGGCAACAGAGCGAGACTCTGTCTCAAAAAAAAGAAGCTGTCCCAGCAGTGTTCTCCCTTGATTCACATGTGGACGTGCCATGTAGACATGCTGTGTAGACAGCAGGGTTTGTTTGCCCTGCAGGGTTGCTTTCTGTCCCCTGTGGCTGTCACAGAACTCCTGCTGTTAGAGGAAGTCAGTGTGAAGTGGGGGCACCTGGATTTAAGCAGGTGTGAGGACAGGTCACAGGCCACAAACTCAGGAATACTCATTATGAATGCAGTGAGCCAGCAGTTGACAACTGTGACGTTGATACCTGGTGACTTTTATTTTTAAAAATACAGAGCTGTCTCAATCTCTGATTTACACTTAAGAGTGCTACTCAGACCAGGCCGGGCGTGGTGGCTCATGCCTGTAATCCCAACACTTTGGGAGGCTGAGGCGGGCGGATCACGAGGTCAGGAGATCGAGACCATCCTGGCTAACACAGTGAAACCCCGTCTCTACTAAAAATACAAAAAAATTAGCCAGGCGTGGTGGTGGGGGTCTGTAGTCCCAGCTACTCGGAGGCTGAGGCAGGAGAATGGTGTGAACCTGGGGGGCAGAGCTTGCAGTGATCCAAGATCGCGCCACTGCACTCCATCCAGCCAGGGCGACAGAGTGAGACTCCGTCTCAAAAAAAAAAAAAAAGAGTGCTACCCAGACCACTGGGCATTTGAATAATTGTGATCAGCGAAATGATTGTTTCACCCACATTCTGGGGCCAGATGCTGTGGTGTGACCTGCTATCCAGAGAGATCCCTGCACCTGGTACTCCCTGACGTGGCCCAGGTGCCAGGCCCTGCGCTTGAGAGACTGGCCATCTAGTGGGGAAGAATACACCCAAGTAATCCCTGAACAGTGTGGAAATGGGGCTGTGAATGCCCAGATTGGGGAAGGGTTCAGAGAAAGCTCCCGAGTGGAGGTGGCAGGTGGGATGAGATAGCAGTCAGGGTGGCAGGGGTGGGAGTGTGGGAGGGCTGCTCCAGTGGAGGGGACAGCTGGTGCCGAGGCCTGGGCCCTGCGGGAAGAGCCCCTTTGCTGGAAGATTCACGGCCTTATCACCTGGCCCGGAGGTTGGCAGAGGAGGCCACACCAGGCTCTGCGCAGGAGAAAAGCCTGCTCTGGGCTCTTCCTCCCAATACACAGGGGCCATCTCGGGGCTGTTTTCATCCTAGGGAAGGCACAGGACAGGGAAAACGGGATGCTCAAAATGACATTTCAGCCCTTTACTTACTGATTCAGGAAACTGGTTATTATAAATTCAGATGTAGGTAGGGATTAGGAAACTTCTTCCCGTTTTAGGAAAGAATGAGCCACGGGGATTTAGCATCCACATTTAGCAATAGGCTGCACCCGCCGTGCCCTCAGGGTAGGAAGTGTGTGCTGGAACGTGGGGGTAAAGGGAGCATTTCGGGGTGATTTTTTTTTTTTTTGCTCCAGGCAAAAATAAGCCAAACCAGGCAATGTGGTTTGTTTGGGTTATTTCAGTATTAGCATTTGTAGTCTAATTTAATAAACTTCAAGAATGATAAAAACAAAATGCTCATTGAACATACTGAGCAATACAGAGATGTGAAAAGGAAAGTATTCATCCTTTTTCACCCCACTCCCCTAATTCTTGCACCTAGGGAAATCATATTATCTTTCCCTCCCCTCCCTCTCCCCTTTTCTTCCTCCTCCTGTCCCTCCCGCTCCCTCTGGAAATACCAAGACCTCTCTCTGGATGCCGCCTGGTAAAGGAGGCTGACCCCTCCTGGACTACCCCGGCAGGGAGCTGCATGCTGGGCTCCTGCAGGCTGGGCAAGTGCAGCCAGGTCTCCCCCTGCCTCCCCACAGGGCGCCTTGGACAGCCCGGGGGCACCCCCGGGTCTGGGCTCTGCTCAGGGGTCTTGGGTCCCGATGGTGGGGGCTGGCCCTTCCAGTATCCCCTGAGTACCTGTGCTCAGGGCATGCTGTATCCATGCCGGGCGCTGGGACCCAGCCGACCTTTCTGGCTTTAGTAGAAACATTCTGCTTTGTGCTTTTCTTACAGGCCGGAGAGAAGCACTACCACCCTTCCTGCGCGCTATGTGTCAGGTGCGGCCAGATGTTTGCAGAAGGCGAAGAGATGTATCTTCAAGGTACAAATTAAAATGTGTTGTTTGGTCCCCTAGAGCAAGGAACTACCCTCTTCGATGTCCACACACATGCTGGGTGTGAACAGGTTGGTGACAGTGTCATCTCGCTAGGTCACGAGCAGCCCAGCCACAGCGGGGAGCCGGCAGGGCAGGGCGGTGGCACGTGCCAGGCCAGCCTCGTCAGCCTGCCTTGTCTGTCCAATGATCTCAGCGAGCCCGAGACCAGCAAGAAAGGAAAAGGGCCGAGCCAAAGACCAGCACCCAGAAGTGCTGGCTATTTGGCTCCAAGTAGCAAAGCTTAAACAAATACGGCCTGATCACATCCGTCGCCACTTTAGGCCCCTTCTAGAAAGCCGCCCCAGCTCAGGGAGTCCAAGTTAGGAGTTTTAGGTGTTTCCCGCCCCAGCCACCCCAGCCTGCTGCAACCCCTCTGTCCACAAAGGAGGTTGGTAATGAGGTACTGAGGGTCACTGGCAGCAGCCGAGGCTTTCTTCCAGGAGCAAGGGAAGAGCCAGCCCCACAGAGCATTGACGAAAGGAGGATTTGGAGGAAAATGTAGCGGACTTCTAACAGGCCCCATGGGAAATGGCCCAGGCCCCCTCACCATTAAAAATAAGTGTCATCACAAAGGCGGGGCGTCCTGTGGGCTGCCAGACCTGAAGAAAGGGCGAGACTTGAGGACTGGTCGTCTCTCCTCCTCCCAGATTAACCCTTTTTAGCTCATAGCTTCTCATTTTCACAATTAAATTAAGCTTCTGATGGCGGCATTCGGCTACCCTTTATACCTTCACAATGCAGGTATCCAGTGGCAGGGGAGGAGGGAGACAACGACTCTTATAAGGGGAAGAAACACAATTTTCTACCTTTTATAGGTCTTAGTTGGGACAGATCCCTGTAACAAGACAGATTAACAAGATAAGGATGAACAGAAGCTTATTAACATGTGCACCTTGTGTACGTGCAAAGGGTGGCCCAGAGAAATGAGGACACACAGGACACGCAGGGGCAGATCTCCAAGAGGCAGCTTTGGGGTTTTTTGGGGTTTTTTTTTTTTTTTTTTTTTGAAACAGAGTCTTGCTCTGTTGCCCAGGCTGGAAGTGCAGTGGCAAGATCTTGGCTCACTGCAACCTCCACCTCCTGGGTTCAAGCAATTCTCCTGCCTCAGCCTTCCAAGTAGCTGGGATTACAGGCATGCACCACCATACCCGGCTAATTTTTTTTTGTATTTTTAGTACAGATGGGGTTTCATCATGTTGGTCGGGCTAGTCTCAAACTCCTGACCTCAGGCAATCTGCCCGCCTCGGCCTCCCAAAGTGCTGAGATTACAGGTATGATCCACCATGCCCCGGCCATCAAAGAGGCAGTTTTGACCTCAGGCTGAGACAACGGCATCCCCTACAACAAAGAAGAAAGGTGTGGGGAGGCATAGTTATGTCAAGTGGGGGGGCCGGGGGACAGGGGGCACCTTAGGCAAGGGGGAGGAGTGCTGTGTGCCTTCTCCACTGAGAAGAGACCCAGGGACTTCCGGTCATCCTCATCTTCCTGGTGCAGAGAGGAGACACCGTTAGAGTTGGAGGTTTCCTTTGGAGATCTCAGTTCCCCTTACAAAATGGTCACTTCTGCTTGGTTTTCAATGCTTTTCTGAGTCTGCTGTTTCCCCCAGTAATCAACTCAAAATAACCCTTATGCCAGAGGGGCATGTCAGGGGCAGCAAATTCTGGCCTGCTAGTCCTGTTTGGGGTGGCATGTTCTGAGCCCCATCACTCTCCTTGCAGACAGGCACCTAGAGTTATGCTTCATCTTATCACTCTGACCACCCCGCTATGTATTGCTTATTCATTCCCTGAGCACTCCCTGCTAAGGAAAATTATTGTGGCACTCATTAAAACCGGTAAGGAAGACTCTTCCCAACAGGAGTCAGGACCATCGCAATGGATGAGAGAGGGGGTGAGATTTTGAATATGGCAGACAGTGGGGGTTGCAGCCAATGAGCAGGGTTGGGGCAGCAGGTGGAAAGTCGCTCGAGGTACTGGGCTTCTTGCTGAACTGACCCCACAAGATGGTTGCCGAAGACAGGCTAAGGACTGAGTCGTCAAAGATGGGATGAGGAACTCAATCAGAAGTGGAGGGAGATTAGGCTTCTAGGCCAGGGGATTCCTGCCAGACTGATTTTGCAGTATTCTCGCTGAAACTGAGCCAGGCAGGCCTAAGACTGGATGGGTTGGGAGGGTGATGGTGGAGACCTGGGCAAAGTTCGAGGCCTAATTGAGAAGAGGGTTCAGAGGAGCCTGACCCAAGGGTCTGGTCCCAGCGAGCACTGGTGGGACAGGGGCCATGTGCTGGAGTGCAGCCCCCAGACTTGATGATGGATTGGACGGGGCATAGGGGCCCCGGCGAGGACAGGTCTGCTATTGTGACTTCATCTCTTTAGCCACAGCTCCCTTTTGAAGATTCTCTGTCACCAGTGCTCCCAGAGGCCAGCTGGGCCCGGCCAGGTCTGGGAGAGCTGCTGTCAGAGCGTCTGCCGTGCAGGTGCCTGCGGGCTGTTGAATGACCTCATGCGGCCATTGTCACAGGGCCGTGGATCACACAGGCCTGCCTTTCTCAGGCCGAACCCAGCGGGGTGATGTCAGACAGGACAGCCTCGTCCCCGGTGTCGCCTGTTCCTTGAGTCTCTGCTCGAGAGCCCGTCAAAGGGTCCTTTGGGACCGTCCCAGCAGTGCCAGGCTGTCTGGGCAGGGGCCTTGCTCTGCATGGGGTTTGGCCCCCACAGTAAAGGGCACCCTTAGACAGTGGGGCACGGTGGACACTGAGCACAATGGCCTTGGGACAGCAGCTCGGGGACACGAGTTCACATCAAGGGTAACCTCATCTCAGGAACAAAGGCGCCCTTCAGGACTGGCCTGAGGCCAGCCCCCGCTTCTGCTGTGAGGTTCTGTGGGATGTCGAACCCAGGCCTGTCCCCTCTCCTAACTTGGATTTCTCAGTCTGAATCATGACAGGTCTGACCAGCTGTGTGGCTTTGAGGCTCTGCTCCCTGGCACAGGCCTCCTTGGGGCACCCACCCTGCCTGGTCATCCTGAGACCCTCTGTGTGGCCTCCAGGGATGTCGGGGCTCCATGCAGATGTTATTTGGCTGGCAAATCCTGCTGCAATAAAGGCTCTGAAAAGCATGGGCCCCAGCGACCCCCACGGTCTCCTGGGCGATGAGGCAGGCCAACCCCCGCAATGCCACCACCGTTCCTGCCGCGGACTTTCCCATAAACATGGGGTGGGGCATTAGATCCTGCTAATTGTTAAGATGCCCGTATTAAAATAATGAGATACTCCTTTTTCCCACTGGGGTGAAAAGATAAAAAGGAAGTGTGAGCCCCATGTTGGTGAGAAGTCAAGGACACAGGCCTCTTATGCAGCTAGTAGGGGCGAAAATTGGGAAACTGACAGAAAAATCTCAAGAGCCCTAAACATGACCCCACTCTTTGAGCCAAGACTCCATTTCTAGGAAGTATGTGCCAGTTGTGTGCAGTGGAGCCCCTGCAATGTCATTTAGAAATAAATAAAACGTTAGAAAGATCAAAAGAGGAGGCCAGGTGCAGTGGCTCATGCCTGTAATTCCAGCACTTTGGGAGGCAGAGGTGGATGGATCACCCGAAGTCGGAAGTTCAAGACCAGCCTGGCCAACATGGCGAAACCCCATCTCTACTAAAACTGGGTGTGGTGGCGCATGCCTGTAATCCCAGCTACTCAGAAGGCTGAGGCATGAGAGTCTCTTGAACCTGGGAGGCAGAGGTTGCAGTGAGCTGAGATTGCATAACTGCACTCTAGCCTGGACAACAGAGTGAGACTTTGTCTTAAAAAAAAAAAAAAAAAAGAAAGAAAGAAAAGAAAAGGAAAGAAAAAAGAAAGATCAGGAGAGGAGTAGAGAGATAAAATTCTTATCTGTCCACATTGTATAGCCCTTAAAGTTGCATGTTTTGATATTTAATTTAATTAACTGGGAAATGTTCAAGACTTTTTTTTTTTTTTTTTTTTTTTTTTGAGACGGAGTTTCGCTCTGTCGCCCAGGGTGGAGTGCAGTGGTGCGATCTTGGCTCACTGCAAGCTCCGCCTCCCGAGTTCACGCCATTCTCCTGCCTCAGCCTCCCGAGCAGCTGGGACTACAGGCGCCCGCCACCATGCCCAGCTAATTTTTTGTATTTTTAGTAGAGACGGGGTTTCACCATGTTAGCCAGAATGGTCTCGATCTCCTGACCTCGTGATCCGCCTGCCTCAGCCTCCCAAAGTGCTGGGATTACAGGTGTGAGCCACAGCACCCGGCCTGTTCAAGACATTTTTAAGCAAATATGTAGGATATGAAATTGTGTCTGTAGCCTGGGTGTGGTGGCTCATGCCTGTAATCCCAGCACTTTGGGAGGCCAAGGCAGGCAGATTGCTTGAGCCCAGGAGTTTGAGACCAGCCTAGTCAATATAGTGAGACCCCATCTCTACAAAAAAATGAAAAATTAGCTGGGCATGGTGCTATGCTTCTGTAGTCCCAGTTACTTGGGAGGCTGAGGCAGGAGGATTGCTTGAGACCAAGAGGTGGGGGCTGCAGTGAGCTATATTTGCACCACTGCCATGCTGGGTAACAGAGTGAGACCCTGTCTCAAAAAAAAAAAAAAAAAGAAAGAAAGAAAGAAGAAACTGTGTATTACACTGAACCCCTTCCATTTGTAGGTACACCTGTACTATAAGGCAGCCAACAAAAAGTGGGTGAGAGATTAGAAATGATTTTAATTTCATTTACATTTTTTAAGGTTTCTATAATTTTTAATAAGAGACATCTGTTACTTTTTTTTTTTTTTTTTTTTTTTTTTTGAGACAGAGTCTTGCTCTGTTACCCAGGCTGGAATGCAATGGTGCAATCTCAGCTCACTGCAACCTCTGCCTCCCAAGTTCAAGCGATTCTCCTGCCTCAGCCTCCTGAGTAGCTGGGACTACAGGTAGCCACCACAATGCCTGGCTAATTTTTCTATTTTTGATAGAGATGGGGTTTCACCATGTTGGCCAGGCTGGTCTTAAACTCCTGACCTCGAGTGATCCACCCACCTTGGCCTCCTGAAGTGCTGGGATTACAGGCGTGAGCCACCGCGCCCAGCCCTATTACTTTTATGGTCATAATTTATTTTTAATTTATAAACAAGAAATGTTTTCTATGCACTCACACACACATGTAGTCCAATCACCATCTCTCAGAGCTTCGAGTTGCTGCTATGTCCCTAGAAACGAGCCGCCATGAAATCCACATGACCCAGAGGGCTTTGCAGGCAGGAGATGGGATAAGTTCCCTCATTGCACACACACTTTTCAGCCCCTACCATGTGCTAGCCTGTGTGGCTTTTTTGTGGGATACACAAGTCAGCCACAGCCCTCACCTTCGTGGGAGCAAAGGGTGAGAGATGGAGACACAGCCATGCACCTAGCAGAGGGTGTGTGAGTGCAGTGCCAGCCCATCACAGGGAGTGGCGGGTCAGGCTGGATGTGTGAGTGCAGTGCCAGCCCCTCGCAGGGAGTGGCGGGTCAGGCTGGGTGTGTGAGTGCAGTGCCAGCCCATCGCAGGGGGCAGCAGGTCAGGCTGGGTGTGTGAGCACAGTGCCAGCCCATCACAGGGAGCGGCAGGTCAGGCTGAGGTTCAGGGAGGCCCCAGGAGGAGCAAGTGCCCCAGATCCTGAAGGATGGGAAGGTGGGCAGAGAGAGTTGACATTCACTGAGTCCCCCATGCACAAGAAGGATCGCACTAATGCAACTAACATTTGTATGCAGCAACTCACAAAGCACTTTTCTGATACTTTATTACCTCTGCTTGATTTTATTAAATTCACCCAGTGACCTGACAAGGTAGAATTCTTATTAGCTCTATTCTTAGGTGGAAAAAAAAAAAACAAAAACAAAGACTTGGGGTAGTTTGAGGTTGAATTAGTAGAGACCAGAGTGCCAGGGATGCTGGGGGCACTTGGTGCCGGGTGGCCTTGTTATGTTGATGGTAGTGGCTGTTGACATGGGTGACTGGGCAGAACTGACAGCTAGAGAAACTGAGACACAAGAAGCCACAGAGACTGAGTAAATTAGTAACAGGGTGGGGCTGGTGTTTGAGCCTTGTGCCCAGCTCCCACCGAACACACCTGTTCTTCACCCCATACCCTAAGGAGCAGGCCCACTTCCCAGCTGAGGTTCTCTCTTCCTACCTCTCAGCTTAGAGCCCTGCCCTGCAAGTCCTCCTCCCCAAGGCTGGCTCCCACCCAGGTTGCAGCACCAGCTGTCTCTGCAGGTGGGCCCAGCCATTGCCCTCAACATGCAGGCAGCCAATCCTACATCCTAGGCAGGGACTTGAAACCCCTTCAAATACCCCCTCCTCAGAGAAGAATCTTCCAGCTGCCCCCCAGGTTCCTCAAGACCCTATGCCTCCTCCTGTGGGAGCAGTTAGTGCACAGCAGCCATTTCCCTGTTTGTTTGCTGCCTCCGTCCCACAACTGGGCTGTGAGCCCCTGAGGGGCGGGGACTGTGATCTGGGTACCCCCTGCCCGGCACTAACTCCAGCACAGAGAGGATGCTCAGGGCCGCTTGGAGGGTGGAGTCCGAGTGCACGTCTGTGCATGGACCAGCTCCCTCCTCTGCGTTTCCACACAGGCCCCTGCAACATGGGAAATAACTCTAATCATTTCCCTCTTGGGAATTTGTCAACAGGTTCCTCCATCTGGCATCCGGCGTGTCGACAAGCAGCCAGAACTGAAGACAGAAACAAGGTTGGTGGCATTCACTGGTGTCTCTGATGTACCCTTCACTGCTCCTGCACCATCTTTGTACAGTTAAGAGGACACTGACCAGATTCTACAGGCTCATTGTCCAGTCCCACGGGCTGCAGGATGGGGGCAGCCAGGCTTAGGAGGTGGGGAGGGTAAACAAGTAGACTGGTGAGCAATAATACAGATGGAACAAGGGCATCTTTGTTTTCTGTTGATATCACAGAATACCACAGGCAAGGTAATCTACGTAAAAAGAAGTTAATTCAGCTCATGGTTCTGGAGGTGGGGAAATCCAGGAGCAGGGTGCGGCATCTGATGAGAGCCGTCCCGTGGCAGGACGGGGAGAGAAGGCGGGAACTCATGAACAAAGAGGAAAAAGGGGCCAAACTCCCGAGATAACTAACCCACTCCCACAGTAATGGCATCAGTCCATTCAGGAAGGCAGAGCCCTCATGAACAGTCACTTCCCAAACGCCCCACCTCCAACACTGTCACAAAGGACACCAAGTTTCCAACACACAAATTTTGGAGTGTACATAGCAAAGAGGCATCTAAGAGCCTTTGTGGACTGGCCTGCTGAGCTTTTCTCTCATTTGGTGAACTCCAATGGCTGTGAAAATTTGAGAACAACTACAGTGTTAGGGGGCCCAAACAGTCCCCAAGACCCCCCTCATGTCTGTGAACCCCGAAAATCCCAGACAGGTCTCAGTTAATTTAGAAAGTTTATTTTGCCAAGATTAAGGATGTGCACCCGTGACACAGCCTCAGGAGGTCCTGGTGATATGTGTGCAAGGTGGTCAGAGCACAGTTTGGTTTTATACATTTTAGGCAGACATGAGACATCAATCAACATATGCAAGATGAACATTGGTTCAGTCTGGAAAGGCGGGAAAACTTGAAGCAAAGGCAGGATGACTCAAAGCGTGGAGGGGGCTTCCAGGTCATGGGTAGATAGGAGACAAGTGATTGCATTCTTTTGAGTTCTGAAAGGAGGCAATCAGATCTGCACTTATCTCAGTGAGCAGAGGGGTGACTTTGAATAGAATGGGAGGCAGGTTGGCCCCAAGCAGTTTCCAGCTGGACTTTTCCCTTTAGCTTAGTGATTTGGGGCAGTCCCCATCTGGCTGGTGGTCTGTGACCCAAGGGTGGTCTATGGCCCCATCTGGCTGGTGGTCCAGGACCTGAGGACACCCCTAAGGCCCACAGGCCAGGCCATGTCCTCATCCTGCTGCGGATCTCAGCAACCCCTGGCCTCCCACTTACTCTCGAATGTGGGGTATCCCGTAGACCTCATCCATTCCACCAAGCAGGCTACCTTGGGGGTCCTGAGTGACTCTGATGTCCTGTAGCGGCAAGTCTGGGCTCTTGTTTGAGCAGCTGTGCCTGCAGGGAACAAAGTGGGGCATTCAGAGTGTCTGATGGGGTTCAGGACAGCATTCCGATGCAGGCCCGTCTGAGCGAAGCTGCAGGATGCCCAGCATCTGGACCCTTCCTGGAAGGCCAGCTCCCCTGCTGGCCAGCAGAGCAGGCAGGGCTGGAGGCCTGCACGGGGGCAGGCAGGGGCCCTGGCTTCCCACCTGTGTCCCTGATGCTCTCCTAGCAGCTCTGCTTTTGGCAGGGGAGGGGGTCCCAGGGGAAGTCTGCCCTTTTCTGCCTTCCACAGTGGCAGAAGAGTCACGCGATGAAATCCCGCTGTGAGCTTGGCCAGGATCGCAGCAGCTAGCTGGCACATTGTGAATTTTGTTGTCCTCTCAAATAGCTGCTGCAGTCCATGATTCATTCTACAAGCTACCCTGAGGCTGCGCTGGGTCTCAGGGATGAGCAAGGCAGCAGCCCTTCCCTCAGCAAGCCACAGTGTGTGACTCCGAAGTGACCACAGGGCCCGCACCATTTGTGAGATCCTTCCATGCCCACCAAAGGCCTGTGGAAGGGACCTGAGTGAGGGAGCCTCTCACGCCAAGGCCACCAGACCACACTGTGGCTTGCATGTGTGCATGGGAACACCACCCTGTCTCCTGATGATGTGGCTCCGATGAGTGGAGAAACACCAGGGTCTTCATCTCTAGTAGAATTAGAAAAAACAACGCGGACACACGTGGTGTAGTCTTAAAGAGCGGAGAGTTTAATAGGCAAGAAAGAAGAAAGGCAGAAGGAAGAAGCTCCCTGGTAGAGAGAAAGAGGGAGGGGGGGCTCCAAAGCCAAGACAGGGAACCCCAAGTGGGGTGGATACCAGTCAGGTATATACACGGGCTCGAGGTGGCAGTGTCTGATTTGCATAGGGCTTAGGCGATTGGTTTGACCAGGCGTGTCATTCACATAGCCCATGGAAAAGCTGGCCCTCCCACCCTAGTCTTTTAATATGCAAATGCAGGGCGCCCTGATGTTCCACATACATGTGGATATGTGGGGGTGGCCATGGTGCCAGGGACATGTGGGGCAAGGGCAAGAAGGCCACAGGAATCGCCATGTTTGGGTGGACCCAGTTTCTAGTGGCCTGCATTTGCATATCAAACGGTGCCTGCCTGGTTCTAAGAGCTGCTTTGAAAACGAAAACTGCCCAAGGACCCCTTTTCCTTTCTATCTGCCTAAAATAATTTCTTTTCTTTTCTTTTTTTTTTTTTTTTTGAGATGGAATCTCGCTCTGTCTTCAGGCTGGAGTGCAGTGGCCAGTGGCGTGATCTCAGCTCACTGCAACCTCTGCTTCCCAGATTCAAGCTATTCTTCAGCCGCAGCCTCCCAAGTAGCTGGGACTACAGCCACGCACCACCACGTCCAGCTAATTTTTGTATTTTCTTTTTTTTTTAGTAGAGACAGGGTTTCATTATGTTGACCAGGATGGTCTCAATCTCTTGACCTCGGGATCCGCCCGCCTCGGCCTCCCAAAGTGCTGGGATTACAGGCGTGAGCTACCACGCCCGGCCCCTAAAATAATTTCTTAATAACTCCTACCACACTGAAACCGACCAGGGCTAGAAAAGGGAGCTCCGCGGCCACAGCCAGGTCCCCGCAAGGGCGGGGTGGGGGGTGGCTGGCGACAGCTCCCGGGTTCTGACCCCTACTGTGGAGCGGCCATGAGACCTGCAGGAGGCCTGACTGGCCAGGCGGCAGCAACAGCTTCACTGTCCCCACTGATGCCAGCCCGTGCTGACCTCCGGGTCACTGGCCTAGCGGGCAGGGGTCACTTAACCACCGGATGCTGCCAGCAGAGGAGGAAGGAGTCCTTGTGCTCGGGGGCCTGTGCAGGCGTCCTTGTTTCCTGGGCTCTGTTTGAAGTTGCTTTTGAAGCAGTTATTTTTAACAGAGGGCTAGTTGGCCTCTGGCCAACACAGGGAGGAGGCGGCGCAGGCTGAGAGCGGCTGGCCTCTTAGCGCCGAGTCCAGGGACTGGCGTGGCTCCCGGCCTAATGGTTCTCATACACATCTCGGTCCCCTTGGAGCTAACTGTCCGGAGGGCCTGGCGCTTCCTGGCCTGGGGGTGGGAGGGAGAGCCCTCCTGCTCTGTTTTGTTCCGTCAGGTGCAAGCCAGTTAAGGAGAGAATATGCAGAAGGCAGGCAGACCTGGCCGGCTCCCGGCAGCATCAACCTCACTTGTTTTTGGAAACCCGACACCCAGGTGGAAGTAGCTTCTCAGTGCTACCTGCTAGTCAAGAGGAGAAATGACTCCCGGTCCTAGCCCCTCTGTGCCAGCTCCTGGGGGACTCCAGGACCCTCACAGGAGCCAGTCCATCCCTGCCTCAGGGTTGCTCTTCAGCAAGAGGCCAACCCCTGAGCACCTGGCCCCAGGAAAGGTTGCAGTAGGGAGGAGGGAGCACTCACTATTCTCTGCAGCCTGGAAGGTGGCCCTGATCGCATGGCTGCCCCTTCTGCACCATGGGGATGGGAGCTCTCCCAGGACAAGGACCTGTCCACGGAAAGAGTGAAACTGTAAAATACTGGAAGAGATTCATTCTGAGTCAAATATGAGTGACCATGACACAGCCCTCATGTGACCCTGAGAACAGGCGCCCAAGGTGTTGGGGTGCAGCTTGATTTTATACATGTCAGGAAGACACGAGACATCAATCAGAATACATGTAAGATTGACATTGGTTTGGTCGAGAAAGTGGGACAACTCAAAGCAGGAGCTTCCAAGTTATAGGTAGATTTTAAAACATTCTGACTGGCCGTGCGCAGTGGCTCACACCTGTAATCCTAGCACCTTGGGAGGCTGAGGTTGGTGGATCATTTGAGGTCAGGAGTTCGAGACCAGCCTGGCCAACATGGTGAAACCCGCTCTCTACCAAAAATACAAAACTTAGCCAGGCATGGTGGCACTTGCCTGTAATCTCATCTATTCAGGTGGCTGAGGCACGAGAATCGCTTGAGACGGGAGGCAGAGGTTGCAGTGAGTCAAGATCATGGCACTGCACTCCAGCCTGGGCAACAGAGTGAGACCCTGTCTCAAAAAAAATAAAATAAAATGTTCTGATTGGCAGTTGGTTGAAAGAGTTAATATCTGTAGAAAGGAATGTCTCTGTGGAGTGTAAGGTTTTGTCATGCAAATGAAGCTGCCAGGTAGCAGGCTTCAGAGAGAATAGACTGTAAATGTTTCTCATCAGACTTAAGGTCTGCGTTGATGTTAAATGCTGGTGAGCTTTTCCTGAATTCCAAAGGGAGGCGGGCATAGTGAGGCATGTCTGACCCCCGCTTCCCATCATGGCCTGAACCAGTCTTTCAGGTTAACTTTGGCATGCCCTGGCCAAGTGGATAGAGTCCATTGAGATGGCTGGGGAGCCCCAGCATTTAATTTTTGGTTTACAGACAGCATGTCAGACGTCCCTGGCATCTGGCCAGGGTGCTCAGCGGAGGTGAGAAGGATGTGGTCCTAGCTGCCCTGTCCCCAGTGCAAATGCCCCCGCCTCAGGCGTTTGATCATATGGTCACTCAACACACAAGCCACGAAGCACCTACTGTGTGTGCTCTGGGATTGAGCACTGTGAACATAGAGGTGAATAAGACCTGAGGGGTCCCTGCCCACAAGGAGCCCCCTGTCTGGTGGGGGAGACAAACGTGGATGGGCAGCCTCCGATGTGCAGGATGCTCAGAGGCGCCGTGACCGAGAGGGGCCCGGGCCCAGCTGGCAGTGGTCACAGGCGGCTTCCTGGAGCTGCGGCTGATGGTCCAGTCTGGTTCTGGCTCTGGGTGGTGTGTCTGAGGAACCAGTGATCTTCAGGGGACTGAATGTGGGTTTCAGGACCTTGGGGTGAGAAGGGGGTGGCCCTGTGCCTGTGGGTAGCCCAAGGTAAGCCCCGAGAACGGTGAAGGTGGCCACAGGGACAGCTCAGCTCAGAGGGGTCCCTGCTCTGGCCAGGGGCTGGGTGACTTCAGTGGAGGGAGCCTGGACTGGCCGGGCTGGTCCTGTAGGTTGTGGGTTTCCAAGGTGGGTCTCCTTTGGAAAAGTTAAGACTGAGGCCTCAGTGGTGGCTACTGTGGGTGGGAGTCCAGGAGGAAGCTGGAGACTGTTGGGGCCATTGAGGAACGAGGAAACAGGCTTGTGGAGACCAAACGCGGGGCCGTTCCGGCTGAATGGGAGCGAGACGGTCCCGGCAATTCTCCACGGTGGCCAAGGGCGGTAGAGCGAGGCTTGGCATTGGAGTTCTGCTCTGCCTCCTCCCAGCTGTGTGACCTGGTGCAAGTCACTAGCCCTCTCTGAGCCTCAGCCCCTCAGCTTTCACATGGAGATGAGAGGGGTCAGACCATGTGACCGTAATGGCAGGCCTCCCCAGTGACTGTTGAAGGACAGCTGCCTCCCTGGGGCCAGGCAAAGCCGGTGGGGATTGGAGCCAGGTGAGCTCCCAGCCCTTCCATTTCTGTGGGTCTGAACAAGGCGCTTGTACTGGGGCCTGGGAGAACATATGGATATTGAGTTCCATTGCCAAGCACCTTTGTGCGATTGGAGTTGGGTAGGGAGAAAGTCAGAAAAAGCTCCAGCCTCCTCCCACTGGGGAAAATCAGGCCTACTCAGCTCCCTTCTGACTCATCCCCACCCATCGCAGAGCTGGGGACTGAGCCCAGAGAAGGGAATGAGGACAATGACCTGGCTGCCCCGCCTAGACCCCCTCAAACATGCAGAGAGCAAACCTGGCCCCTGGCCCCGTGCTGAAACCAGCCAACGCTCCCTCCCTCCCATATGTACCAAGGCACAGTTGGAGGCTGTGAAACATTCCTCGGGAGCCTGGGAGACTTTCCTGTGCTGCTGTTGGTGTGCTCGGCTTCAGAGAATCTTTCTTCTAAAACACCCAATGTTCATCTGCTTTGCAGAGGAGAGGGTTCTCTGTCAAGGTCATCTCCTGAGCCCACCTTGAGCTGAAATAATAGTGGGGAGAATTTTTCAGTGCTAAGCACCTCACGTGCCTCATCCCTGATCTAATCCTCAGAAACGGTAAGCCCGTTCAGGGAGCTGTTGCCGGGGGATGGACGAGGATGCTGAGACTCAAAGGGTGTTTCAATGTATTCATATAAAATGTATGCAGCCATCATTTTGGCCAGTAAAACATTCGACCTGGCCCAGGAACAGTGGGAACAGCAGATCCTATGTCACATACCTCAGAACTAGCTGTCTACTTTGCAAACAGCAGGTGGTATTGGGCCATCGTGGGCATGACTGAGGACCCAGCCCCTGCCAGCCTGCAGAAATCCGTGGTCCCAGGAGGCAGGCAGACCCCAGAGTTGATGCCCACCTGGTGTGTTGCACCAGGGCTGAGGGAAGCCCAAGGAAGCTGGGCAGGCCTCATAGAGGAGGAAGAGGAGGAGGAGGAGAAAGAGGAGGAGGAGGAGGAGGAGGAGGAGGAAGAGGCGGTGGCAGCGGCAGTTGCCAAGCTTAGGATATAAGGAGACACGGGGCATGGAGAGGACCTGGGCCGGTGGAGCGGAGGCGAGTGCAGAGGTGGCGGACAGGTGGTGGAGTGTCATGCCCACTCCCTCCTCTCCTTCCTTTCTAGATACAGAATCAAGTTTGCACTCAGGGTTGCCCAGGCGCCACCCACATGCCGCACAGGGTTGTCCTCCTGCTGCTGCACGTGGCCCCACATCCGGCGCTGATGTTGCCCATCCTCGCTGGTGTGCGCTGAGTGTAGGAGGTGCTGACTGTCACCCACGCCAGCCGCTGCACGATGCCCAGCCTGAGTCAGGCAGCTGGGGCTTCCCCGATAAAGGCACCCGGCCTGGGTGGCCTGCACAGCAGAAACCCACCTTCCCACAGCTCTGGAGCCCAAAAGGCCAAGATCACGGGGTTAGCTGGGGTGGTTTCTCCCTCGTTGGCTCGTAGATGCTGCCTTCTCCCTGTGCCTCCACATGGACTCCCTGTGTGTGTCTGTGTCCTGATCCCTGCTCGTAGAAACCCCAGGCATAACAGATTAGGGCCCATCCTAGTGACCTTTTAAAAACCCTGTCTCCAAATACAGCCACATTCTGAGGTCCTGGGGGTTAGGATTCAACCTACGAATGTGGACACAGATCAGCCCATCCACTGTGGTGCCTCCTGGGCTGCAGGCACCGCTGCATGGATGGGCCCCTGAAATGGGCAGGACAGAATTGTTGGGGGTGGCAAGAAAAGGGTCTACTCAGAAAATGAGAGGAGGGAGCTGCAGTGGGGGCTGTGGTCGGGGTGGGAAACCATCGAAGCAGCAGAGGACGTGGGGGCCGTGGGGAGAGTGAGGGCTGAGCTCTTGGCTGCTGAGGGCTGGGGAGGCCTCTGTGGATATGGGCTTCTTTTGGACAGGGTGAATAGGAGGCGTGGGGAAGGCCAGGCAGGTGGCCCAGGAGTGAGGGCTGAACCAGGAGAGGGGTGTGCAGCTCCAGTGAGAGCTGAACCAGGAGAGGCCCCTGCCCTGCAGGTGGGGAGGGACAGCAGGTGCAGCCAGAGGTGTGGGGACCACAGAAGGAGTGTGTCCGCAGGGCTGGAGGGGGCTGAGGTGGGGGGAGAGGCAGGACAGTCACAAAAACCATCAGCCCAGGGGACACAGCGGGTGTGGTCCGGAAGGGAGGAGTGGCCCCAGACAGCAGCGAGCATGTAAGGAGGACACAGGTCCCAGGCGTGACAGCAGCAAAAAGGCCAGGACAAGCCCACAGGTGCAGTTGGGAGAGTGGCTGCCAGGGGGCTCCGAAGGGCCATTTCTAAGTTGTGTGTCAGGTGGGAGCAGGTGCTCTTTGAGCTGAGAAAGGCTTGGGGGCCCATGGAGGGTCAGAGGGCATGGAGGACAGAGCCGGGGGCCAAGCTAGAGAGGGTCTTCAGGGTGACCAAGATGGTCCCGTGTTCCCAGGAACCTGGGCCAGTGGACTAAGCTGCAGCGAGTCCCCATAATCCCGGTGGAAAATGACGCCTCTGAGCATAACCGGAGCTTGCAGAATGGCTTGGCCTGTGCATCACTCTGGTCTCATGTGGCCCACCATGTCTGCCTGATGCTAGCTTTTCAGTCATTCATCCAAGCCTGTGTGTTTATTCCAAGAATTCCTTCAGCCCCAACTTTATTTATTTATTTATTTATTCATTCATTCATTCATTGAGATGGAGTCTCTCTCTGTCACCCAGGCTGGAGTGCAGTGGCGCGATCTTGGCTCACTGAGCACCGCCTCCCAGGTTTAAGCGATTCTCCTGCCTCAGCCTCCTGAGTAGCTGGGATTACAGGTGCCCGCCACCACACCCGGCTAATTTTTGTATTTTTAGTAGAGACAGGGTTTCACCATGTTGGTCAGACTGATCTCGAACTCCTGACCTCGTGATCCGCCCACCTCAGCCTCCCAAAGTGCTGGGATTATAGGCGTGAGCCGCCGTGCCCGGCCCAGCCCCAACTTTAAAGAAACACCGCAGTGCGCTGGCGTGGCTGCTGGAGTGGAACTCCTGACAGTCGCCTCTGAAGGCCCCGAATGTTGGTACCTGCCTTCAATCTCTTCCTCTCTCCTTTCTCAGGAAACCAGAACTTCCTCAGAGAGCATCATTTCTGTCCCTGCTTCCAGCACCTCAGGGTCTCCGAGCCGTGTGATTTATGTAAGTCAGGGCCTTTTTATGGGGACGGCGGTGGGAGGGTGGAGAGAGAAGGGGGGCCCGGTGGCCGTGGCTAAGCCCACCCCTAAGAGAGTTTTCCGAGAACTATCATCTGGGGCCTGAGGTACGGCCATTGCTCTTGTCCCTGCTTCGGGGTGGAGGTTGGTACAGGCTTTATGAGTCTGAAACACAGACATGTTTGTTTGACCCGGCAATTCCCCTGGGAACCTGTCCCCAATTATCTGGTGACAAGAGCCACACAGTGGTGTGTACACAGCTGTTGTTTATAGTGGTGCAGACACGTCACATCAACAGCCGACAGTTGGGGCTTGCCAGACACCCAGGCGGGACCCTGCAGAGTTTGCAAATAACGGCACGGATCTGTGTACATCAACACGCACGCTCTCCCAGCGTGTTCCCTAAAAGAAGCAAGTTAAGGGTGATGTAAATTATGTGATCCCGTTTTCGTTCGTTCGAGAGAGAGAGAGAGAGAGAGACTCTGTGTGTGTGTGTGTGTGTGTGTGTCTGTGCGCCTCACACGCTTCCATAATCACATACAAATATAAAAATGATTGAAAACATTTTAACAAGTTGTTACCAGAAATTTCCTCTGGGTGGTGGGATTCGAGATGGGAGATTATTCTATTTAATATTTAATACATTTAATATTGTATATTTAAATTTATATATGTATACATACATATACATATGTATATGTAAATTTAATATTTAATATTGTATTTAATGTTTGCTAATATTGCTTGTGTAAATACCAAAATTCCTTATCTAGGCGAGGACCCCCAGGCGCCAGGTGAGGGATGGCTTATGCGGTGGTGGCCAGGGGTCACCCGGGACTGCCATGTAGGCTGCCCCTGCACCAGAACCCAGCACTGGAATGGCTGGTGACTGGGACAAGCCCCTTCTCCCCTCCCCGTCCCCGCCAGGCCAGGACCTGGGTTCTTCATGCCTCAGCGGAGGCTGGATCCACTGGGTTTCTAGGCTCCAGAACTTTAAGACAGTTTATTGGATCTGCTGTCTGCTGTGCTTCTTTTCGACCCTCCTCTCTCATAGTGGTTGGACACAGGGTCCTTCCTGACCTTAATCCTGACAGTGCCACTGAGGGGTGCACGAGTCCTCAGTTACCATGACGCACTGCTGGCCTGGAGAGTGAGTGGCACTGTGGCGCTTGGGATGTGCACTCTGAAGCTTAGGCGGGCGCATGAAGGCACCAGGTTGGCTGCATGCCCTGGGCGAGGTGCCGCCCGCCTGGAGCCTCTGGGAGCCCCTCAGTAATCCACGGAGACCCCCAGGCACCTTCGGTCCAGGGCTCACTGAGGCGCTGCCTGGGTGGCAGTGAGCACAGCGCCTGCCCAGAAGAAGGCTGTGGGAAACGCTTGCTGCCGTTACTGTTACCATCATCTGTGTCAGCCTCCTGGGGGCTTGAACAACAGAAATAAATTGTCTCAAAGTTCCAGAGCCTGGAAACCCAGGATCAAGGAGTCAGCAGGGTTGGCTCCCCATCCCTGGCCCGCAGGCGGCCGTCCTCTCCTTGCATCATCACGGGTCATCTGTGTGCATCCGGGTCCTGATTTCTTCCCATAAGGACACCAGGCAGATTGGATTGGATCCACCCTAACGGTCTTGTTTTAACTTGATGACCTCTCTTAAGGCCCTGCATCCAAATGCAGTCACATTCTGAGGTCCTGAGGGTTAGGACTTTACCAACACAGGAATTCGGGGAGACACAGTTCAGTCCATAATACCATCATCATCCTCATGAATAATGATTATGACAATTATCATGTGAATGAGATCATGTTTGTGTAGGCGCACAAAGGTATGGTCTGTTTCCTCACCCATTGAAAGGGTCACAGCTGACACTCCTATAACGAGAGACAAGTTCACAAGAGAAAAGCATGACAGACGTATTTAATCAAAGTTTTAGGTGACACAGGAGCCTTCAGGGACGCAGGTCCAAAGACCCAGGGAGGACTGTCCTTTTTAGTTTTGGTTTTGAGACAAGGTCTGGCTCTGTCGCCCAGGCTGGAGTGCAGTGGTGAGATCATGGCTCATGGCAGCCTCAACCTCCCCGGGCTCAGGCGATCCTCCCACCTCAGCATCCCGAGTAGCTGGGACTACAGGCATGCACCATCACACCTGGCTAATTTTTGTATTTTTTGTTGAGATGAGGTCTTTTTATGTTGCCCGGGCTGGTCTTGAACTCCTGGCCTCAAGCAATCCACCTGCCTCAGCCTCCCAAAGTGCTGGGATTATAGGTTTGAGTCATCACGTCTGGCCAACACTGTTCTTTTTTTTTTTTTTTTTTTGAGTTGGAGTTTCGCTCTTGTTGCCCAGGCTGGAGTGCCACGGCTCCATCTCAGCTCACTGCAACCTCCACCCCCTGGGTTCAAGCGATTCTCCTGCCTCAGCCTCTCAAGTAGCTAGGATTATAGACATGTGCCACCACACCCAGCTAAGTTTGTATTTTTAGTAGAGACGGGGTTTCTCCATGTTGGTCAGGCTGGTCTCAAACTCCCGACCTCAGGTGATCCACTCGCCTGGCCTGCCACAGTGCTGGGGTTACAGGCGTGAGCCGCTGTGCCTGGCCTATTTTTATGCTTAGATTGGATGATAACTGGGTGGCCATGTAGAAATATGATTGGACAAAATGTGTGTGATCTGATGGGAACAGACTGAGTGGGGAAACAGCAGGGCCGTCTGCTCAGATGCTCCTTGGCCTCTCTGGGGAGTCCTTCTTCCTCCAGGTATAGGGCACAGGGGGTCTTAGGACCTACTCTCAGGCAAGCTAGGTCAGAGAATGGCTCCATGGCCAGGTTGTGCACAGAATGAGGGAAAGGTTAGACTCATGTTTCTAGGCTTCATGGCTGGCTTTGGGGAGGAACTTCTAGTTTCTATGACCCGCCTTGGGGAAGAGGAACTCTGGTTGGTATGGCTCACTTCAGCGGGGGTAGGAAGGAAGAGGGTGAGAGACAGGAGGGCAGGAGGCGGTCAGAGAGACCCTGCTTCCGAGGCCTTCCACTCTCCCTTAGGTCAAAGTCCTCAGCATGCTGTGGCTCCGTACTTTGGGGTATTGTTTTCTGAGCGCCAACATTTGCAAAGCACTTGGCATCCGGCTTGGTGCCTGCTAAGCGCTCATTCGTGGTAGCTGTTGCTGTTGCTGTTGTTGCTGCTGTTGTTGTTGGAACCTGCACGGCACATAGTAACTGCTCATTAAATATGAGCTCTTTTTTTTTTCTTTTTTTGAAGTGGAGTCTCACTGTGTCGCCCAGGCTGGAGTGCAGTGGTGCAATCTCAGCTCACTGCAAGCTGCGCCTCCCAGGTTCACGCCATTCTCCTGCCTCGGCCTCCCGAGTAGCTGGGACAACAGGCACCCGCCACCATGCATGGCTAATTTTTTTTGTATTTTTAATAGAGACGGGGTTTCACCGTGTTAGCCAGGATGGTCTCAATCTCCTAACCTGGTGATCCACCCACCTTGGCCTCCCAAAGTGCTGGGATTACAGGCGTGAGCCACCGTGCCCAGCCTCTTTTTTTTTTTTTTTTTAAACAAACTGGCATTTGCAAGGAGCGTGGGATGGTAGTGACTGTGTGTGCATGCAGTGAGCAGTGACAGCGGCCTCTGTTGTCATGGTCCCACTTTCAAGGCCATGCAACACTTTCAAGGCAGAGCTGGGCTTGGAGCCCACAGGTCTCCGTGACTCCGAGGCTTAGGTTTTTTCCAGGAGACCCTGCTGCTCAGTGCTGTAAACAGCCATGGTGGCTCCTTTCTTCTTGCATCAGGCAGTTACAAGCATGGGTGAGCACAAGCTCCCTGTGGAGCCCTGGGGACCCAGCCACGATCAGGCCAGATGGCATCCCTGTTCTGGGTAGGGGAAGGAGTTCCCGTCCACAGGAGAGATCGGGGCAGACCCAAGTGGGGGTTTCAGGTGGGACGCCTGCCAAGGGATGTTGGTGGGCAAAGAATTTCTGCACCAGTGGGGCATGCACTTGACCCAGGTCAACTGCAGCGTGGTGCACTGTGTCTCAGCTTTGATGGACTTCCTGCTCGGCCAAGTAGGTGTGCTCACAATTCCAGTTTTAAACAGAAGGCCTCGAACAAATTAATCCAGTCTCCCGGCTCTTAGTTTGACACAAGGGAGAATGTGTGGGGTGCCATGCTGCTTCCTCTTGGCCTCAGAGCTGCCCAGGGACCTGCCATCAGTGTGCCCACGTCGCTGATGCCACTCTGAGATATGAGCTGACTTTGCAGCCTCTAAGTAATGGAGCCACAATGCAAGGACACGTGCTCCCAATTCTGACACGTGCTCCAAGCACCATGGTCAGCACCCAGCCTGGCTGCATCCCAGCCCTCCCAGGGGCCAGACAGGCCAGAAGCCCGAACAGCCCTGCTCTCTCTCCCACCTTGGGGTTGGTGCCACATGAGTGGGCACTGCACACGGTCCGGCTCTTCACCAAGATGATGTGATGTGGTGGGCAAGCCCTCCTTATCCCAGGGTTCTGCCCTGCTTTTCTTTTCTTTTCTTTTTTTTTTTTTTGAAATGGAGTCTCGCTCTGTCGCCCAGGCTGGAGTGCAGTGGCACGATCTTGGCTCACTGCAACTTCTGCCTCCCGGGTTCAAGCAACTCTCCTGCCTCAGCCTCCCAAGTCTGTGAGATTACAGGCGCCCACCACCATGCCTGGCTAACTTTTGTATTTTTAGTAGAGACAGGGTCTCACCATGTTGGCCAGGCTGGTCTCAAACTCCTGGCCTCAGGTGACCCACCTACCTTGGCCTCCCAAAGTGCTGGGGGTACAGGTGTGAGCCACTGCGCCTGGCCACCCTGCTTTTTATCTCACCTCTGCTGGTGTCTGTCATCAACCTACTGTGCGCCTGGCCCCCTGCTCTGTGCTGAGCACCCCCACGGTCTCAGAAAGGGGCCGTTCCATGTCCCCGTCGGGTGCTTTGCAGGTTGCAGCTGCCCACCCCTGCCTGCTGTGGGTGGTTGTCAAATGCAGCATCCCCTTCCTTCACCGTGAGGAAGAGACCGGCTCCCCCTGCCATTCACGTGCACAGGAATGCACCAGAATCCACCAAGTGGCTGCATCTCCTCCACGGACCGTGAGGGCTTGGCGGGCAGGGACTGGGCCTCGTTCATCTTAGTTTCCAGGATAAAATGTGCACACAGTAGACCCTCCATAAACCATGGGGCTTTTGGACATCACCTATTTTACTGCTCTTTTCTTTCTGCCAAAAGCAATCTGCATTTATTAAAAAAAAAAAAAAAAAAAAAACAGTAATCAGCACACCAGAGGAAATTAAAGCATTTACATCCTGCCAGCCACAGTGGCCCTGCCGATGCTTCTGAGATACCCTTCAGGTCTCGCTTCTGTGTGTGTGTAATTTTTATAACATGGGGTCACACTGAACATATTATTTTGTAACCTTTATTTCAACATGGCAATAGTGCAGAGTATAAAAGCAACGTTCTTCCATTCTGTGTTATCATTGACTGGGTTATATGGTAATGATACTGTTGTAAGTGGCCATATTAGTGTGTATTATGCTGGGTGGAGTGTGGGAAGGAAGAAGGCAAAGAGGAAAAACCCTTTACACACACTCCAGAGACCTTCCGCCAATTAGAGAGTGCAGCCCGTTGTCATGGCAACCACCCAAGGACTTGGCATGGGGGAAAGTGGATCTGCAAGGCCACTTAGCAACCTGTCTGAGGGGTCGGGCAGGGGCTGTTGGCATCGTGCAGGCTGCCCTCTCTGACCCCTGCTGTCAGGGCTGGGTGGTTCAGGGAAGCCTGAGGAAGGCTGGGAGCTAACCCAGGGCAAGGCGGCCCCCTATGCTGTGGGGCTGGACAGGTGAATGCTGTGATCATCGCTGCTTGGAGGGGACGGAGGTGGGGAAGGGAGGATGCAAAACACACCCCGCCAGGCATCTGGCTGAGAGTTCACCTGACTTTTGCAAATGCTTGATTGGCTTTTGTTCAATTCACAAGCCTGCTGTCAACCTCACAGCTGGGCAAGGGTCTCAGTGATGAATCCTGGGCCTCTAGGAGCCACAGTCTTGAGGGGATAAGGGACAACTCAACAGATGAAGATCAACACTAACTTGTTGCGGGGGTGTGGGGAAGGAAGCCTCGAGGAGGGGCCTTCGCTGAGCCTGGAAGGACCAGAGGCAGAGCTTAGGGAAGAGGTGTGGGAGGGGCACATCCCAGAGAGGGAACAGCAGGTGCAAAGCCCCCAGGCTGTGAGTGACTGGGAGCTGAAAGGACTTGAGTGCTAAGTGGCATGGATAAGTGGGTAAACAAGCGCCAGAGTTCCAATTTCCCAGAAGGCAGAGGGGAGCTGCTGAAAATCCTGCAGGATCAGATCTCATGATTACAAATGGCTGGCTCGGGATTGGATCTCGGGTCTTTTGAACCCTGCCCCAGGCTCCAAAGGGGCAGCCAGAGGTCTGAGATGTCAGAACTTCTTTCTCTTCATGCATATCACAAATGTCAGGGTTCACCCCAAGACCCAACATCTCAGGAGAACCCTCAAGCCTGGTGATCAGGGAAGACTTCGTGGAGGAGGTGGGCTGGAGGCTAACAGACCCTGAAGAATACAGGAAAGCTGGAGTAGGGGGCTGAACCTGGCACACCTGGGGACATGGGGAAGAGACAGCTTAGGGTGAAGCTGCCAGGAACAGGAAGGCCAAGTTTGGGGGCCATAATGAGGGCTTACATTGTCCAGCTGAAGAGGGGGCTCCCAGAGGGTTTGAGCTGAGACCACTGGGATGCATCTGGGCCTGAGAGGCATTCCCCCCAGCAGTGAAGCCTGGAAAGGGGAGAGCTGTGGTGGGGAGCATGGGCTTTAGAGTCAGACAGCCAGGGTCATGTGCTGCCCTGCACCCTCCTGGCTCTGTGAGTCTGGGCAAGTTACCCAACCTCTCTGGGCTCTGGCTTCTACATTGTGAAAAGGAGCTTCTGTGAGCACCCCTTTGTGGCATCATTGTGTTTTGCGAGCAGATGATGGAGGGCTCAGCCCAGTGCATGTCTCGGGGTAGACAGCTCATCATGTCCAGAGGAGGCTGAGGCAGAATCGAGAAGCAGCAACAGGGATCTCCACCAGAGTCACCTGTGGCTGGAAAATGCCCCCGGCAGCTCCTGGGGAGCCCAGAGCCAGGGAGAAGGGGACAGGCAGGGGCAAGAGCACGTGCACAGTGCACAGTGGGGTACCGCGGAGGAAGGCTGGGCAGAATCAGAGCAGAGGGCAGCACACACCAGCTGGACCTCCCTGAGCAAACACAGGGGTTCTCCCAGCGTCCCGCATTCATTCAGCAAGGGCAGGAGCGCCACTGTGGGCCAGGGTAGGCCAGAGGTAGACAGGACAGAAGGGCCCCCGACCCTGCTGAGGGGTGTCCCAGCTGGCCTGTCAAATGCCAGGTGCTTTGCTGCAGGCAGCATGTGAATGTGTGTGAGTGCGTGTGGGCATGGGGGGTGGTGAATGTGAACTTGCTTGGTAGGGGTGGGGTGATTGTGTGCAAGTATGTGTGGGCAGATGTGCATGCACGTTTGTGGGTGAATCTGGGTGTGCAGGTGTGTGCCAGTGTGTGGGGGTGTGCCGGTTGTGTGTGAGTGAGCCATGGGCCTGGGGAGTGATTGCATGTGTGAGCACGTGTCAGTGTGTGGGTGTGGGCATGTGTGTGCTAGTATGTGGGAGTGGGCCAGGATGTGAGGGGGGTCTATACCTCCACAGTCTCAGACAGGCATGTTCTCTGTGTGGAGGTATACATGCACATGTGTGTAGTGCATGTGTGTGCCTTATGTGTGTGTGTGCCTGCATGTGTGTGCATGTGTGCGCATGCATGTGCGTGTGTGTGTGCATGTGTGCGTATGTGTGTGCACATGTATGTGTAGGTATGTATCATCACCCTTTGTATCCATGCATTCCACATCTGCAGATTCAACCAACCTCAGATTGAAAATATTCTTAAAAAACAATAAAAATAGCAAACAACAATAAAAAATAATACAAATAAAATAATATAAAAATAATACACTATTTTATTTATGTAAGTTAAATAATACAGTATAACATCGATTTACCCAACATTTGCATTGTGTTAGGCATTACAAATCACCAAGAGATGGTTTTAAGCAAATGGGAGGATGTGCACAGGCTACAGGCAAGAACCACATAATTTTACTTAACAACCTGAGCATATGAGGATTTGGGGATTTGAGGAGGGTCCTGGGGCCAATCCCACATGAATAGTAAGGGATGCGTGTGTGTTTGCCTATATGTGTGTTTGTGTGTGCAGTGTGTGTGTTTGCATGTGTGCGTGTCTGTGTTTGTACGTGTGCGTGCATGTACACATGTTTAAGCCATGGACTGAGTCTCACTGCCTGCCAGACCCCATGCCAGGTACATCACAGGCATGGCCTCCTTAACCCCAGAGCCTTCGGGTGTGATCATTTCCCTCATTTTGTACAGAAGGAAACTGAGGCTTAGAGAAGACACTTCCGCAAGGCCTACTGGCTCTTTTGTGGCTGGGCCTCAGGACCCAAGCCTGCCTGCTCTGGAGTTCCCTGTGCTTTTGACCCCGTCCCCATTTCACCTATACCAGGAGCTGGGGGTGAGCTCAGACTCTGCCCAAAGCGCTGTGACCCCAGCACCCTCTTCACGGCTGCTGGAGCAGCCACTGCCCTCTGGCTTTGGGGGCACTGTCCTGTGGGATGCATCTGGCTTTGGGGGCACTGTCCTGTGGGATGCATCTGGCTTTGGGGGCACTGTCCTGTGGGATGCATCCGGCTTTGGGGGTGCTGCCCTCTGGGGTGCATCTGGTGACTGTCCCCTCCCCAATTCTCTTTCCCCTCTCAGGCCAAGCTTGGTGGTGAGATCCTGGACTACAGGGACTTGGCAGCCCTTCCTAAAAGTAAGGCCATCTATGACATCGACCGCCCCGACATGATCTCCTACTCACCCTACATCAGCCACTCTGCAGGGGACAGGCAGAGCTACGGCGAGGTATGGACCCTGCCCACATGGCCCTGGACACCTGTGTCCCCAAGTGCTGCCCTGCAGGACAGGCGTCATCCCTAGCATGTGTCCTATGGGGCCAGAGCCACTTCCATCTTCACCACTCACCCACACGCTCAGCCTCTTCACGCCCATCAGATAGCCATGTGCACATCCTATTTCAGTAATGCCCAAGGCACTGTGGCCCCAAAGCTGCCGTTGCTGAAGGAGTGAGCCTGGAATGCCTCCTTAAATGGAGTAGAAAGTAGGAAGCATGCTGGTTTGTAGGAAAGATGATAGTGACTCAGTGAAAATCTCCTAATTTTCTTAAGTATTAGATTATTTTCATAAAGCATGAGATGCATTTCCTCTGTAGCGGACTCTTGGCCCGTGCCACCCTCGCTGCCATGGCTCTGCCCCATGCTCCTCTGCCCCATGAATTCATGAGCCAATGTAACCGACCTGGTTGAACCACAGATTATTTATTTCCTGGCCTGCCTGTGGACGGCGTTCCTACTCCTCAGAGGTTTCTTATTCAGAGCTGCTCTGTCCATTTCCCGTGGAATGCCTTGTTGGTTTTTGCTTTTCCTCTTGTGGTTCTGAGGTTTCAACATGACCGCAGCTGCCTGAGGTAGGAGGAGGCGTTGCCAGGCTGTTGGCCCGAGTGTGTGTGCTCTTGACATGCGTGCCGCCAGGCATGGGGGGCTCCCCGGGGTGGGGAAGCTCAGTCCTTTCAAACACGTTTCCCTTGGGCCTTCTCATTTTGAGACTTCAACAAGGGCCTCCAGGGAAGCAAGAGCTGAGACTCCAGGGCAGCGCGTTCGATGCGGATGGTGTGGGGCGAGAAAGTCATGGCTGCTGGGTGCACCTGCCAAGCTCAAGGGCTGTGCAGGGAGGGTGAGAAGAGCTCAGGGCCAGCAGGTGCCCTCCTGACTTGCTTCTGCCCCTGTGGATCACAGAATTTGAGGATGTGGGTGACAAGCCCCACTGACAATGAGAGGGACCAGTGGGGGGAGCTGAGGGAAGGCATCACGACCCACACCCACCTACCAACCACCCATCTGCACCCACCTACCTGCCACCCACTCACCTGCACCCACCTACCTACCACCCATCACCCACCTGCACCCACCTACCTACCACCCACCACCCACCCGCACTGACCTACCTACCACCCACCACCCACCCGTACCCACCTACCTACCACCCACCACCCATCCGCACCCACCTACCTACCACCCACCACCCACCCGCACCCACCTACCTACCACCCACCGACCTGAACCCACCTACCACCCACCACCCACCTGCACCCACCTACCTACCACCCACCACCCACCTGCACCCACCTACCTACCACCCACCACCCACCTGCACCCACCACCCACCTACCCACCTGCACCCACCTACCTACTACCCACCCACCTGCACCCACCTACCTACCACCCACTACCCACCTGTACCCACCTACCACCCACCTGCACCCACCCACCTGCACCCACCTACCTACCACCCACCACCCACCTGCACCCACCTACCTACCACCCACCCACCTGCACCCACCTACCACACACCCACCCACCTGCCCCTACCTACCACCCACCACCCACCTGCACCCACCTACCTACCACCCACCCACCTGCACCCACCTACCTACCACCCACCCACCTGCACCCACCTACCACCCACCAGCACCTACCTACCACACACCCTCCCACCTGCACTCACCTGCACCTGTCTACCACCCACCTACCTGCACCTTGCCTGCACCCACTTACCACACACCCCCCTGCACCCATCTGCAACCACCTACCTGCACCCATGTGCATCCACCTACACCCACCTACCTGTACCTACCTACACCCATCTACCTGCACTCACCTGCACCCACCCACTGCACCCACCTGTACCCACCTACCACATGCCCAGGCTGTGTGTTGGCTTTATTGTCCAACATCTGGTCTGCACCTGGACCAGATGCTGGAAGAGAGTCCGTGAGGACTCGCGTCTCGGCCACAGGGCTAAGACCCAAATCCAGTCCCTTCTTCCCCGCAAAGACCACAGGATGTGCTGGCTATTTTCTCAGCACATCCTGGCGCTCTCTCTGGGACGTGCGATTCAAGCCTAGAGGACTGGCCTCACGATCCTCCTCCACCTCCTGGCAGCCTTGGGGCATCGGGCACACCCCTTCCTGGTTTGAGTGCGTGTGTCCCTGTGGGAGGGCTCTGTGGCCATGAAGGGCCACATGCAGAGGTGATGTGTGTTGGGGTGGGCTGGTATCTCTCCCTGTCCTGCTCCAGGGTCTCATGGTATGACCAGGACACAGCTTCCAGGCCCAAGTGGACACGGGCCCTTAGCTGTTGTCACTGAGGTTTCTTTCAGCCTCTCTGGGGCTGCGCCTCTCAAATGGCAGGACATCTGTGAACCATGGATGATCCTGACCCCAGGACCTGTCCCCAGAGGGCAGAGAAGGGGCAGGAAGGGAGGGACTGTGGCTCGGGAGTCACCCCCTCCCTCTGGGGAGACCTGGGTTGGCCTCCCGCTCTGCTAAACAGTGGCACCTGTGTGTGAGCTTCCGCTCTCAGCCATAAAGTGCGACCCCATGGGGCCTGCCTCGGCAGGTGGACAGGGCTGGGCTCCTGGGTCAGGTGTGTCCATACAGAGCTTCCTCTATGCCGATGGCCGGGAGCAGCCTGAGGGTTTCTCCCTTGATTCCATCATTCCACCCATGGCCTTCAGCTTCCCACCTCCCATGGCACAGGGCTTCACAGGGCCCGTGGCAGCCTCCCAGAGGCCGTCGAGTTATTGCGCTGTAATAACCATGGTTCCTGTGAACAGAGTGCCTCCCCGCTCTGCTGTGGGAACGGCGTTCTCTTTCCCAATGCTTGCTCACCTCACAAGGGCTGTGCTCTTTCTGGGCCCCTCCCACCTCCATGCTCCTCACTGAACATATGTGCAGGTGGTGGTGGATGGGGTGCCAGCCTGGGAAGACGGGTCAGCCTGCTGTCTAGGGCCCCAGGACCCCCACGGCAGAGCCGTCTCCAACCCAAAGGCTTCTGGTCACCCTCTGTCTCTGCTGAGCACCTTTTCTCTCTTGTCCAGAGAAAACCGAGGTGATGGGCCCTCAGGATGTTGCTGCCTGTGCCCTGAGCCAGTGTCTTCCTTTTGGGAAAACACATCTTTGTGGGAGAACAGTGGGACGTGGGGGTGGCCAGGTAGAGACAAGCTCTGGGCTCATTGGCACGAAATCAGTTTCCCCGGGGGCCTCTTTCTCTGGGAAGAATTAACCATGTTTCTCCAAAGAGAAGGTTCTGGAACCCTGACTTGTGTCTCTCGGGGTAGAGTTCTTTTCCTGTCTGGAGGATCAGGGCTCTGTGTGGGTGTTTGCGCCTGTGTTGCCTGCCAGTCACGGAACTGCCCTCCTCCCTCTCTGCCTGGCGCCAGCACTAATGGCCACTTTGTGTGTTGTGTCCACAGTCCCCTCAGTTGCTCTCGCCAACGCCGACCGAGGTAACCACCACCCTCTCGCCTGTCCCCGCTTGCCGTGGCGCTGCTGCCTGGGTTATAAACATAACCACCCAGCCGCACTCCCGGGAAGGGCCTCCTCGGTGGCTCTTCACCATGGGGCCCGGGGCCACGGCCCTTGTGACATGGGGCACCCTCCTGGCTGCTGGTTATTTTTATGATCACCCCGCACTTGCATGCCTCCCCGATATGTCTGCCAGCCCTGCGGATGTGGCCGCCTGGGACGCGGGTCTACCCTGAGCAGATCGTGGTCTGGGCCGTGGCTTCCTTTAGGGGAAAATTCAGGATCCTGGCTGAGCCTGGGAGCGCTTCCTGCCTCCTGCCCCTCCACGTGGGTTGTGTGGAAGCACCCAGTCCTCGTGGAGAAACACTGGACGTGTCTCTCTACAAAAGAGCTTTTACTGTTAGTGGTCTAGTTTTTTTTTTTTTTTTCTGTTTCTCAAAATTAATCAGTGACATAGAGAGCTGCCAATCAGACTGCAGTCTGTGCGGCCGCACGGGTGGCCACAGCAGAAAGGTGTCATGGTAGCCAGGAATAGACAGCCTGGGCAGTGACCGTGCCCTGAGCTCTTCCCCTGTGCTTGATGCCATTGTAAACATTTCATAGGCTGGGCGTGGTGGCTCACACCTGTAATCCCAGCACTTTGGGAGGCCGAGGTGGGCGGATCACCAGAGGTCAGGAGTTCGAGACCAGCCTGGCCAAAACATAGTGAAACCCCGTCTCCACTAAAAATACAAAAATTACCCAGGCATGGGTGACACACACCTGTAATCCCAGCTAGTCGGAAGCTGAGGCAGGAGAATCGCTTGAACCCGGAAGACGGAGGTTGCAGTGAGCTGAGGTCACGCCACTGCACTGCAGCCTGGGTGACAGAGCGAGACTCCATCTCAAAAAAAAAAAAAAAATGTATATTTATTCATCCCCCACCACGACACCCAGAGGCAAGTTCTGTGATTTTCCCCAGGTTACCGCAGAGAAACTGAGGCACAGGGAAGTCACATAACCTTTCCAGGGTCACGCACTATGAGGTGCAGGAGGATTTCAGCCCAGCGGTCGGCTCAGAGCCTATGCTCACCCACTGGGATCTCCAGCCTCCTGCTCCAGACAACCTGCCCCATGGGAGCTGTGACGGCCATGGTACCTGGGTGCTGTATCCCTAGAGCAGTGATTCCTATGTACCGGTGACTTTTGATGTCCCAGGCCTGGGGCCGGGCATCTTTTCATCTCCTCATTTACCTGCACAGGGAACCCCTGAGGGAGGGATGTCAGCTTCCCTTCCAGATGAGGTGCAGGGTCTGCCTGACACAGAGCACACTCCTGGGAAGAGCCTGGTCTCCCTGCAGAGGCCCCTGTCTCAGGCTGTACCCCAGAGTGGGGCACAAAATCATGCACACTTGCTCAGTGGGAGGGTGCACAGCCATGCACAGCCTGCAGGCTTCTGGTCCAGAGGTGGTCACAGGACCTCGGCCAACCTTACTGGGACTTGCCTGCTTCCTTCCTTCCCTGCACACAGCCAGGATTCCCAGTCCAGCCCTTAGGAGTGGTCCGAGGCTGAGGCCCTCCCCAGGTCCTGACAGCTTTGGAGAACCGGAATCTTCTGCAGAGCCCCTTCCGTGGCTTCTCCGCTTGGCTCCTTAGCCTGTCCCCATAGACACAGTGCTGGGGGATGGTAGAGGAACAGGGCAAGTGTGGGCCTTGGTGGTGCTGTTCTGCTGGAAGAACATGGCCCACCTGCAGAGCCAGCAGCAGCTGGGCATCAAACTCTTGGATCCAACGATGTGACGGCCAAACACACAAGGGGCCACTTGCACCGAGCTGCCAAACCCACATGTAGCTGGAAGCCCTGAGTCCAAGCTGAACAAGGAGCCAGGACACCTGTAAGGTGGACAGGGCTGTGCAGAGGACGCCCGGGGTAGAGAGGCAGGGCACTAGCCGGCCCGAGAGAGTGCGCCCCGGGCTGGGGTTAGACAGTCGCCAAAGGGAGCAGGGTGAAGCGCAGGTAGGAACCTAGCATGAGGGCTGGCCTGAGCGCATGGAGGTGGCGCACCAGGCAGGCGTTAGGGACAGCACACCTCGGGGTGGGAGACGTGCTCTGACAGGCCAGGGGAGCCATGGGCCCAGACCGGGAATTCCTTTGCTCATCACTGTGCTGGCCTTGAGGGCAAAACTGCAACCTCCACCCTGCAGCAGGACACTGGGCTGGGCCATGTAATGACCCGGGACAGCATGCCAAGCTGTGGTGGGCCAGGCAGCCTGCTCTCCCCCGTGCCATGGTGCCACGCCACCCCACACCACCTGCCTCCCACTCTGCCTGCTGCAAACAGCTGCTCCTGCTTGGATGAAGTCTGCCATGTCGGTGCTTGTGGGTCTGACTCAACTGGGCTTCCCGGCCTGGGGTGGAGTAACTTTCTACCTCCAAATGTGCCTCCAGGGCCGTTAGAGCCCCCAGTTCACACGTGAGAAACCCCCATAGGGACTGGGGGAGTCTCCGTGGTTCTCACACTGTGTTCTAAGAGCTGGGCGCTGGCGAGGGTCAGGCAGGAGGAGACCTGGAGGATGAAGCTGGAGCCCCCACCGGCAGGAGGGGAAGATGGGGGATCCCCGCCAGTGGGTCCCTGTACCACACCCTGTGGCAAGGATCCAGCAGGCACAGCGGGGAGTGTGTCTGCACCACACCAGCCCCACTCGGCTCTTCAGACCTGCCCTGACAGGTGCAGGAGATTCCCACATGGGGCCATGTTGAGTCATCCACTTGGGTCAGGAGGGCAAACACCAAATGGTGTCGGGGGATGGGTGGACAAGGGGTGGGAAGTGCTCCCGGCTCCAGTGTTCACAAGCTGCATCTTCCCTCCCAGGGGGATCAGGATGACCGGTCCTACAAGCAGTGTCGGACCTCCAGCCCAAGCTCCACTGGGTCGGTTAGCCTCGGGCGCTACACTCCGACCTCACGGTCACCACAGCACTACAGCCGTCCAGGTACTTGGCCCCCTGGTTCCTCTGAGCCCCCAGGATGCTGTCCTTTTCCTTTTTTTTTTTTTTTTTTTTAGTTTTTTTTTTCGGTTATAAGTGGCATTTTTCTTATACAACTGGAAATATGATGGAAATGGGTGGGATTGCCAGCGGGTGGGTGGCTGAGAACCTGTTCATTTAGTGGCATAAAGAAAAGGACCTCCTCATGCCTTGGGGCGAGGTGAGCTGCAGAGGCTGCCCTGCTGGTTAGCGGAGCCCTCCGTGGAGCACACAGCCTAGGGGGCACACGCTGAGCGCTTAGATTCCAGCTAATGATTGGGTGGCAAGAGACGTCAGGAAGATAAGACAGCATATGTGTCAGGAGAGCAGACGTTGGCCGGCTGCAAGCTCATGTGGGTCTCGGAAGATGTGAGCTGGGAAAGCAAAGTCAGTGGTGGAAAAATGAAGCCCATTAACATTTCACCTGTGGCTAGGTTGATCACCCAGTGACAGCTGTCCTCACGGGAGAATGGGTGAGAGGTCCCCGCCAGTCAGGAGAGAGCCCCGAGACAGGTCCTTTCCACACGTGTCACCTTGTCCCCTGCCTGGCGCCCAGCTGTGTATCAATCCCTGTAGCTGTGAAACTCCTCGACCCCCTGAGCGTGTCAAAGCCACAGCAGGGACGCTCCACACGGACACTGCCTTTCGAGGGATTTTTCCAAGCTGCTTCCTTCCTGGCCAGCTGCTGCATGCCTCCATTTATACATCCATGGACTATGGCTCTTATTTTTGCAGCCTTTGTGGAAAAATCAAAACTCATTCATTTGCAAAGTTATTTCCATTGACTCCTTGCAATGTGCCTGGTACATTCTGCTCAATAAATGTTGAGAAAGTGGGTAAAGGAGTGAGTGCATGAGTGAATGAGAGAGTGAATGAGTGAATGAGTGAGTGAGTGCATGAATGACTGAATTAGTGAGTGAAGGAATGCGTGACCAAGTGAATGAATGAGTGAGTGAACAAGTGAATGGGTCAGTGAGTGAATGAGTGATTGAATGAGTGAGCAAGTAAGGGAATGAGTGAGTGAGTGAATGAGTGATTGAATGAGTGAGTGAGCAAGTGAATGAGTGAATTGGTGAGTGAATGAATTAATGAATGAGTCAGCGAGTAAATGAGTGATTGAATGAATGAGCAAATAAGGGAATGAGAGAGTGAGTGAATGAGTGATTGAGTGAGCAAGTAAGTGAGTGAATGAATGAGTGAGTGAGTGAGTGAATGAGTGAATAAATGAGTGAGTGAGTGAGCAGGTGAGCAGGTGAGCTAAGGGCAGTCAACTTTATTGAGCTCCTCGTCCTAAGGGCCCTTTGCTGGCTCAATCCCCATAGCACAAGGACAGCCTGGGCTTGTTGACTGCGCTTGGCCCAGGCTAACCCAAGAGCCAAGCTTGCATCTCGCCGGACGAGTCCGGTGACGATGTCTGGTGGCAGACCACTCCCTGAACTGCTCTCCAGCTGAGTCCTTGATCCCCAGGAGACCCCAAATGCTAAGCGACAGGCCTGGCTAGGGGCCTAACCCCCCCTGGGGAACCCCAGCCCAAGGCTCCTATGCAGCACCCTGGGCCTCTGCCTGGTCCTCTGAGGTCCGGTTTCCTCGCTCCTGGAGGAGAGTGGTCTAAAGCATGTTTGGTGACCACCTTCAGGTGCAAAAAGTTGTGCATTCCTCAAGAGAGGAAGCAACAGTGTTCGTAGCAGAGTGGGGATGAGGAATATGTGTGGCGTTGCACCAGCCAGCCCAGGTTGACTCTGACTTGCTCTCTGTTACCCCGTAGCTGGTACTGTGAGTGTGGGTACCAGTAGCTGCCTCTCCCTGTCCCAACACCCAAGCCCTACATCCGTGTTCAGACATCATTACATCCCCTACTTCCGAGGTAAGGCACGCAGTGATGTGGGCTGTGGGTGCTCATGGGTGTCCACGCCCGGCGTCTGTGTGCTCGCTGTCCATGTCTGCCGCATGGCTTCACCGGAGCCCCTGTTTCATGCCCTGTGCCCCTCTCTGTGTGTGTCTTGTGTGTCTGGCTCCGTGTGTCCATGAGCAAATGTTCCTGGAAGGAAAACTTAGGTACCTTGTTACATAAAGGAACAGAAGGGAGAGAGGGCTTGGAAAGCTACAGGAAGAGGGGACCCGGGTTCCTGCACACCCGCCCACAGGCTTTGTCCTCAGAACCCCTACCCAAGTCACCACCTCTGATTTCATGTGTCAGCCGGGGGGCACAGGTGCTCTCAGGGTTTGTGTTCAGGAGCAGAAGCTACGCTGTACGGAGGGCCCTGACTCTTCCACAGCCCCAGAGCTCCTGGGGCCCAGGGCAGGGTTCACACCCAGTGTGGCTCCAACTCTCGGCTCTTCCAGGAGTGGATGAGCCATCCACATCCCTGCACGGGCACCCACATGCTGGTCACGCAGGGAAACGGCCACGCTCATGTTTTCCTGTATGCTGTGGACTGAAAAATGCATCCCCCACATTCATAGAGCCCTAATTCCTGACGTGACTGTATCTGTAGAGGGGGCCTTTAAAGAGGTGATCAGTTAGATGAGGTCCTCAGGGTGGGCACAGATCCCATAGTACTGACATCTTTATAAGAAGAGAAGAGACGCCAAAGCTCGCTCCCTCTCCACACACACTCAGGTAAAAGGCCACTGCAGACACACACTCAGATAAAAGGCCACTGCAGACACACACACTCAGGTAAAAGGCCACTGCAGACACACACACTCAGGTAAAAGGCCACTGCAGACACACACACTCAGGTAAAAGGCCACTGCAGACACACACACTCAGGTAAAAGGCCACTGCAGACACAGCGATGTCTGCAAGCCAGGAAAAACAGTCTCAGGAGAAGCCACACCCTGCCAGACCTGGCTCAGAGATGTGCAGCCTCCAGCACTGTGAGAGGAAATATGCCTGTTGTTTAAGCCACACAGGCTGTGGTATTTTGTGACACAGCCCAGCTGACTGGTGCACCACAGAAAGACACTCAGAACATTAGAGGAGGCAGCAATGATGTTCTTGCCAATTCCCCAAGCAATGCAATAATTCCCCATCCTGAGCAGCTGCTGAGTGGGAATGTCTCTGGAAAAGCCTCCCAGGCCGCAGGCAGCGAGAAGGTGGGGCAGGCAGCTGGACTCTCCATCACTGGATGGTCACCAAACAGGGTTCATTCAGACCTGCACACCTCTCCGTGTACCTCATCATCATTGCTTTGGGCGGGCCCCGTGGCCTACTGAGAGTTCCTGGCCATTGATGGACATGGCCGTCCTCATTTTTCTGAGGGCCTGTCCCTACAGCTTTGGGATGATCTGACTCCTTTGAGAAGAAGCAAAGTCTTCACCTGGGTGCAATGGCTCATACCTGTAATCCCACTGCTTTGGGAGGCCCAAGCAGGAGAATCACTTGAGGCCAAGAGTTTAAGACCAGCCTGGGAAACCTGGTGAGACCCTTTGTCTGAAAAAAGAAAAACGCCGGGCATGGTGGTGCATGCCTGTAATCCCAACTCCTCGGAAGGCTGAGGCAGGAGGATTGCTTCGGCCAGCAGTTTGAAGCTGCAGTGAGCTACGATTGTGCCACTGCACTCCAGCCTGGACAACAGAGTAAGACCCTGTCTCAGACAACAACAAACAAACAAGCAAAGCCAGAAAGGGCCCCTCCCCAGAACAGAAGCATGGCCAGCAGGGGCTTTGCTGCGTGTGGTCCACGGCAGTCGTGTGGCAGGGGGCGGTCCTGAAACCCAGAGTGAATCAACCATTTGGGTGAGTCACGGCAGGGCACCCAAGGAGATGCCGCTTCTCCTGTTGCTCCATGCCAGGAGGCCCTGGACACCCGGCTCTCCTCCCACCTTCAGCCCTCCTTCTGGTGTGGCTGTCCCAACTGTGAGTCCCTGAGAGGGAAGTGGCCAGAGCCGAGGGCAGGCTCACCCCGCTCCCCAGGCAGCCCCTGTGAGCAGCCTCTGTGGGTCCTAGAGCCAGAGCCAGCCCTGGCGACCCTCCCCTCCTCTGCCCCGTCCTGAGTGTCCACCGTCTAATTCTTACCACTTCAGGGTGAAGAAGGCCCAGGACAGGCCCCCTGGGGAGCAGCCCCCTCCTCAGCTCCCGAGACAGCCAAGGAGAGAGCCCAAGGACTGGCAGCCCTCTCCCCTTCCTTCCACGCCTTGTAGCAGAGGAGGGTGCCCACCTACCCACCACCAGTTTGGAGGCTACCCACCTACCCACCACCCCCCACCACAATGTGGCTCCGAAGCCGTCTATGCCACAGCCCCTCCAAGGGCATCTCCCGGGGCCAGGAGGCACCTTCCCTTTGAGACCTCCCCTGGGTGGGGCCAGGTTTTTGCCTCTTTGATGCCCATCTCTGCCCTGGTTCCCCCGGCCACATTGCCTGCCAGTGCCCTTCGTTCAGAAATCACATGAGGCCAGGCGTGGTGGCTCACCCCTGTAATCCCAGCACTTTGGGAGGCCAAGGTGGGCGGATCACCTGAGGTCAGGAGTTCGAGACCAGCCTGGCCAACATGGTGAAACCACGTCTCTACTAAAAATACAAAAATTAGCCGGGTGTGGTGGCGCACCTGTGGTCCCAGCTATTAGGGAGGCTGAGGCGGGAGGATTGCTTGAATCCAGGAGGCGGAGGTTGCAGTGAGCTGAGACTGAGCCACTGCACTCCATCCAGCCTGGGCAACAGAGCGAGACTACATCTCAAAAAAAGAGAAAAAAGAAATCACAAAAAGCCACCTGGCCACCTCTCTGGTGTCTGGTGTGGGGGAGCCTGGCACCCATGCTCTGCCCCTACTAGACTCCCCTGGCTGTCCGTAACCTTGGGAACACCCAGCCTCTTTCCAGAATGTACTCCTGAGGGAACTGAGGCTCAGAAGAGAAGCCACTGGCCAAGATCCCAAAGCTCCTTCTGGCAGAGCCCAAGGTCAGGCTTCTACCCGGGGTCCCGTTCACAAATTGTGTTCACCCTCAGGTCCTGGGTCGACCTCGGAGGCCACACGAAGGTGCCTGTCCTCCTCTGCAGCCATGGGCTCCAGTGTGTCCCAGCCTAGGACCTCTTGGTGGCAGCCCCCAGGGGTCAGCTGGACACCAGGCAGCGTCGCCTGCCCTCTGGGAAAGCCCTTCCTGTTTGCTCCCCGGGCTCCTCTGGCGTCTCTGGCCCCTCTCAGTGGACATTTCCCTCCGGACGGCACTGTACGGGGGCGGCTGCCCGAGGCAAGGCCTGGCCCCACCCCCCACCGAATGCTGGCAGGGCCTCACCCCCGGCACACCTTCCCACCAAGACCCAGCTTCCAGAGTGGTGCTGGCCACAGCCATGGGCACTTTTGTGTGAATTTCAGTTTGGCGTGTCCCCTGTGGAGGAGCCGACAGCGGGGGCAGGAAGTGCAGGCTGGGAGGGGAGTCGGTGCTGCTGAAGCCTCTGGCCAGGCAGCCTCCATGTGCTGAGCGGTGGGCCCACTCTGAACCCCTGGCCTGAGAAGGAAGGAGGGAGGGGCCCTGGGATGGAGCCTCAGGTCCAGGCCCGCACCCTCCACTGCCCAGACCCCGGCAGCGCCTCTTCATCTTGCTGAGCGGCCATTCCTTCAGCTGCAAAAGGTCCTCATAACTGAAGCATCGTCCTCAGGGTGATTGTGGTTGAGGACCCAGGATGTGGCTGTGCATTGCAGCATGGGCATCATCCTACCTGGCCTGCCCGTGGCCACCAGCTGGCCTCTCTGCGGTGTCACCTGGAGGAGGCTCCACAGGAGCCAGCTGAGCCAGCACCAGGCACACACTGGGCCACTGGGAGCACCACGATGAAGGATGTGTCATTGGATTGTAAACTAGAGTATAATAGCAAGAGCCGTCAGTCCACAAGGATCTACATAAATGTTGAGTAAACAAATAAATGGAGAGAAAGCGAGATCTCCCACACAGAGGAATTCCAAATAACGGGAGTAGATGCCTCGTCCTCCAGGAGGGGGTCGTAACTCCCACTCCTGACATGTGGACAAGTGTGGGCTACACAGAGTGGCTCCTTCCCGAGAGCGCCATGTGGGAGGGGAGAGAAGGAGCAAGTCCACCGTGGAGCAGGCCACCATGGCTGACGAGCATGACCCGGTCAGCAAGGCCGCCACGGCCAGTGATCCGCTCTGCTGACAGCAGGTGCCCTTGATAGGATGTGGTGAGGACACTTCACCTCATGGGCTTCCTTCTCAACCCCATAAGCCCAGTATCGCCATGAGAAAACATCAGGCAAAAACCCTCAGCAGCCCTCCTCAAAACTGCCAGAGTCCTCAGACACAAGGAACGTCTGCAAAAGGTCGCAGCCGAGAGGAGCCTTGGGAGACGTGCCGACAGAACGTCATGTTTCCTGGGTGGGATCCTGGAGCGGAAGAACATCAGGTGACACCCGGGGAAACCCGAATCCCGTGCGGCGTGCAGGTGGCACCAATCTGTGGGCACCCTAGTGATGGGAGAGGGGACGGCAGGGACGCGGGCCGGGAGGGTGCGGGAGCCCCCTGGACTACCTGAAGCTGTTCCTAATGAAACATTTACTGAAATTTTTAAAAATGGAAGAGGAGAGGAGGGGGAGGAGGAAGAGGAAAAAGTAGAGAAGAAGGAGGAGGAGGAGGAGAAAGAGGAAAAAGTGAAGGAGGAAGAGGAGGAGGAGAAAGGAAAAAGAGGAAGAGGAGGCAGAGGAGGAAGAGGAAAAAGAAGAGGAGGAGGAGGAGGAAGAGGAAAAAGTGGAGGAGGAAGAAGAGGAGAAGGAAGACTTTTCGAAAGGGCTGAAGCTGCTCCTCTCCTAACAGGCAGCATCCCAGGTTAAAGGATGCTGAAGCATCCCCGTCTGTAGCATATCAGAAGCCCCCTGGGATGTGAGCCTAGCAGCACAGTGCTCCAGGTGGGAGCTGGCGATGCATTTTGTTCCAACGAAGCCTCACAGGCAGCAGGCAGGCATGAGTGCAGAGGAGGGAGAGGTCCTCAGAGACCAAGTCCTACCAGAAGGCTGAGCAGAGGAGGCAGAGCCTGAACCTGGACCCAGGAAGGGTCCGGACAGGTGGGAAGCCCTGGAGAGGACACTCGTCAAGGGGCGGGGTGCTGGGAGGGAGGGACCGAGGTGGCAGGACTCGGGCTGGTGTTAGAGGGCCCTGGGGGGCCAGAATGAGGTGGGCCAACATGGCTGTGTCCCCAGCTTCCCTGCGGCCTCAGGCCCCTCCAAGTATCTGATGAAAGCTGATGAGTCTCCGGACCCTCCTCAAATAGACGTGCACATGTGTCCACAGACTCTGGTTTGAAACTTCAGGGGATGCTGCCCTGTGGCTGGGAACTGGGGAGGGACAGGTACACTGTGATGTGTTAGATCCTCGGCCCACTGAGTGGGGGCTGAGGCAGATCAGGGGCCATGATTCCAGATAGGAAGAAACCAGCCCTTCCTGGCCTCCCAGGTCCACGAGCTGTGCCAAGAGCACACACAGCTTAGAGATGGTGCCTGAAGCAAACCGTCTTCCTCTGTTCAGAGTTCGTGTGGGTGCAGTTTTTAAAACCTGCCCTGTTTTGCTGCCAGTGGGGATGGGTCCAGCACAGCCGTAGTCGGTAGGAGGGATCCGCGGTGTCCTTTCCGGGCACGTGAGTCCAGTCTCCCTGCTGTGAGGCCCCTGCTGCCACCAGGAGGTGCAGGAGTCCACCGTGGAGCATCCTGACGAGCGTGACCTGACCAGCAAGGGTGCCACGGCCAGCAAGGGCACCTGTAGAGCCAACTGAGGCTCTAGAAGGTTCCATGCTGTTCTGGAGGGAGGTTGCTAAGGGAAGGGCAGTTATCTGACGCTCCATCAGCATTGACAGGCAAAATCAGCACCCATGCCCAAGCACGAGAAAATGCTCAAAGTTAGAGCCTGCAGTCCTTTCTACGGCATCAGCCTGGCTGGGGCCACCCTGCTCCTAGGTGACCTCCCGCTGCATGCAGCCCACCACCAGGCAAGAGCCCCCTCTGGGCCAGTGTCTGTCGAGCCCTCCTCACGAGTCCACTGTGGGGTCCCTGGCCAGTCCACCTTCAGGCCCAGCACATCACTCACCCACCGCAGAAGTTCTATTTCTGTTTCATTTCGATGTCACCGCAGGGTCCTGCTGCTCTGAAAGGCTGTGCAGCTTGAGGGAACGTTCTCAGGTGAAGAGCGCCTTACCCCTTGCAGCCCATTGCCTAGTGCTGAGGGGGCTTCCTGGGGCTGGCAGGTGGGAGGAACGGGGCCTTGGGAGTGTCTTCTGCAGGGAGCGTACACCTTCTCTCATCACAAGCATTCAATACCCTGCATCTGTCTGTCACCTCATTCCCCAAACAGGTGTGGGGGGAGGGGCGTCACCCAGGTCACCTCGGCCCTCTGGATGCGTGACTTGATAATCCAACCTTGTTCGCAAAACAGAATTATAGTTCCAGGTGAGCTCAGCAATTGAAGCAGGGTCAGAGGATGCTTTCCATTTAATTTGCCAAAAAGCAGTTGTATTTAAGAATGTGGCCAGGGTGCGGTGGCTCATGCCTGTAATCCCAGCACCTTGGGAGGTAGAGGTGGGCAGATTGCTTGAGCCCAGGAGTTCAAGACCAGCCAGGGCAACGTGGCAAAACCCCATCTTTACAAAATTAAAAAAATTAGCCAGGCGTGGTAGTGCACACCTGTGGTCCCAGCAACTTGGGAGGCCGAGGTGGGAGGATGGCTTGAGCCCAGAAGGTGGAGTCTGCACCCTGCAGAGCCGTGATTGTGCCACTGCATTCCAGCCTGGGTGACAGAGTGAGACACTGTCCCAAAAAAAAAAAAAAAAAAAAAAAGAATGTGGTAATGGATGGATACTACTCTTTTCTTATCTTCTGCAGCTGGCAAAATTTTACTCAATGGCTTTTAAAGGACAATTTTGATCATTTTAGTGCTTTAATCCTATTCTGAGCAGCTAATTTTTAGATTCTCAAGGAAAACAGCATGTTTATATACAAGGATAATTAGGAAGAGGGGCCTTTGTTTTGGCGAATTTGCAGTTGGTTGGATTCAAACACCAGCCAGGATGCAGAGGCGCAGATGGAGTGAGCCCCCTAAGGTGTTCTTAGTTCACCGCCCAGCCCTCTGCCCTCAGCAATGTCGCTCCTCTGCCTTGGGACTCTGGACAGACTTCAACTCAGGGTTGGATTAGCAAGTCCTTGGACACAGTCTGGGAACGTGGATGAGGCCCACACTCCTTCCCCTGGGCAGGGGATCTGGGCTGCTCCACCAGACAGGAGAGATGGGGCTCGCTGCAAATAAGCTTTTCATGCTTGAAATATTCTACTTTGCTTTCCCGTTTCCCCTTCTATCTGCTGCCTTTGCCCTTCCGTCTGGAGGCAGTGAAAGTGGCCGGAGCACCCCCAGCCTCTCCGTGCTCTCTGACAGCAAGCCGCCCCCCTCCACCTACCAGCAGGCACCTCGCCACTTCCACGTCCCAGGTAGGCTCCGGGACACGCTGGCTGGGCTCCTTACACTGAAACTGTCCACACCGAAACTGGCCACACCCAAACTGTCAGCTTGCCTTGACTCAGCAGGCGCCAGACGACACTCCAGGCTCCTCCACTGCTCCCCAGGCACTGAGATTTCTTTAAAACCATCAGACGGGTTTTCACAACCCCAAACCGATGTGTGTTTGAGTTTCTTCCAAATTCCCACAAACGGCAGGGAGATACACCTGTCCTCCTGGGAATGGGGTGAAGGAAAAGGGCTGTCTGAGCTGGCTACACTTCCCGGGGGACCACAAGGTTCCTGGCTGCTGCCCCATCTCCTGCAGATGAGGGTGGCATCTGGAGTCAGGGAGGCTTGATCTGGGGCCTGGGTGTCTGTCGCTCGCTGGGTGCCAGTTCCTGCCTGATGATTCTAAATCTGGGTGAGTGCTTGTTGCTTACAAAAAGCTGTAGAACAGAAACCATCACAACTTGCTGCTTACCCTCCTGTTCTCTCCTTTTTTTTCTTTCTTCTTCCCCAGACACTGGCGTAAAAGATAACATCTATAGGAAACCCCCTATCTACAGACAGCATGGTACGGTTGGATTCCTCCCGCTGCTGTGGTTTGCCCCGCATGCCTGTCAATACCCATCTGCTTCTGAATGCATCCTTTTGTTGTGTTCTGATAAATGCAGTGAAGGCACCACCAAGGCCCTTAGCAGTCTGACTATTAAATGCAAATTCACTAGCAGCCTCCCGAGAGTCCTGTTCTGATAAATTACGATGAAGGGTATGTCTGAGTAAGGAACTTCTGTGCGTTACGACGCCGAGGCTAATGCACATCAGCCAGGGCTTGGGATGGGGGTTTATAGCCAAGAGCCTGGTGGTGGCGCCTTCAATTATGCAGCCAGAGAGACTTTAGCCAAGATGGTGAGGGACAGAGGCTCCTAGAACCACAATCTGATCCAGGCCCGATCTTTGGAATATAGAACAAACTTGAATCGGTCGTTTATTCCTCAGGGAGACTTTAGTCTTGAGTTTTGAGAATTTCTGATGATGGGATGGGTGACCTTGCCTTCCGTTACGGAGATTTCTTGCATAAGCAAATAGGAGCTGACGCCCAGCTCTGCTCCACGTGAACCTGCCTGGGAGGTGCGCAGGGAGCAGCTTGCGTGGGCCATGGAGCAGGAATCGGGGCCACATGGTCTCCCCTCTCTTTCCTCCTGGGATTTCTGGGTGATTGACAGCAGGTTGCTTCACCATCCTGAGCCTCGGTTTACTCATCTGCAAAACAGGACCGATCCCCTCCACCCCGCCCTTTCCACAGGCTGACCGTGGGAACTTCATGGGATATCGAATAGGGAAGTGCATTCTAAACTGTAAAGTGCTGTGCACATGATGGGAATTGTATCAAGTCACTAGCGATGGGAAAAGGCATTTCCATATTAAACGTTCTTGTCCAGATGTACCTAAAGCAAATAGCCACATCCCACATTGACAACTGGATGGACACTTTTAGATGGAATCTCATAAAAAGTGTGTTTCCTGTGACTTGCTGACAAATCAGTGATCAGGTTATACAAACTTTTAAAATACTTTCTCCATCATGGCAATAGGTCCTGTACTTTGTGCATTTTTTTCCTCTTTCCAAGAAGGAAAAAAGTGAATGAAATGTCTTGAGTTTCCAGAAATGATGGCTTCTACCATTGCCTTTCCACCAGAGAAGCGTAGAGCATGAACCTCCAAGAGGGATCAGAGCGGGATGGGCTAGATAGACTCTAGGGCCCTTAGAAATTGTCCAGACCAGTTCCCTTGGGTTACAAGTGGGGAAACTGAGGCCTGGCCAAAAGAAGGAGCAGCCACAGTAAGTGACTGGCTTTCCATCATGGCACCCAGCCTGAACAGCCTGCCTGGAGTGCTGTGTATTCTGTGCTGGTGGGGCTACAAGATTGGGATTGACTACCTTGGCCTTTTATTAACCCCCCATTTTGTCTCAGATTGGTGCCTTAAAATGTGTGATTAACATGTGCAGGACAGGAGGGGGTCTGCCCCTTAGAAAGGGGAAGAGAGCAAACCAGGTTATGAAATTGTTCATTGTCATCCAACAGACCCAGATCTAAGACAAAGAGTTTCGACCTCAGTCCTTTACCTGAACCATCCAGTGGAGAGATTAGATTTTACTGTCTCCAGTGATCGTCTTTGTGCTTTTTTTTTTTTTTTTGAGACGGAGTCTCGCTCTGTCACCAGGCTGGAGTGCAGTGGTGCGATCTTGGCTTACTGCAACCTCCGCCTCTTGGCTTCAAGCAATTCTCCTGCCTCAGCTTCCCAAGTACCTGGGACTACAGGAGCAAACCATCGTGCCAGCTAATTTTTTTGTATTTTTAGTAAAGGTGGGGTTTCACCATGTTGGCCAGGATGATCTCAATCTTTTGACCTTGTGATCCACCCGCTTCAGCCTCCCAAAGTGCTAGGATTATAGGGGTGAGCCGCTGCACCTGGCCATCTTTGTGTATTTTTAAAAATCTGGCTATATATGATTCTCCTATGCAAAGGCAAGTTAATTCCTGTTTGATTAAACCCTAAGCAAGGACCAAAATTCTTTTATCATTCCAAAATTTTGCTGTAAGCCGGGTGTGGTGGCTCACACCTGTAATCCTAGCGCTTTGGGAAGCACAGGCGGGCCGATTGCCTGAGCTCAGGAGTTCGAGACCAGCCTGGGCAACACAGTGAAACCCCATCTCTACTAAAATACAAAAAAAATAGCCAGGTGTGGCAATGTGCACCTGTAGTCCCAGCTACTCGGGAGGCTGAGGCAGGAGAATGGCTTGAACCCAGGAGGCGGAAGTTGCAGTGAGCCGGGATTGCGCCACTGCCTGGGTGACAGAGTGAGACTCTCTCTGAAAAAAAAAAATAATAATAATAATAATAATAAATAGGGAATTAGGAACACAAGACAGGCAAGAATAGAGCACCTCCCTGAACAGTCAGGAATGGTCATGAAGCAGGGCTAGTTGTATGAGGGCCTGGGAGGAGGCGGCGCAGGAGGCCTCGCACCCACCAGCATGTCATCTACTCAAGGGCTGAACGTTGAGGAAGTTTAACAGGTCAGGAATAAGTGTGGACATTTTTGTGTTTCCACACACCATCTAGGGTCACTCATGGTATTAAACCCAGTTACTTTTAGGAGTGTTGACCTAAAAAACCGGAGAGAAGTATCTCCAAATATGTTGAAAGTACTGAGGAATTAGAAAAGAGGATTCTAATCCGAGATGCATGGCTGTGGCAAGCCATATATGCACCCGAAGAGGAGAGGGTAAAGGGAAGCTCTTCTTAGCAAAAGCGTTTCACATAAGCTGCCTAGAAACAGAGTTCATCGGCGGCAGAGGCTCGAGGCTGGAGCTGGCGTCCGTTCATTGGTAGAGACGCCAACACTGGGCAGGTGTTCTGTGGAGAGCATCTTATCTTGGTTTCTGCGGTCCTTGAGAAGGAATTTCTGGTGAGGTTACTGTGGAAAGTCCTCGAGACAGTCTTTATCTCCAGCACGCAGGCAGGAGCTGTCCTGCCTCATGCTTTCCTGGCTCTAGTTTGTCTGGTCTGAGAAAAAGTGATTTCTTCCTGGGACCTGCAACCCTCCCAGGAGGCAGACCCAGTGCAAACCACAGCCCCTGGCTTCCAGCTACATCGTGGGGAGCTTCCTTTCTCAGAGTCTGTCTCCCCTGGAAAATGGGACTCAAGGCCATATAACCCGTGGGGCTTTGAGGCTGTTTCAGGGAGATGACACACGACACTTGATATCGGGCAGGGACCTTCTGTGGATCGATTCCCTCAGGGGAGGGAAGCTGTGCGCAGTTTAAAATGAATTCATGACCGGCCAGGCACAGTGGCTCATGCCTGTAATCCCAGCACTTTGGGAGGCCAAGGCAGGTGGATCACGTGAGGTCAGGAGTTTGAGACCAGCCTGGCCAACATGGCAAAACCCCATCTCTACTAAAAATACCAAAATTAACCTGGCATGGTGGTGCATGCCTGTAATCCCAGCTACTTGGGAGGTGAGGCAGGAGAATCGCTTGAACCCGGGAGGCAGAGGTTGCAGTGAGCCGAGATCGCACCACTGCACTCCAGCCTGGGCGACAGAGTGAGACTCCATCTCAAAAAAAAAAAAAAAAAAATACAACAACAAAAAAGAAATCACCTCTTATTACAGACAGGAATAGTAGCTTACGATCGTCTCATATCTGATTTGAACTTATAAAATGAGGAAGTGTGGTGATTTTATCATCGATTTGCTATATAAAATTTAGGAAAATATGCATAAAAGATGAAAAACTCAAAAATAAAAATAAATAAATAAAAGGATTTCATGAGGGAAAAATGATGGCTCCCCAACATTTCCCAGTAAGTTCGACTCTCCAGATGCAGGGACAGTCCTCATAGTTCACCAGATTTGCTGTTTCATTTCTAAGCAAACATGAGCCACCAGATGGCAATGCAGCTCTCTCCTCACCCCCCAACACACACCTCCCACCACTTGTCCGGCAGGTGGGGGCTGTCACTCCTGCCCACCCAAAGCCAACAGTGGAAGTGACCCCACGGGACACACGTTGTTCCCTGTGTCTTTGTGCCCTGGTTTAAAGCAGGAATTAATCACTCCTTGCTGTGTCTCTGGGATTCCAGATTCTAGTGGGGTTGAGTTTCATTTTGGTTTTGGGTCCTTTTTGACCTCAAAGGGTGGAGTCTCATTTTGGTTTGGGGACCGGCGGGATGGGGAGGAACGGCAGGCTGTGTCCAGAGTGCGGATTGCACTGGGAAGCCCCCACTGAGGCTCCCCAGGGGAGCCGGGGAGTAGGAACTCAGCCTCTCCCTAGAGGGTTCCTCATGGCCGACGCATTTTGGGGCTCTGAAGGAACTGTCTGTGTGATACAAAAGACACGCTAACCTCTCCTTCTGCAGTGCAGTGAATGCAGAGAGGCTGTCCTAGAAAGGTGGAAGACAAGCCGGGCACGGTGGCTCACACCTGTAATCCCAGCACTTTGGGAGGCTGAGGTGAATGGATCACCTGAGGTCAAGCATTCGAGACCAGCCTGGCCAACATGGTGAAACCCCGTCTCCACTAACAATATAAAAATTAGCCAAGTGTGGTGGCCGGCGCCTGTAATCCCAGCTACTCGGGAGGCTGAAGTACGAGAATTGCTTGAACCTGGGAGGCGGAGGTTGCAGTGAGCCGAGTTAGTGCCATTGCACTCCAACCTGGGTGACAGAACGAGACTCTGTCAAAAAAAAAAAAAAAAGAAAGAAAGGAAGGAAGGAAGAAAAGTGGAAGAGAGGGAGGCCGGAAGGAGAGAGGGAGGGAGGCAAAGGCGCTGGCTGGGGCCGAGACTGCAGGCCCACTTTCCTTGTCCTCTGCAGTCTTTTTCCATCCTGACAACCAGGGAGCAGAGGTTCTTATTCTGACTCAAGAGAGGAGAAACCCCAGCATGGAGGGATTTAAGTGACTTTTTCATTAATTTGTCCAAGGGATGTTTTTCAAGCACCCACCCCACTATGTGCTAGGCTTGTCCCAGTGCTGGGGATACATGGGTGACCCTGCATTCCCCCGATCCTGTGGAGCTGAGATTCTAGCGGATTTGCCCACGGCCAGACAGGTGAGAGGCTCAGCAAGGTTTCTAGTTTCCAACGCCCATGCTGTGGGCCCTGCCCACATACTCACTCACATACACACACACACACATTCTCTCCCTCCCTCTGCCTCTCTCTCTTCCTCTCAATGTCATTCCAATTCAATGTGAATTGTAGAGATAGAGATTATTCTGAGAAGAACAGAAAAAAATCCTGTTGATGGGTCAACTCCTTAGAGGCTAAGTCTGGAAGACGTAGGAGGGGACAAATCCTCAAAGCCTCCTGCACAGCTATTCGAAGTCCCAGGAGTGGAGAGGGCGTCTCTCTCTGGCCTAAGGGATGAAACCCCGGGCACCTTCCCCAGTTGCTATCAGCTCCTTCCCTTGTCAGAGAGAGCACCTGCCGGGGTGCCGGTCCTGGCTCCTGGCTGCCAGAGTCCCAGACTTGCCTCAGGTTCTTGCAGTCTCAGGAATGATTCTGCACTGGAGGCAGAGAAAACTGGTGAGGAGCATGGCATAGACCACTTGCTGGCTGCAGAGCCTTGGCTGGCACCCCTGGCACAGTGGTGGAACAGCCCCCACACCTCTGCTGGCCCCCTGGACATGGGCAAGAGATCCTTGGAGGTTAGAGCTGTCGGTGTGTTGATGCCGCCAAAGAGGGAGCTGGTAGGGCCCTCTCTTGGAAACACGGGGCCCCTGTGCCATGTCCATCTCACTCACTTCCTCCGTGCACCTGAGGCTGCAGGTTGGCACATCAGTTACTGAAGGGAGTGCAGAGACTCATCAGATGCGGCCCTTTCCCTGGAAGCATCTCTCTTCAGCTGCTCCGTGGGAAAGTGGATTTGTACAAGTCACAGGAAGCAAAGTCAGTGGCGATGCAGCCCTGAGTCTGAAAATTTACACGTGTGACGTGGAGGACAAAGTGGCTCCAGCTCTGGCTTCAGGGTCAGACAGACAAGGTTCCAATCACCAGCTATGTGACCTTAGACTCCGGACCTCGGTCTCCTCATCTGTAAATGAGGTTCATAGCATCTATTATTATCTGTTAACATGCTTTACAAATGTTTACCCAAGGGCTGGGCGCAGTGACTCACACCTGTAATCCCAGCACTTTGTGAGGCTGAGGCAGGTGGATCATTTGAGGTCAGGAGTTCAAGACCAGCCTGACCAACATGGTGAAACCCTGTCTCAACTAAAAATGCAAAAAATTAGCCGGGCATGGTGGTGGTCACCTGTAATCCCAGCTACGCGGGAGGCTGAGGCAGGAGAATTGCTTGAACCCAGGAGGCAAAGGTTGCAGTGAGCCGAGATTGCGCCATTGCACTCCAGCCTGGGCAACAGAGTGAGAATCCATCTCAAAAAAAAAAAAAAAAAAAAAGGAAAAATGTTTATCCAGACCACAATACAGTGCTTATCTGATGAGTAGGTATTCAGTAAGTGTTTATCACATGCATGTTCTCAGGGAAGTGTCTCTGTGTTGACTTTGCTCCTCCCATCAAAGTTCTTGTTATGTATAGAAACCCTCTCATCCACCTCTGCCTCGACTTCACTGGCCTGTGAGCTTCTGAAAGACAAGGGTCATGTCTGAGTTTTTTCTGCATCCCCCATTCTTAAGACAGTACAGTGCACAGTAGGCACTCAGCACAGGGAGATGGGGATAAAGGTTGAGGGGCTAAGGGTGAACAGAGGGTAGATGGACTGATCGATGGATTAAGGGCTACATGGATGAATGGATGCATCAGTGGGCAAAGAAATGAAGTGGACAAAGAGAGGAATGGATGAATGGATGGGTGGATGAGTGGGTAGATGGATGCGTGAGTGTGGGTGAGTGGGTGGATGGATGGATGGATGGATAGATGAGTAGGTGAGTGAGTAGATAAGTGGAAGCTGGATGAATAAATATCAAAATAAGTGAAGGCACAAGTGGATGGATAGATGGATGGATGGGTGGTGGGTGGATGGATGGGTAGATGGATGGTTGGGTGGCTGGCTCGATGGATGGGTGAAGAATGGGTGGATGGATGGGCAGTGGATAGATGGGTGAGTGGGTAGATGGATGGATTAATAGATGGGTGGATGGGTGGGTGGGTAGATGGATGGATGGATGGATGAGTGAAGGATGGATGGATCAATGGGTAAATGAACGAATGGGTGGGTTGATGGGTGGGCGGGTAGATGAATGTATGAATGGACAGATGGATGTATAGGTGGGTGGATGGGTAGATGGACAGATGGGTAGATAGATGAATAGATGGGTGGATGGGTGGGTGGATGGATGGATGGATGGGTGAAGGATGGGTGGATGGATGGTTAGATGGATGGGTGGTGGGTGGATGGATCAGTGGATGGGTGCCTGGCTGGCTGGATGAATGGACAGATGGATGTATAGGCGGGTGAATGGGTAGATGGATGGATGAGTAGTTAGATGAATAGATGGGTGGATGAGTGGGTGGGTGGATGGATGGATGGATGGGTGAAGGATGGGTGGATGGATGGGCAGATGGATGATGGGTGGTGGCTGGATGGATGGGTGGATGGCTGGCTGGCTGGATGAATGGACAGATAGTTAAAGGAGTGGGTGCATGGATAAGTAGGTAAAAGGGTGAATGAATAAGTATATGGAAAGGAATAAAGCAGTAAGGGATGCACACAGGCTGGCATGGATGTTCAGATATGAATGAATTATAAGATGGGGTTTGGGAAGGAGGAAAGGCAGGCCAGTTCTGTATCCAGAAAAAAAAATTTGAGACCTCTTACTTTCATTCAGATGCCTCCAACCAAAGATTTCCCAAGGAATACAGGGAGTAGAAAGCCAGCCTTTCCCAAGAGGGTTCCTCACTGGCAAATGCATTCCAGAACTCAGAAGGAGCTGCCTGTGTGATACAAAAGACATATTAAACTCTCTTTCTCTGATTGTCCTGAGTTGATCTTTTTCTGACATCCCAAAGCAGCATGCTGCAAATTAGCCTCAAAGTTAGCCTCTTGTTTATTCCTAATTTTTCAAACCTGTAAGCTGAGTTTCCTATTATGTTCCAGCATCCATGCAGGTTATCTCATGTGATCCTCACAACGTGGAGGGGTGGGCATCCTTTGCCCATTTTACAGATGAGGAAACTGAGGCTCAGAGCTGTTATGGAAGCAAGCCACCAATAATCCGAAGTGCCAGTTTCCTGTCTTTTCCTACCCAAGCTCCTAGTTCTCAAGAGACTCGGTCATCTGTTCTGTGGGCTAGCAAACTGGTTTTTAAAAAAGCCGTTGGTACAAGTCTGGTTAAACTGTGCACATCTGGAGGAGCTGGCAGTGTTTGCAAAGGAAACTTGGTAAATCTTGGCAGAGCATCCCTCTCTCAGATGGCGGAGGCTGTTTTTGAGACCTGAGATGGCTTTTCAGCCAGAATGTGTCAGTCAACCCATCTTCCATGGCCAAGGAAAGTCCCTGAAGCCAGGCTGACCTCTGGGGACCCAGGCCTGAATTCCAAGGGCTGGGATTTCAGGTCCCCAAGGGCCCTTCAGCTGGAGCGACGACTTAATTGTCCATGCACGTGCAGATTATTCCAAGAGTGGTGATCCACTTTCCAACCTCCTGGCTTTTCAGGAAACGATGCACTTATTTTTGCCAGCCAACTCAGCCCCAGGGCCCTTCTCTGGCTTGGACAATGGTTGTGCTCTTAGAGCTCCAAGCAGCCCCTAGCCTGCCTTCTCCCTGGGACTTGCTGGGCAGCTGCCAAGAGTCATCGCTGATGTATGGCTGCACACTCAAGGGCTCCGCTGCCGGGTGACGGCTGTTGTCTGGGCAACAGGAGAGTCCAGCTGCGGGCATGCGTCCCCCGGAGCTCCCTGCCCCCTCTGCCTCTCCATTAAGCGCTTCTTGAGCAGGCTTGGCGTTGATTTGCCTCTGTGAGTGGGGAGAGCAGGGCTTTGTATTTTCACGCTGAAAATCACTGTCTCTCCTGGAAGAAGGAGAAACAGGTAGCCGTTGAGAGTAACGAGATGTTAGTGTATTCGGAACGGAACTGCTCAGTCTTCAATTTTGGCCTTATCTTGTCAAGGTCCTGTAGCCCAATCCCAAATTTCCAAGCTCTCTGGCCTGGTATCAGTCTTGTCCTTGGTGGTGCAGGAGGCAGGGTACGGCAAAAGACAGACGGGCCCGAGCCCGCCGCCCGCTGCAGGTAAGAAGCCCACCTCGGCGTGTCCTTCCTGAGGCCTGGGTCTTCGTGGCGGGCTGGGGACGGAGACGGGTTTTTGTGTAATTGTTCAGTGCATGGGGTCAGTGTTTCTGTAAGGGATACACAAGGTGTGGGTGTTTACCTACTAAGTTGGATGCCGAGAAATGTCAGCATGGCCTTGTGTGATTTATTTGCTCATTCTTCGCTGGAAATGTCAGCCCAGCTGGGTGACAACCCCCCAGAAAAAGGCAAATGGAAAATCCAGATGCCTCGTTGCTCAGCTGCAGATGGTATTCTTGGTAAAGGAACTGTTGCAAAATGAACTTTTGCTTGTTCTATTTCATTGAGTCCATTTCTGGTTGCATTCTGTAATTTTGTCATTTCCTGACTGCTCTTCGTGGATGTCTTCCAGTAGCAGAACTCGTCACCATTTTGCAGTTTGCCAGCAGCAGTTAGCCAGGTGTGGCAGACAGGGAAGGACTTTGGACTCAGAAGGCCTGGGCTCATGTTGGCCCCTACCGCCCACTTGCCCGTGACCTTGGGCGAGGTATACCATGTCCCTGAGCCTCAGTCTCCCGATCTGTGAAATGGTGCAAAGCTTCTTCCTGCGGGGGTGGGCGGGGTAGTCAGTGGCGTATCCAGAGCCCCTCGCCCAAGTCAGACACGTAGGCCTCCACGACTGAGACCTTGTGTTACGTGGGAGGTTTTTAAAATGCTTGTTCTCAAAAGGCCAAGTGGGCCAGGTGCGGTGGCTCATGCCTGTAATCCCAGCAGTTTGGGAGGCTGAGGCACGTGGATTACTTGAGATCAAGAGTTCAAGACCAGCCTGGCCAACATGGCAAAACCCCATCTCTTCCAAAAATATAAAACTTACCCAGGCATGGTGATGCACACCTGTAATCCCAGCTACCGGGTGGCTGAGGCAGGAGAATCGCTTGAACCTGGGAGGCGGAAGTTGCAGTGAGCCGAGATCACACCATGGCACTCCAGCCTGGGTGACAGAGCGAGACTCCATCTCAAAAAAACAAAAAACAAAACAAAATCAAAAGGCCAAGTGGCTACATCTGAAAACATTACTCTGTGTGGGTGTTTGGCTAGAACTGAAATCAGGCCTCACTTCACACCCCTGCTGCTGATGCTCCCTGGGTCGTGATCCCTGGGGACCTCCTCCAGCTTACCTTGTTCCTTGCCCTTTGAAAGGCACTCGTACTACTGACCTTCTCTTTGATTGATTTTTCATTTTTGAGCATAACTGTAACATGGGAAACCATGAGGCAGAAACCCACAAGCAATGGTGTGTGGCCTTTACAAATGGATTTTTCCCTTCCAGCTGCCAGGCGATCGGATGGGGAGGATGGAAGCTTGGACCAGGATAACAGGAAGGTAATGCCAGGGAGCAGATCTGGCTGAGAACAGCCTTGCTCAGAAAGAAATTGCTTTTGTGAGGGCTTCTCCGATTGAGACTTCGAATCTTCCTCTTACATTCTGTTCCTTAGGGGCCCTGCGAGGCCAAAGGTAGGAGGCCCTTCCATCAGTTTCCTTCCTACATTTAGGATGCACACGTCTCCTACCGAGGTCCTGGGTATATGCCCGTGTGACTTGGTTATGGTTCTGTGACTGAAGAGATGTGTACCGTGAAAGGGAAATAAATCAAAGTGCATCCCTGGGGCATCCATTATTCTAGGACAGGTTCATCAGACGTTCTTCATAAAGGGCCAGAGAGTAAGTACTTTTGGCTTTGTGGGCTGAACCATCTCCGATGCAGCTACCGAACTCTGTGAACGCAGCCGGAGCCAGGGCACGAACAGGCATCTCCGTGTTCCAACAACGTATTCATGACAAAAGGAGGCTGCAGGCTGGGCTTTACCTGTGCTAGGGCTGGAAAGCAGGGCTGTGCATAGGGAGAGCCCGAGGCTGGACTTGGGCAGCAGCCCTCATTCTCCCCGTGCAGAGCCCTGTGGGCCCCTGGCCTCCCAGAGCCTCAGTGGCTGTGTCCGTAAGATGGGGCAGCTCCGTTTCCCCCAGATGCTCCATGTACCTGTATAGCGTCTGGATAGGTCTCACTAAATGGCAAGATTTTTATTGAAAGCTGCATCTCTCACATATTGAGTTTTCTCACAGTGGGGTCAGCTCGTATGTTAGAAGTAAGGAAGCTACAAGAAGGGTCCAGTGAGATGTTCCCACCATTGCAGATGACCTTGACATTTGCATGACTTTGTTTTTTACCTTCAGCAGAAGAGCAGCTGGCTGATGCTCAAGGGGGATGCAGACACAAGGACCAATTCTCCAGACCTGGACACCCAGTCCTTGTCCCACAGCAGCGGGACCGACAGAGACCCTCTCCAAAGGATGGCAGGGGACAGCTTTCACTCACGTGAGTGGTTCTTTTGAAGAAGGAGCCGTGATGTGCACAAAATGCCTCGCGGCAAAGAGGCCCCAGAACTCAGAGCTATCCCCCTACATCTAAGCCTTGCCTGTTAAAAAGCATGAAAGCAAAGCCCACAAATCTAAGGACCGACCGGAAGGAAATATGGGGCTTTTGCAGTTTGCCGGCTTCCCAAGAACTGTCCCCGAGCCAGTGTGCTAACGAGGGCCACGCCTGCATGTCCCCTCACAGATTTCCAAGGTGTGCAAGAATGCAGAAACCCAGACCTGCTCCTGGGCTGTTTAGGAGAAAGGCGTCCGGGCTGCCGGGTGGAAGTCAGGGCCTGTTCCCTCCAGAGCAGACATGGGCATGGTCCGGCTGATGAGTGCAGACTTGGAGTTGGTGATGGGCACCATCCCTGTCCCCTGTGACTCATCCTGAACGAGGCACAGCCTCAGGCTTCATAGAGAGACAGTGATGGTGTCTGCCTGACCCTAGGGGTGTTTTGAAGACTGAATCAGGAGTGATTTTCAAATGTAGAGAAAACTCCAGATAATGCTGTTTGCTTCCGGCCGCTGTAAATCATAGGTGAAAACCAGTAGCAAGTGCTCACTCAGTGCCTCCCAGAAGCGGTCTGCGGGTCTCAGCTGGGCTGGGGGCAGTTTTCATTGGGCAAGGCTTGGGCTTAGCTTCGAAGCAGGGGCTGGGAGAGGATGGATGGGGGTGTGAGAGCAGAAGAAAGACCTGGCTTTGCAGTGAGGCAGTCCCAAGTTCAAATCTGAGCTCACCACTGACCCGTCGTGTGATGGGCGCCAGGTGTTAGGAGACTGGAACTGGGTATGTGTGTGGCATTCGGCCGGCCATAGTAGCTGCTCAGTAAACAGAAACTGTTTCTCATCCTCATCCTCATCCTCATGCCTGCAAACTGTAAACCGTCCTACTTAACAATGAAAGTAGAAAAGTGTTTCAATGTGACAGGAAAGAGTGAAGACACAGAAGCTTGGAAATGATGATGTGTTAAAGAATCACTTTAAACAAAGAAAGGTGTGTTGCTTGTGTATGATCTCTGTAAGCAGGTGTCTGTGCACCCCTCAGGCCTCTGCCCCCGCCTGGGGTGCAGCTTTGTAAATACCAGGATCCCAGCATTCAGGCACAAGGCTGATGTCACCATGGGAAAGCCACCCCCCCCCTGCAAAAATCCCCCAGAGGGAGAGGGGTTCACCCCAGATGGCAGCCTGCTCCTTCCGGAGGAACTGCCCACCTCATCTGCAGGCAGGGCAAGGGGGCTATGGGGCTGGTCCACGCGCGCCTGCCTGTGCCCCCGTGGGCAGCTGCATGCCAGTCCTCCGGTCCCTCTCTCTCGGATCCTAGGAATCCCTGCCCCTGGCTGGTGTAGCACCTGCCCACGGGCCAGGGAACATTGGCCTGGCTCATGGCCCATCTGCCCTGCACTCACGTGTCAGATGCCGTTGTGTTTAGAGGAGGAGAGCTCCTCTTGCACCAGCTCGGCAGCTTCCCCAGCACCCTCCCTACTTTGCTCAGTGTCCCGGCATCAAGGCATTTGCCCTGGGAACCAGGAAATCAGTGTTTAGGGATCTCAAGGTGGCATCGTTCAGTGTTCAGTTCTTCCCTTGCCAGGTGGCCGGCAGAACTCTGCAAGGCTGGGGCCATACTGATGACCTCCCCCACTTGATGACCTCCCCACAGACTCTTCAGGGAGGCCAACTACTGTCCCCAGAATTTCTACTGACGTTTGTGGCCTGCCTGTGGCTCAGGACTAAGAGAGGGGGGTGCTGTGTGGGAGAAGCCGGACTAGAGACGGGCTGCCCCCTGTGACCCCCGTGCCCCTGATACTCTCTGTGACCTGCACATGTGGCCTTCACCTCGTGCACTGCTTCCTCGTTTGAAAATGCCAGAATGTAGGTGCCCTGGAGTTGCCCCAGGAGAACACGAGCCTGGTGGGTGGCCAGCCTTGCGAGGCCCAGAGGCCATGTCAGGTGTGTGGATGTCAGGTGGTCACTCAGCGGCAAGGGCATGTGTGCCAGCCCCACCCCTTGTCGTCACATTCTTCTCCCAGGCTGCCTGTGCAGATGCACGCAGGCTGCGGCTGCCTCCATCCTGGCATGCTGGGTCTGCAGGACTCCAATGGCCCGTGCTGCACTCATGAATTCCCCGGGGAGATTCTGCTCCAGCACAGACATATGTGTCCTTCCCCTGGCCATGCCTGCTTATGAAGATGTGGCTATGATGCTGTCCTTCCTTCGCTTTCTCCTGGTGTGCTAACATCCACTTCCTCTGAGCAGGAAACCCGCTGTGTCTAACCATTCTGATTGTGCCTTTACTTCTGTCCCGATGGCATTGCCTTGTTTCCCGATTTGCATGGAAATGGCAGCGAGGACCCAGACTGCCGGCTGTGCCTGGATCAGGTGAGCCTTGCCGTCTGCGGCCTCCTGAGGAATCCAGGCGGGAAGGGGAGCACATGGAGATTGAGAGGGAGCCACCCTTTTTTTTCTCTCGGGGTTCTTTTGATTGTCACCAAGTAGCCCCCAGACCTGAGTCCGTGGGCACCAGTTCCATTTGCACACAGCTTTTACTGAACAAAGCATTTGCACACAGCAAGGCACGCCACCTGCACCCCGGGACGTCCATCTGTAGCGCGCCCAAGGAAGGTAGGATTGTGACACCCAACACAGTGGGCACTCAATAAATGTCTGTTGAATTGAAATGCGTTACATTCAACGGGTATTTATTGAGCACCCACTCTGTGCCAGACGCTGAGCGGGGCGCCGAGGGGGACAGAGAAGACAAGAGCAGCCCCTGACCTGGAGAAGCGTGCAGGGAGCTGAGAGAGGCAGAGACGCCGACAGAGCGAGCGCACACGCATCCCGCCGCCGCCTGCCCGCCGGGCACCTCTTTGGCTTCGCAAGGGCCCGATCACAAACTCATCTCACCCACAACACCATCTGCACATCTCACCCGGGACTGAGTTCATCATTCAGTCATTCATCCATCCCTCCACCAGATACTTACTGAGCACCTACTATGTGCTGGACATGGTGCTAGGCAGTGGTGAGCATGGCCCAGTCCCTGTTCCCCAGCAGGGAAGCCAGAGGACTTTATGGCGGTGACAAACCCGGGAGCCATCCCCATTCCATTAGTTCCCAGCAGGCATTGCCACCCCTCCAAAGAGGGCGTCATAGTGAAATCTATATTTTATTATTGACTGCTTTTCTGTTCCTGTTTATATTACACATAGGGCATTATCTGGACTATGTGCAGAGTAGTTTATATTATCAGTGCACCTGATTTCTGCACAGGAAGGGAGGCTATTGATTTTATGTTATAGGAAGTTTTCTAGAACAAGACTCGCTGCCTTGGGGGAGGAACACAAGGTGGTGTGGACTCCGTGTCCCCGGCAGTAGGGCCTGCTGCTGCTTGGGGTCCCACATTCCTAGCCCCTTGAGGCCCCATCCTCTCTTTTGAGGTCTCTCACGTCCCACCCTCGAAGGTCAGAGGCGTGTCAGCATAATACAAACCCCCGGGCAGCTTGAGGCACTGCCCAGAGGACTCAGTGGCCCCTAGAAAGGACCCAGCACTTCCGAAGGGAATAAGACCCTTTCCTCCAATCCCAGCACATGAGGCATGTGTGAGAGGTGGGATAGTGGGAGCCAAGGGTGGTCTGGCCAGGTGGGAGTGGGGGTGAGGAAAGCTCTGAATTAACTGCTGCAGCAGCACAGGGGAGGCCCCAGTTGGGGGCACTTCACCCCCAACCTGCCTGTGGCTTGGCATTTTCTGTCACTTTCTGTGTGTCCTCTCGCTGTGGGACCGGGCGGAGTCCCATGTCTGGTGGGAGGTGCTTGTCTCTGCTTGTCTCTCTGCTGCCTGGTCTCGGAGCCCGTTGGGAGGGAGGGTTAGGAGACAGCGACCCTGCTGCAGCTTTTCTGTGGAAGGGAAGGTGGTGGGTGGGGACCAGGGCAGAGGTGGTCTTCCTCCTTTCCCTTTTTACTCCTCTGGAGCTGCAAGATGGGGCAGAAGAGTTCTTCTCGCGTTCCTTAGTCCGTGGTCGAAGGAAGAGCCTCCCTGACGTGCTACTGTCAATCTCGTGAGGATATCTGGTGGGACGGGCAGGGCACCTGGCCTCAGGCTTAGAGACGTGAGACCCCCTAGGTATGGAATATGCAGACATCAGAACTGGAAGAAGAGGGCCAGGCACAGTGGCTCATGCCTGTAATCCCAGCACTTTGGGAGGCCGAGGCGGGCAGATCACCTGAGGTCAGGAGTTCGAGACCAGCCTGACCAACATGGTGAAACCCCGTCTCTACTAAACACAAAAAATCAGCCAGGCATGGTGGAGGATACCTGTAATCTCAGCTACTTGGGAGGCTGAGGCAGGAGAATCACTTGATCCCAGGAGGCAGAGGTTGCAGTAAGCCGAGATTGCACCATTGCACTCCAGCCTGGGCGACAGAGCGAGACTCCATCTCCAAAAAAAAAAAAAAAAAAAAAGAAAACTGGAAGAAGAGCGTAGTGGTCCAGAGACAGTGGGTGGGAGCTGCCAGTCAACAGATTCAGGCAGTCCCCAACTTCTGACATGGGACCGTGTGACTTTCCGCTGGCGTGAAAGCGATGTATATTGGGTAGAAAGCGAACCTCAGTACCCACACACCCTCCAGTATCCACACACCCATTCTGTTTCTCACTCTCAGTACAGCATTCAGCGAATGACATGAGACGGCCAGCCCTCTATGATGCACCAGGCTGTGTGCTAGATGACTCTGCCTGGCCGAAGGCTAATGCAGGTTTCTGAGCATGTTTAAGGCAGGCTGGGCTAAGCCATGGTGTTTGCTAGGTTAGGTGCATTCAATGCATTTTTGACTTTTGATCTTCTCATCTTACTGGGTTTATGGGATATGATGAGCCCGTGGTAAGCCAAGGGGCATCTCTCTGTATTTCATGAGTGCTTGGTGTGTTCCGGTGCTGTCCTGGGTGCTGGGGACAGAGCAGAGGCCAAAACAGACAAAGTTCCCTGTCTGGGGAGCCGACATTCTACTAGGGGCTGGGAGACAAAGAGAAACAAGCTGAAAGTGAGTTATATCAGTGCCCTGTGCTAAGAGGGCTAGAGAGGGCTGGGGGAAGGGTGCACTTTCAAATACAGTAAGTAGTCAGTGCAGAGAGACGGTACCTGGCACGGCTTGAAGTGGGTGTACACTTGAATAGGGCCGGTATATGGGGGAGAGCATTCCGCATCACCCAGGGCGGAGGCCGGGCCGTGGGTTGGAAGAACAGTGAGGGCCATGCGTCAGGTCACAGAGCAGTTTGTGTGCCCTTGGGAGGACTCAAGCCTGGCCTGACTCAGGATTTAAGCAGCACAGACAGCCTGTAGACAGGTCTGGAGGCAGGAGCAGGGCGGCCTTGGGAAACCGAGACGGTGAGGGTGGCGGAGCTGGGACTCGCCAGAAGCTGGTGGAAGCAGGCCGAGGTCCAATCAGGAAAGGTCTGGAGCGCAGTGCCAGGGAGGGGAACGTCAGCACGACACGAGCGTGACAGGAGATGTTGCATTTTCTGTGTTTAAAACATCAGAAGGCAGCTGCATAGACGGTGGACTGGAGGCTGCCCAGTCAGGGCGAGAGGAAAAGGGCTCCCACAAAAGCAGTGGGGGGCCCTGGAAGGATCTCACTGGCAGGGCCCACATGGTGGCAGCTCAGGAACCACTGGCTGCGGGGGTGACGGAATCAAAGAAGACACTGGGTTGGCTCTGGTGCAGGCCGGCAGAGGCCACCTTTATTCAGAGATGGGATGAGAACAGGTGGGTGTCTTCATGTTGGCTTGGAGAGCCTGAGACGTCCGGGGGGTTGCCAGGGGGCAGACGGAGCTCAGAGGAGAGGTCCAGGCTGGAGGCAGAGACTGAGGGTCCCCGGCTCCCAGATGGGACTGGAACCGTGGGAGTTGGTAGCCCCAGCCACTCCAACTGTGAGTACGTGGCTGTGTCCTGAGTTTGTGTTCCTTTCTCAAGAGGGTCTGAGACTCAAATCAGGTGTGATCTCCTGCCTGGCCCCCAGCCTACTCTTTGTCAGTGTCCTCCCATCTCCCCATCTCAGCAAAATGCTGGGAGGAGAGAGAGCAAGAAAAAGAGAGAGAGAGCACGCACATGTGTGTGCTGACAAGCGGGCAGGTGGGAAGGTGCCATCGGGGGGCAGGAGATTCCACAGAGGAAGTGGGGAGGAGCGCCCAGGAGGGAGAAAGCCAGGAGAGGAAGTGGGCCAGGGAAGTGGGGAAGGGGGCAGCCAGCAGGGCTGATCCTGCAGAAAGGGCGTGGAGGGACAGCCCAGGGAGAGCTGGGGGCTCAGGCGTGGCCACCTTGGCATCCAGCTAGTGGCTGGAGGGTCCCTCTATACAGAGGCTGTTAGGGAGGAGTGGCCAGCTGGGGCCACAGTGATGACCTTTCTGGAAGGCCTGGCCTCCTGCTGGGCAGGCAGGGTGCTCTCTGAGCCCCCAGAGAGAGCAGAGGGAGCTCCAGAGGTCAGGGCGAGGACCCCAGCCCAGGAGAAGATGCTGTGGCTGGAGGTATACACCACCCCGAGGACAGTGGCCCCAGGCAGAGCATGCTGGGCTCTGGAGCCCCAGGGAGCAGCCGCTGCCGTTGGGTTGCCTGGGGACTAGCCTTCAGCCGGAATCCCCACACCTCCCCCTGCCCAGCAGGCTTATCCACACCTAGGGACTGAACAGGGTGTGGCCTCCCAGTTCTGCGGGTAGCAGCACAGGCCCTGGGTGGCACCCCGTGTCCCTCTGAGAGCTCATGTTGTCTCATAGCCACAGCCCCAGGGCCTCCTCTGTCCTCCTCCAATGCTGCCTGGGCCCCGACACCGGAAGCTCTGCCTCCCCTCCCCAGTCCAGCTGAACCAGCATTTCATTCACCGCTGCTCAGGGATGAGGGGTGCCCGTCTTCCTCAGATGGACACACCAAGGCTCAGAGAGGGGACCCGAACCTGTGCAGTGCCACAGCCTCCAAACCTCCTGCCCGTGCACCCAGGAGCGGATGGGAACTGCCCAAGCGAGTGGCTCACGGGTCAGGTGCCCACAAAGCAGACCCGGACGCTGTGTGAGCCACAGTCCTCTGCCCATAAGGTGCCCGGCCTTGAATGTCCAGCGGTGACTTTGACCTCTGATGAGCCAGCCTGGAAGAGGACAGACCCGCAGAGAACAGGCTCAGGGCCCTGGATCACAGATCTGTCACCTGTGTGCTTTTCTCCCCATGGACTCTTAGTGCCTGGGAGCAGCGTAAGAGTCTGGTGCCTCCCGTTCCCAGGCAGCAGCCTCGCCATCCGTGCTTGTGATTGGCCGCATCTTCCCAAAGCCTCCGGGGACAGCTCCCTGAGCAGCAGCCTTCTTTCCTGGGACCCAGCATTCATTCTGTGGGGTGGGGGACATGAAGGTGGCTACCCAGAATACAAAGCCGCAGAACTGTCCAGAAGAGCACCTGAGGGGGCCCCAGAGAGTGCTGCCTGAGGGTGCTGCTCCACCCACAATTCAATCCCAGCCCGTCACTTGCTGTGTGACCTTGGGCACTGCATGCGGGCGCTAGTCCACCCATGATTCAATCTCAGCCCGTCCCTTGCTGTGTGACCTTGTGCACAAGAGAAACCTCTCTGAGTTTGAAGTTCCCTCATCTGTAAGAACAGGGATGATCCAGTCCTGCCAGGGAGCATGTGGGGGTTGAGGAGCTTGCACGTGAGCACACGGGGATCCTGTGGCCTGACTCTGAGGGTTGTTGAGGCTCAGCATCTCGAGTCTACAAGCCAGGCCATGGCAAGCCCTCTGTGGACATCTTGGGCCCATCTCACTTGCTTCTGAAGTCTGCAGCTCAGACCAGCCAAGGGGCCTCTCATTCACCACTGCTCAGGGATGAAGGGTGCCCCCCTTCCTCAGATGGAGACACCAAGACTCAGAGAGGGGACCTGAACCCGTGCAGTGCCACAGCCTCCAAGCCTCCTGCCCGTGCACCCAGGAGCGGATGGGAACTGCCCAAGTGAGTGGTTCATGGGTCAGGTGTCCACAAAGCAGACCCGGATGCTGTGTGAGCCACAGTCCTCTGCCCACAAGGTGCCCGGCCTTGAATGTCCAGCGGTGACTTTGACCTCTGATGAGCCAGCCTGGAAGAGGACAGACCTGTGGAGAAGAGGCTCAGGGCCCCAAGAGCAGGCCTGGCGGGGTGCTGAGGGCAAGGTGGCTATGGCAGGCTTCATGGAGGGGAGGCGGCCAGGAGCCTGGTTTGGCTGAGCCTGGGCATGGAGTGGGTAGGCCTCTGGTGCCTGCAGAGCCTCATGTAACTGGCATCAGGACTACCCAGTTGCCGCCATGCTCCTGGCCCCCTACCTGCCTTCTCCCTGTGGGTCTCTCTCTGTACTACACACACCCCGCCTCTTGAAGGCTGTCTGCTTCCATCTGACATGCATTAGACCCCACATGCCTGCAAACCCACACCAGGGCACACTGGCTTGGGAGCAGATAGGGTTACTGGTTCCTGAAGCTAGGGAGCCCTCCTCATCTCAGCCTCTCTAGTTAGTAACTGTTTGACCTTGAACAGATCGCTTGATATCATTAGGTCTCAGCTTCCTCATCTGTAAAATGGGTTCATGTTTAGTGTGTAGGCTGGTGAGAGTCAAGTGAAATCTCTGAATATGTAAAGGGACTTTTTAAACCAGTGATTCTTGGCCGGGCGCAGTGGCTCACGCCTGTAATCTCAGCATTTTTGGAGGCCGAGGCAGGCAGATCACCTGAGGTCGGGAGTTCGAGATAGCCTGACCAACATGGAGAAACCTTGTCTCTACTAAAAATACAAAATTAGCTGGGCGCAGTGGTACATGCCTGTAATCCCAGCTACTCAGGAGGCTGAGGCAGGAGAATCGCTTGAACCCAGGAGGTTGCAGTGAGCCAAGATCACGCCATTGTACTCCAGCCCGGGGAACAAGAACAAAACTCCGTCTCAAAAAATAAAATAAATAAACCAGTGATTCTCAGCGCTGGTTGTGCACAGCATCCCTGGGACCTTTAACATCTACAGATTGCTGGTCCACCCCAACAGAGACCAACTTCAGGAGTCCAGACAGCAGTCCAGGGGGTGAGATAGTGTCGCCTCGTCTCTCTCTGCTCTTCTCTGCTACATACAGCTAAACGGACCTGCAAATGATACGGCAGACGGTTGGTCACAGGACAACTCTAAAGGTGGGAACAGCAAAGTGGCCTGGCGAGGCAGCCTCGGGACCTCAAGGGACAGCAGCCCTGCCTGCCCACTCCCACCCCCACCCAGCAGCAGGAGGTGGCCCAGGCCAGCAGACTCCCAGCCTCCCATGCAGTGGCAGGAGGTGGCCCAGACCTGCAGACTCCCAGCCTCCCATGTGGTGGCAAAAGGTGACGAGGCAGGTGTTTTCCTCCTGCAGCCACACTAGCAGATGGGCAGGTGGCCAGCAGGCACCCCGCAGTCCTGGGAGTGAACCCAGGGGCATGGTCTCCACCCGTGGCAGGCATCTCCCACCCCCACCCAGCGACACAGGACACCCCAAGAAGGGCATTTTATCCCCACAGGCAGCACCGGCAGGGACCCAGGTGGGCAGACCGGCAGCTCCAGGTGAATTTAGCAGACCAGAATAGCACTTCAGCAAGCATTCTGAAAAGCAAATTGTCATTGGAACCGTAGCCTCCAAAAGAACAGGCTGTACACGCGAAACCTAAACAGGGTGACAGCCTGCTCAAATAGAGGATTTAACACTTAACAAGATCAGTCTTCTAACATAATATCCAAAATGCCCAGGATACTGCAGAAAAATTACCCGTCACACCAAGAACACCGAAGATCAATGATTTGAATGAAAAAAGACAGCAGAAGGCCCGGCGCAGTGGCTCACACCTGTAATCCCAGCACTTTGGGAGGCCGAGGAGGACGGATCAGATCACCTGAGATCAGGAGTTGAAGACGAGCCCGATCAACATGGAGAAACCCCGTCTCTACTAAAAATACAAAATCAGCCGGGCATGGTGGCACATTCCTGTAATCCCAGCTACTAGGGAGGGTGAGGCAGGAGAGTCACTTGAACCCGGGAGGCGGAGGTTGTGGTGAGCCGAGATGGTGCCATTGCACTCCAGCCTGGGCAACAAGAGTGAAACTCCATCTCAAAAAAAAAAGAAAAAAAGAAAAAAAAGACAGCAGATACTAACACTGAGAAGAATCAGATGGTGGAATTGTCTGACAAGGATTTTAAGGCATTTATCACTAAAAAATGCTTCAACAAGCAATTACAAATAGTTTAGAAACAGTAGCTGATGAGGGGGTCTCAGGACTCGGGGAAATACGCAGCAACCCCACATCTCCCACCCAGCAGCAGCAGGAGACCCGGGCCTGGAGTCTAGAACACGCAATTGCAGATACTTTTGAAACTGAAAAGGAAGCCTCACCAAAGAAATATAAGCTATATGAAAATGGAAATTATAGAACTGAAAAAATAACCAAAATTAAAAATTTGACAGGAGAGAATCCATGAACTTGAAGACAGAGCAGAAATTATCCTACATGAACAAAAGAGAAAATAGGGGGAAAAATTAACAGAGCCTCAGGGACCTGTGGGACAATATTTGTTTCATTCAATTCCTAGGAAGAGAGGAGGAAGAAAATGGGTTTGAAAAACTATTCAAAGAAATAATAGCGGCTGGGCGCAGTGGCTCATGCCTGTAATCCCAGCACTTTAGGAGGCCGAGGTGGGCGGATCACGAGATCAAGAGATCAAGACCATCCTGGCCAACATGGTGAAACCCTGTCTCTACTAAAAACACAAAAGTTAGCTGGACATGATGGCGTGCACCCATAGTCTCAGTTACTTGGGAGGCTGAGGCAGGAGAATCGCTTGAACCTGGGAGACGGAGGTTGCAGTGAGCCAAGATCGTGCCACTGTGCTCCAGCCTGGGCAACAGAGCAAGACTCCGTCTCAAAAAAATAAATAAATATGTAAAAAATAATGTCTGAAAACCTAACAATTTTGGCAAAAGAAAGACATAAACCTACAAGTTCCAGAAACCAAGTGAGTCCCAAAGAAAGAGGATAAACCCCAAAAATCTGCACCAAGACACATCATAATTAAATTTCTGAAAATTAAGGACAAAGAAAAAAATGTTGAAAGCAACCAGAGAGAAAAAACAGAGGGGAAACACCAATTCAAGCGATAGCAGATTTCTCATCAGAAGCCACAGAGGCCAGCAGGAAGTGTCCTGACGTCTTTCACGTGCTGAAAGAGCAGAACTGTCCGCATGAATCCTGTGTTCAGTGAGATATCCTGCAGAGCTACCCGTAAGGAATCTTCTCCAAACAGAAAGGAAATGATAATAGAAGAAGGCTTGGAACTTCAGAAAGGAAAGAAGAACGTCGGAATAGGTAAAACCGGGGACAAAACATAATAGCCCTCTTCTTGGAAAGAATCATATTCTTATATCACATTGGATGGTTGAAGCAGAATTTCTAGCACCATCTGATACGGGTGCTCAGGGGAAACAGAAGACGTCCCTGAGACTATCATAGTCAAAGTGGGGAGGATAAAATGGCCTTCGCGGAAGCAAGGTTTCCACCTGCATGTGAAGTGGTTAAAAGTTGAGACCGGTCGGCGGCAGCCTGGGCACTGGGAACCTGGCACGCTGTCCAGGTGACTCCAGGGGCAGGCAGGTAGAGGCCTTCGGGCTTAAGAGGGGTGCAGGACACCACCAAGGGTGTTCTCTGTTCTCGAGGCAGTAGGCCAGTGTGCATCGGAATGGTCCAGAAGCCTTGTAAAAACACAGATCCCTGGACCCCAGCCCCAGAATTCTGACACAGGAGGTCTAGGGTAGGGCCCACTAATTTGCATTTCTGACGAGTTCCCTGGCAAGGTTGGGGCTGCTAGCTGGGGATGCCAGTTTGAGAACCACCCCTCTAGCACCTTTGCTGATAAGGAGCTCCCGCTGCAGCTGGAGGGGCCCTCGGGCTCCCAGAGCATGCCTGGCTCTGGGCATGAAGGAGGAGGAAGGTGTCTCCTGGAGGACCCCAGGACTGCAAGGCAGGAGGCCTTGTCTGGCATCCTGGGGCTGCCGCTACCTGGCTGGGTGACCTCAGGCAGGTTCCTGCACGTCTCGGGGCCTTGACTCTCCTTCTGTGACATGAGAAGAGCTGGCTAGGCCATTTACTTGGGGGTGCCGAGGAGGGGCTGGGAGGGGGAGGAATAGCCCGAAGGTCTGGCCCCCGACCCCCGCCCCTCTCACATGTCTGTCTTCCCAGCTCCTCGTTTGCCTGTTTTGCATATCGGGGTTCACATAAAAGCTCATGCGTCGAGGGAGTTCCTCCGCTAGGAGAAGTTTGAGGACCTTGATCTTGATGTTTAAAACACCTTCCTGACCCCCATGTGGAACCTTTCCACTGGCTACCGTGTTGCAAACAAGTCCCCAGCTGAGGCTCCTCCCACAGGCTTCTCTGTGTCCCCATGTGACCTTCATGGAATTTCTTCTCTGTCCTCATTGAGTCCATGAGGAACCCCCAAATGAAAGGCCCCCGGAGAAGCATCTTTTGCTCAGAAGTGAGGTCCCCGGAGAGAGCGGGTGGGCAGTTCTGTGCACAGAACCTGCCTTGCCCCTGGAGGCATGGTCCTTGCTACAGACATGTGGCCTTGTGAGCCACCTTCCCCTCGGAGGCCTCGTGGGCAGCTTGGAAGCTCCCATGAGTGAATGTGGGCATCTGGCCCTGTACCTGGCCGATCTCCGCCACCAGGGCCCAGTACTGGGGTGACACCCCCAGATGAGGCAGGTGTGAGCCATGCTCTTTAAGGCCCCATAGGCTAGTGGAAAGACAGACAGTTTAGGGACCCAGGACAGGTCTTTTAAGAATGCTTCCCTGACTTTTTAATGATTGCCATTCTAACTGGTGTGAGATGATATCTCATAGTGGTTTTGATTTGCATTTCTCTGATGGCCAGTGATGATGAGCATTTCTTCATGTGTTTTTTGGCTGCATAAATGTCTTCTTTTGAGAAGTGTCTGTTCATGTCCTTCGCCCACTTTTTGATGGGGTTGTTTGTTTTTTTCTTGTAAATTTGTTTGAGTTCATTGTAGATTCTGGATATTAGCCCTTTGTCAGATGAGTAGGTTGCAAAAATTTTCTCCCATGTTGTAGGTTGCCTGTTCACTCTGATGGTAGTTTCTTTTGCTGTGCAGAAGCTCTTTAGTTTAATTAGATCCCATTTGTCAATTTTGTCTTTTGTTGCCATTGCTTTTGGTGTTTTGGACATGAAGTCAGGAAACAACAGGTGCTGGAGAGGATGCGGAGAAATAGGAACACTTTTACACTGTTGGTGGGACTGTAAACTAGTTCAACCATTGTGGAAGTCAGTGTGGCGATTCCTCAGGGATCTAGAACTAGAAATACCATTTGACCCAGCCATCCCATTACTGGGTATATACCCAAATGAGTATAAATCATGCTGCTATAAAGACACATGCACACGTATGTTTATTGCGGCACTATTCACAATAGCAAAGACTTGGAACCAACCCAAATGTCCAACAATGATAGACTGGATTAAGAAAATGTGGCACATATACACCATGGAATACTATGCAGCCATAAAAAATGATGAGTTCATATCCTTTGTAGGGACATGGATGAAATTGGAAACCATCATTCTCAGTAAACTATCGCAAGAACAAAAAACCAAACACCGCATATTCTCACTCATAGGTGGGAATTGAACAATGAGATCACATGGACACAGGAAGGGGAATATCACACTCTGGGGACTGTGGTGGGGTCGGGGGAGGGGGGAGGGATAGCATTGGGAGATATACCTAATGCTAGATGACACATTAGTGGGTGCAGCGCACCAGCATGGCACATGTATACATATGTAACTAACCTGCACAATGTGCACATGTACCCTAAAACTTAGAGTATAATAAAAAAAAAAAAAAAAAAAAAAAAAAAAAAGAATGCTTCCCTGGGTGTGGAGGGTCCTGCCCCTCCAGGGTCCAGGCTCTGCCCCTTCCTTTCCAGAATGCAACCACACCACCTCTGAGCCAGGCAGGCGTTCACTTCCTCCCTGCTCTCCCATCACGTGGTATTGAAGAGGTTACTTCGGAGGTCTCAAACTCCCAGCAAGCTCCCAGGCCCACCCAGGGCCAGCCAGGGACATGAGTGATGGAGGGAGCTCGGTGGGGGCTGGGAAAGGCTGCCCCCTCCTGACAGCCCCAGCGAGCCTTGCCCCACAGGGAATCCAGAGTTCATTGTCTCAGACCAGCCCTCTATTATTTCACGAGAAGCTAGAAATTTGGATTTTAATATGAAGCCCCCCAATTGCAAGCAACTCAGGATTTTTTTTATTTATTTTTTTAGAGACAGGATCTCACTCTGTCTCCCAGGCTGCAGTGCAGTGGTGTGAGCATAGCTCACTGCAGCCTCGAACTCCTGGGCTCAAGGGATCCTCCCACCTCAGCCTCCCAAATAGCTGGGACCACAGGCGTGCACCACCACAGCTGGCTAATTGCTTTTTGTAGGGGTGGTCTTGCTATGTTGCCCAGGATGGTCTTGAACTCCTGGCCTCAAGTGATTTTCCCACCTTGGCCTCCCAAAGCTCTAAGATTACAGGCATGAGCCAACATGCCCAGCCAAGAAGTTTATTAAAATAAGATTGCCTCCAGGCCCCATGTGCTTGGTGGTGGGCCTCCATTTGCCACCTCTGGCACAGGATGGCACAGCTCTGCTGTTCCTCCAGGGTTCCAGAGACTGCGCCCCTTCCTGACTCTGCTCAGCTCCCCTGTCTGTAAAGTGAGGGGCTTGGCCCAGGTGCCAGGTGGTGCCCAGGCCCGAGCCTGTCCCTGAACACAGGGGCCAGCTGGGCTGAGGTTCTGTGGCATTTCCGGTGTCACGGGCAGGCTCAGGACATTACCCCTCTGTGGCTTCCTCCTCGGTCAGCGCCCTGGGAACAGAAGGTCACCACTGAGGCAGGTCATGGTCCTCAGGGGGCCTCCCCTGTGTTGCTTGCCCAGCCTTGCCCACCCCGGTGGGAAGCCCCCCCAGGGCTGCACCCCCATTGCTGCACCGAGTCTGCGCGCGTGACAAAGCTGTGCTGTGTCTGTTTCAGGATTCCCCTATTCCAAATCTGACCCTCTCCCAGGACATGGAAAGAATGGCTTGGACCAGCGGGTAGGTACTGACCCCTCCCTGGCCACAGGGTACTAACGATTGCTGTGAGGCTGAGCACGTTTCCCACAGCTTCTTGACCACACAGCAGGAGGAGAGGCCCCGGGGACCCCGCGGCCCACCTGCCTCTGCCTGATGCCCTTCCCAGGGGCTGCCACTGCCACCACTGCTTTTTCCCTAGCAGGACCGAACCAGACCTGGGCAACACCCTCCCCACTCTGCCTCCCTGCCCCCGACCCCAGGGAGAGCTCAGTGTGTGGGAGCAGGGGAGACAAGGGCCACCCAGAGTGATCAGGCGCAGCTCCAAGATGCCCCTCCTAACCGTCTTCGTCCTCCTATGGCACAGAGCCTGATAACCAAGGGCTGTTGCATTTGGTGAGCCAGTGTGAGCCAAGTGCCCACCTCCTTCTCGGGGATGCCCTGGCCTTCCCTGCTATTACTGTTACCGTGATGACACCAAATAATCCTTAGCGTCCAAGGCTGTTACTTGAGGCTGCACGGAGATTGGATTAACTTGAAGTCAGGCTCTTTGGCTGCCCCTAGCTGAAGACTGGTGCCACCTCCTACCCTGAGTTTTCTGATGCTTGGGACATCTGAATATGAGCCCAGACAATCTGGGGGCTGATTGCCTTGCAGAGGGGCCAGGCCCTGTGCCCCAGGACAGTGAACGCCTTAGGAAGAGCGGCTTATGTTTGTTCCTCTGCCCACAGCGTCACAGGGGTCCCCAGTGAGGATCCTTAGGGTGGGGCAGGCTTGCTGGTCCCAGACCCCCCAACACACAGACACACACACACAGCCCAGGGGTCTCCCCATTGCGCAAGGCAGCCTCGTCCCAGTCTGGAAATTTGTTCATAAATAGAGGCAATTCACCTCTCAACCGAGGCCACTAAAAAACTGGCCCCCTCTTTGTTGCGCTGGAGCAGCCGTGGCTGTGTGTAACCCTGGGATGGCATCCCTAAGCAGGTACTCTCCCCAGGGGCAAGGCCACAGGACACCATCTCCAGAAGCCGTGGGTGTCCTCTTGGGCTGGCATTTGTTCTCTCCGTCTCCTTCAGGCTCTGTCAGACCTGCTGCTGTGTTTTTGTCCAAGGCCCAGCCTCCCCGGATCTCCCCCAGGGCCCAGGCACCTCTGCATGGTTTGAATCTAGCAAACCACACCCCTCACCCCACGAACTGCTCTTCCCATTCTGGAATGGGCCTAACTGGGGACCATGCATGTGGCACGCTTCTTTGAATTTTCTCCAAGGGAATTCTCCATTTTTCATCTTCCACATGGAAAGCAGGGGAGATAAGAGAGCTGGACCAATGTCCACAGGACTCCTACGACACCAAAAGACGTGCAAATCCCTGAGCTCAATGTTAGGGGTCCTGGGGACAGTGGGAAAACTGTCTAGAATGTTCCCTTCTCACCTGGAACAGCTGTTCTCTGACAGCCCTGGGGCTGGTGAGCACAGTGTTCACAGTCCGACCAAGCCAAGGTGTTCCACCATCCGAGTGAGGTCCTGGAGACTTTCCTCAATATATAGAAGGAAAGCGAGAGAGCAGCACACTCTGCATTTGTAGTCTTGCGTCACTGACGCCTGGGCTGTGCATCCTCTGGGAAGGTTCTTCTCTAGGCTCACATGCTAAAATGATGCAAATTGATGCCTCTCAGCATCTGCAGAGAAGGTCATGGTCTCCAGAAGCCACACTCTTTTGAGAACAGCCTATTCAGACTTTCTGGCAGGGATGGTCCTCACTCCCTCTCCTAGAACTATTGAGAGCAGAACCTCAAACTTTACAGAATTAAGAACTAAACTTTCTGTGAATATGTTTCTCCTGCAGACTAAGGGGTGGGAAGGAGAGCGTTAGCTGGCGTGCTCTCTGCATGTGCTTGGAGAGCTGATATGCGCAGAACTCATCATCACGTGGAGATTCTTAGCTTTTCACATTGCTTCTGGGGGAGATTGGTGAATATTATTAATGACTTTGCTTTGGGATTCTCTTTTCCCTGCTAATGTTCTTTCCTATTGTTTCACTCTTTCTACGACTTTTATGTACTGTTATGCCTTTTTCTCAGTGAGAAGGCCAGATACTTGATCTTTCACATGACCAGCCTTTTTCAGGGCGGCCCTGCTCAGCACCTGGACTCATGACCTTCCCCTGGAGATGCCCTGGGAGTGCGTGCCCCTGCCCTGTTGCTGATGGCCTACAGTGCTCCTAAGTCATTTCCTAGGCCGTTTCTTGATTTGCCTTTACTTCCAGAAAGGGTTCTGGGTGGCCTCAAGCATAGGTGCAGTGAGACCAAAATCCCATGAACACCAAATCACAAAGGAGGAGAGGAGGAAACTATGGAGAAAATTACATCAAAACAAACAAACAAACAAACAAATATTACATGAGAGGTGGGGCGTGGTTGCTCATACCTGTAATCTCAGCACTTTGGGAGGCCGAGGCAGGCAGATCACTTGAGGTCAGGAGTTCAAGACCAGCCTGCCTCCCTGTCTCTACTAAAAATACAAAAATTAGCAAGGTATGGTGGCGGGCATCCTATAGTCCCAGCCACTCGGGAGGCTGAGGCAGGAGAATTGCTTGAACCTCGGAGGCAGAGGTTGCAGTGAGCTATTATGCCGCTGCACTCCAGCCTGGGTGACAGAGCGAGACTTCATCTCAAAAAATATATATATTACATAAGAAAAGCTGTCAAAGCTTATCTCTGAGCTTCCTGGTGGCCAAGGCATAGAGGCAATCATGTCAGTGATGTAGGCCTCACTGTCTGATGGAAGAGGGGAAATTAGTTCATCATGGGAGGCAAAGGCTTTCCTGGGTGTTCTTCCAGAAGGATTTGTTACAAGGGCCCAGTGACCTAAAGCACAATATGTCCTAAAGGTCATTAAAACGTCCTAATAGCCAAGCCTGCCACAGTGCCTGATGCATGGTAGATGCTCATAACCTACCCTTGAAGTGAATGGAGCAACAGAGGCCTGCTGCTTCTCTCCCTGTGGGTAAGGCAGTAATGACTCTGATGCATACCATGTGTCTGTTATTCAGAGAGTGACGACTGGTGGCAGCAGGTCCTTGTGGTAGCTCCCTGGAAGAAGTCCCATTCTGAAAAAGCATGATGCCAAATGTGAAGAGACTGAGCTGTCCTATTAAAAGACAGAGACTGTCAGATTAGATTTTTAAAATCAGATGTGTTATCATAAGATGCACACTTAAAAACTACTTTTAAAGGATAAGCAAAAGGATAAGAAAGATACTAAAATCACAAAAGGCAAGCAAGAGTGACAATAGTAATATCAAATAGGGTGAAAGTTAAGATTAAAAGGAATTAATAAAATTAATAGTATAAAAGGAGAACACTAATTCATTATGGAGGCATAATGGAATAAAGCAGTTATAGCATTCATCAACTTAAATGCACCAAGCAACATGGCAATGCCAGACACCTTGATTAAATACAAGTATGGTGGGTGATTTGAATATGACTCTTTTGAAATAAAACAAATGGGGCCAGGCAAAGTGGTTCAGGCCTATAATCCCAGCACTCTGCGAGGCCGAGGTGGGTGGATCACTTGAGGCCAGGAGTTTGAGACCATCCTGGCCAACATGGTGAAACCCCATCTCTACTAAAAATAGAAAAATTAGCCAGTCATGGTAGCACATGCCTAATATCCCAGCTACTTGAGCACAAGAATAAAGAATGCTTGAACCTGGGAGGCAGAGGTTGCAGTGAGCTGCTGAAGTTGTTCCACTGCACTCCAGCCTGGGGCAACAGAGCAAAACTCTGTCTCAAAAAAAAAAAAAAAAAAAAAAAGACTAATGTGTCTAGTGAACAAAAAATTAAATGTACACAGAAAAATTAAATAGTACAAATAGCAAACAATCAAATAGGTATATGAAAAATATATCTCTTGAATGAGATTTTCACATGTTTGGAAAATATTTATTAAAATGTTTATGCATGTGACTACAAGACAAGCATTAACAAATTTTAAAAGTTTGGTATTTCCAAACTGTAATGCTGAAAAGAACACATGTGTTAGCATCAGACAGTCCTGAGTTCAAATCCCAGCTCTGTTTTTGGGCAAGTTACTTAAATTTTCTGAGTCTCTCTTTTCTAGTCTTTAAAAAATTATCCTTACCTCTTGAGGTCTTTTTGAGGACAAATAACATTAGAGTTGTGAAATCTTTTATAAGCTCCATAGCATGGTTCCCACATGAGTAATTATTTAAAAAGCAATTCCTGCTCTATCTTGCTTCCATGTCGCTAGCTGCTGAGTAAAGTAACACATTCCAATGTGAGCTTTAGCAAGGAAAGAAGGGTGACCAGTGGCAAATGGCCATAATCTCAATTCCTATTAGCAATTTCAGTACAGTTTTTGGAAAATAAAACACATGGGCTCAAATATTTACAGTCCCATGTATTTGTCATATGATCTCAGGCAAGTTATTTAATCTCTCTAAGGCTCATCTGTAAAGTGATAATCATGCCCACCTCCTGGAGTTGCAGCAAAGGTTAGAGAATGTACCTATAGAGCCACAGGCACGTAAGAAGTGCTAAACAGGCCGGGCGTGGTGGTTCACGCCTGTAATCCCAGCACTTTGGGAGGCCAAGGCGGGCAGATCACTTGAGGTCAGGAGTTCGAGACCAGCCTGGCCAACGTGGTGAAACCCTGTCTCTACTAAAATTACAAAAATTAGCCAGGCATGGTGACGCATGCCTGTAATCCCAGCTACTCAGGAGGCTGAGGCAGGAGAATTGCTTGAACCCAGGGACGGAGGTTGCAGTGAGCCGAGATCACACCACTGCACTCCAGCCTGGGTGACAGAGCGAGACTCTGGCTCAAAAATAAAATAAAAATAGGTAGTAAACAAATGGGACAGCTAAATCATTTGTTGCTTTTAAAATCCCTGGTGCCTGCACTGAGCGGCGTAGGGGAGTCAGCCAGGAATATGCCAGGCAGTGCTGTCTTTGTGGTGCCCTCTGGCCACTTAGCTCTCCTGCTGGTCCACACATAAAGGCAGTAACTGAAGACCCCTTGCACCTTAGAGGCCTTGCACACCCCATCCCCACTTCGCACTTACAAGACCGGAAGTAGACCCCACTTTCCCTGCTCTAGACCTAAAAAGTATTCCCCCTTCTCCACCTGGTAGATGCCTCATCTCCGTCCTAGAGTCTCCACCTTATCTCAGATCCTGGAATACCAAAGGAAGCTGGTTTTGCTGCTGGAGAGTGAGTTTCCAACCGTCCAAGGTGAAGGTGGTGCCCTGCGAGTTTTGGAAGCCCGTTATGCAGAGCGATGGGCACTAGGGGGCAGCATTTCTCTTTCACATCAGACATGCCAGGTGGCAAAGACAAGGCCATGGCTGGTTGCCTTGCTTTATACTGGGGGTTCCCTGACCAGAACAGGTGCACCTGGGATGGTAGTCTGAGACTAAGAAAATGTATCAAAACATTGTTCTTGAGTGGACATGGTGGCTCACACCTGTAATCCCAGTGCTTTGGGAGGCTGAGGTGAGAGGATTGCTTGAAGCCAAGAGTTTGAGACCAGCCTGGGCAACACAGCAAGACCCCATATCTACTTTTTTTTTTTTAATTAGCCAGGCATGGCCAGGCGCAGTGGCTCATACCTGTAATCCCAGTGCTTTGGGAGGCTGAGGTGGGCAGATAGCTTGAAACCAGGAGTTTAAGACCAGCCAGGGCAACCAAGGGAGACTCCATCTCTACCAAAAAATACAAAAATTAGCCAAGTGTGATGGCATGCGCCTGTAGTCCCACCTACCCAGAAGGCTGAGGTGGGAGGATTGCCCAGGAAGCAGAGGTTGCAATGAGCTGAGATCGTGCCACTGCACTCCAGTCTGGGTGACAGAGCCAGACTCTGTCTCTTAAAATAAAAAATTAAAAATTATTTGCATGACCGGGCGCAGTGGCTTATGCCTATAATCCCAGCACTTTGGGAGGCCAACGCGGGTGGATCACCTGAGGTCAGGAGTTCGAGACCAGCTTAGCCAACATGTGAAACCCATCTCTACTAAAAATACAAAAATTATCTCGCCGTGGTGGTAGGCGCCTGTAATCCCAGCTGCTCAGGAGGCTGAGGCAGGAGAATCACTTGAACCCGGGAGGTGGAGTTTGCATTGAGCCGAGATCACGCCATTGCACTCCAGCTTGGCTGACAGAGCAAGACTCTGTCTCAAAGAAAAAAAAGAAATTCTTTGTGAATACCCCTGAAGGCAAGAATTATTTTGTGAAGTGGTGGAGGCAAGAGGACCCTGGCTCAGGGTCCAGGCCCAGAACTAGAGTGAGGGAGCAAGGCACTAAAGAAGAAAATGCAGTCAGGATAAGTTTAATGCAATAGTTTTAGAAATCCAAATTAATGTAAAAAATTTCACGATAAACAAAATAGCAAAAATGTAAATAGAGACCAGTTCCAGTCCTCTGCCTGGGTGCTTACCCCACTCGTGAGCCTGACTCTAGCCCTCTGACTCCAGCTCTGCATCAGGAAGAAGGTCCAGCTTCCCTCGGGGCCTCGGTTTTCCTGTTTCAGATAAAGGGCTTTGGACTCGGTGCCCTCTGAGGTCTTCCTGCTCTCGTGCTCTCTAGGCTGTAACCAGCTCCTCACTGATTTCCTACTGCAAAGCTCGCGTTGAAAACACTTTGCCCTGTGACAGACCCGCTGGGCTGAGCATACCGTCTCTCCTTTGGCTGCAGAACTCTCCCTGCTGAAATGTGATCCCTGTACCCAGTTTCAGCAGCACTGGCCGAGAGCCCTGACCCCGTTTGAGACCCCGTTCCAGGTGCTGGGGAACGAAGCGTGAATAAGACATTTTCTTCAACAGGCTCCGTCCACCGCGGGCAGCCAAGGCACAACCGCAACAGAGCATGGCTCAGGGCTCATAGTGCGAACCCCGGGCCCCAGCAAGGGGCAGGAAGTGGGCAGGGGCAGGACTGCCCGACCCCTGTGGGGGTTCAATGCATGCTTTACAGGTTGGGGAACCCTCCATAGAGGTTTGCAGGACGTGTCGATGATGCTTCCAGGTGGACAGAAGGGAAAGCGTTCCAGACACTAATGGTCTCAATGCGCTAAAATGGCAGAGTTTGCTGATGAATGCCACGGGCACCTGAGACAGGTGCAGGAGCTCTCGGGCCCATCCCCCTCAGAGTGTCACCCTTAGTCATTGTCAGAGACACAGCCACCCTGTATGGGTACTTACAACATGCCAGGTGACATGCCAGGGGCCTTACAGACACGGGGCTCCTTTAACCTTTGAAACAGTCACACGCAGAGCTGCCGTGAGTACCACGGTTTCCAGGGAGGTAGGAGCCCCCTCATTTTGGAGCATTTGGGGTGGATGGACTTTGACTCGCACGCACAGCCACGTGCGTCCGCGTAGCTCTGAGAATACCCTAGGAGTTCCACAACCGTGCACAGTGCCAGAAGACGGCAGCCAGTCTTCCCCCTTGGCCATCTTGCAGGGAACAGAGGGCCCAGGGTGGACCCTGGGGCTCCCTGAGCACCTGGGACAGCAGGTTCTAGGCGCTGTGCTCAGGAACCCACCATGTGGAGGGGACAGATCACCAACGGGGAACCGCAGAGCGCTGTGCCTAGCGCAGCGTGCGCAAAGAAATGGTGCTGAGCCCCCAGTGGTCGTCTGTGCCAGCTGCAGAGTGGGGAACTCAGGCACCTGGGAGCAGCTTTCAAATGGGGTTGGAGCTGTCCACACAGGAAGGGTCTGTGGAGACCGCCCAGGCAGTGGGCATCCTATGAGCAAGAAAGCTGGCCAGTCCCACGGGCACAGCATCCTGGACTCTCCCCTTCCCAAGCCACTGTTGCTGTCCTTCTGTCACGCCCCACTGCTGTGCTAAGGACACCCTACTCCCCAGGCAGCACGAGGACCTCGGCCTCCAAGGGGCCACATCTCCTGGTCCCTGCCCATCCACACACCCTCGTGCCGCCTGTCTCTTGCCGCCCAACCTCTCTTTCTCTTCCAGAATGCCAATCTGGCCCCCTGTGGAGCAGACCCGGATGCCAGCTGGGGCATGCGAGGTACACAGAGCGGGGACCCTGTGGGTCTCTGGCTGGGGCAGGGGTCGCTAACACATTCCACAAGACTTGTTCTGAAACCACCCCATCCGCAGCCTGCAGAAGGCTCCGGGAGTGCCGGGCGGGGACACCTCGGGGGAGGGCGTGCTGGTTTCCCTGCCTCTCCTGGCCAAAAGTCAGTTCCACTCCAAGCTAGCTTTACCCGCGATGCTCCCTCTGTCCCATCCATGGCCACGGCGGCCCTGTCCTGCATTGTATGGCACTCTGTGTCACTTGGGAAAGCAGAGTCACAGGCACAAGGCTTCCAGGGTCTGAGCGGGACGGCGCTGGGCCAAACCCTGCCTGCGCCTTGCTCCCCGTGTGGCTGCCGGCACGCCGCGTGAACTCTCCGGGTTCAGCAGGGCTACTAGGAGGTTTGTGTTACCAGAGCGGCCACCTGGTCGTGTGGCAGGTGCCTGACACCTCCCACAGGCTCACCTCCTGTCAGCCTCTGTGCCCGCGAGTGGCGGGGGAGCCTTGCTCTGCTGGACTGGGTTGCATGGGGACGGAGAGCATCAGTGCACCACAGCCTGCTCCCTCTAAGTGGCCTTCAGTCCCCGGGCCTCAGAGCCAGCAGGTCCAGAACCACACGGGGCAAGTGGTGAAACTCAGGGACCGGCTCCCGACACGGGGTCTCCCTTCCGAGACTGGCTTGAGGACCAGGTTCTGTAGATACTGCTTTCTGTGGGTTCTGTGTGCGTGGAGGCCCTACGATCCACACTATTTCATTTTCGTGATAAGACGCTTTCAGTCTGGAAGTAAGACATTAGGGGGCAGAGCTCAGTAGTTTGAAAAAGAGAAAATGTAGAGTTAATAAGGTAAGACGGTGAGAGATGGGAGAGGCTCAGAACATAGCAAGATGTCAGTCTCCACAACACCCTCTAAAAGTTTCCCCTGAAATGCCCGCTGTACAGGCAGGTAAACTGAGGCTGGCATCTTTCTCAGGGTGGCCCAGACCACCAGAGAGACAGCATCACAGCTGAAAAGCACAGTGCCGCCCTCCGGCTTCCAGCCTGGCCTGCAGCCTGACCATGCCTCCTGCTCTGGTTTCCCGGGGGAGGCCCTCAGGGCCCCTCTGCCTGCAGCTCTGAGATTAGGGCCTCAGTGCAGGCTGCTCGGGGACCATGCATGGCCCAGGTGACTGCAGGGGGGAGACAGGGGTACCCCAGGGCAGGGATTGCACTCACCTTGGACGACATCTTGCACTTTCTAAACCATTTCGTGGTCTCCGCTCTCTCTCTCTTACAGAATACAAGGTAAGCGGGGCCGCTCCCACACTGACCTCCGTGCCGCGCCACACCTGCCCAGGTTAAAAGTCCTTTCTGTTGTGCTTTACCTATGAAATGTGTGTGTCAGGTGCAGACGCAAGTATGTATTCTCGGTGACCTTCTGCTCAGTTCTTTGGTGCCAGCATACACTTGCTTCGTGAGGTGACCCTGTGGTTTCCTCCCCCAACAGATCTATCCGTATGACTCCCTCATCGTCACAAACCGAATTCGCGTGAAACTGCCCAAAGACGTGGACCGGACGAGACTGGAGGTAAGCGGGGGACTGCCGGGGCAGGGGACTCATTTCCCATGCGAGAGTCCCCGCAGATGCCTCCTCCGTGGTGTCAAGGTCGTTGCCCAAGGGGCCACCGTGGGGGACAGTGCAGAGCCTTGCCGTGATGCAGAGTCAGGCCCACATTGCCTCAAAGGCCAAACGATGTGGTGATGTTCCCCAGCCTTGATGGCTTTGCAAAGAAGACCACCCTGGTTTGTGGATGAGGCAGGGAAGGCTTTGTAAGAATAATGAGCTCTGGGCTGGGCACAGTGGCTCACGCCTGTAATCCCAGCACTTTGGGAGGCTGAAGCAGGCAGTTCACCAGAGATCAGGAGTTCGAGACCAGCCTGGCCAACATGGTGAAACCCCTCTCTACTAAAAATACAAAACTTAGGTGGGCGTGGTGGCAGGTGCCTGTAATCCCAGCTACTCAGGATGCTAAGGTGAGAGAATCACTTGAACCCGGGAGGCAGAGGTTGCAGTGAGCCGAGATGGCGCCACTGCACTCCAGCCTGGGTGACAGAGAGACTCCATCTCAAATAATAATAATAATAATAATGAGCTCTGCAGGAGGTGCCTGTTCTCTCCTACTGAGGTTGAGTAAACTGCCCCAGCTTCCCACCCGACCACACTTACACCCATCTAAAATAACCGGACAAATGCAGAAAGCAAGTATGTGTTTCTAAGCACCGGCAAGGTGTCAGCAAGGAATAGGTGTTTGAATACGATCTGTTGACTGAGAGAACTGACTTAGTTGAGTAACTACTACGTGCCAAAGTGGCACGTGCAATCCTCTGTTACTCCTCACAACCGCCCTACGGTGTCCCAGCATCCAGCCCGGGGGTTTCATCTCCTGAGCCCTGTCATGAATGTGCTGCTGCCTTTCAGTAGACTCTCTTGCTAGAGTGAAGGGTCTTGAGGCTCCTGAAGGAAAGGGGACACCCAGCACCATCTGAGCCCCAAGGCTGGAGAGTGTGTATGACCCCATGTGCACAGGGCCAGCTGCCAGGCTATGCCCAAACTGCCCACCAGGCAGTGGCTCCCTCTGCAGCTGGGGAAGGAGTTGGAGGGGCGTGGATGCCGCTGAGGGGCGGTGGCTCAGTCTGCTGCTGGGGAGGGAGTTGGAGGGGCGTGGATGCAGCTGAGGGGCAGTGGCTCAGTCTCCTGCTGGGGAGGGAGTTGGAGGGGCATGGGTGCAGCTGAGGGGCACTCAGCAGTACCCTAGTGCTGGGGCCAGAGAGGGGAGAAGGCACCAGGCTGCTCCTCAGAAGGGGAAGTCTGGAAAGGCATTCCAGGCCCGGGGAAGCCCCTGAGCAAAGGCTGGCAGGGAGCAGGTGCTACAGGCTGTGTCCCCAGATAGGAAGTACGTCCTTACCAGGAACACTGAGCACGCACCCACTGCCCTGCACTAGCTGGCTGGGTGCTCTTGAGCTGTGGTTTCTGCACCTCTAAGATGAGGATATTGATTCCATTTGACCAAGCTGCTCTGCAGACGAGAGGCTGCATAAAGCCCTTTGCCCAGGGCCTGGAAAATAGCACTCCCTCGGTACAGGGAGGGGACCAGGACACTGGTGTGACTGTAGCACTGGGGATGGGATGCATCCATTTTGACCTGTTTGTTGCAAATGGTAGGAACTTGACCTAAAGTGACTTAAGCAGAGAAGGAATTTACTGTGTCCATGAAAAGTGTCAAACTGTAAAATACATCAAGAGGTTTCATCTGAGCCAAATGTGAGTGACCACCCAAGAGGTGCAGTCTAAAGAGCTCCTGAGAACACGGGCCCACGGTGGTTGGGTTACAGCTTGGTTTATATGTTTCCGGAAGATAGAAGACATCAATCAATACATGTAAGGTACACATTGGTTCGGTCTGGAAAGGTGGGACAACTCGAGGTGGGGGCTTACAGGTCATAGGTGGATTCAAAGATTTTCTGATTGGCACTTGGTTGAAAGAGTTAAGTTATTAAGACCTGTAATCAATAGAAAGGAGCATCTGGGTTAAGACAAGGGGTTGTTTGCACTGGGCGTGGTGGCTCATGCCTGTAATCCCAGCACTTTGGGAGGCTGAGGTGGGCAGATCATGAGGTCAGGAGACCGAGACCATCCTGGCTAACATGGTGAAACCCCATCTCTACTAAAAATACAAAAAATTAGCCAGGCATTGTGGTGGGCACCTATAGTCCCAGCTACTTGGGAGGCTAAGGCAGGAGAATGGCGTGAACCTGGGAGGTGGAGCTTGCAGTGAGCCGAGATCGTGCCACAGCACTCCGGCCTGGGCGACAGAGCAAGACTCCATCTCAAAAAAAAAAAAAAAAAAAATAAGGGGTTGTGGAGACCATGGTTCTTATTACGTAGATGAAGTCTCATAGGTGGCCTTCCTTAGAGGCAATAGATGGCAAATGTTTCCTATTCGGACTTTTAAAAGGTGCTAGACTCTCAGCTAATCTCTTCAGGATCAGAAAAAGAGCTAGAAAGGGAAAGGGATTCTGGAATGTAAATTTCCCCCACAAGAGACAGCTCTGCAGAGTCTTTTTTTTTTTTTCTTTGAGACAGAGTCTCACTCTGTCACTCAGGTTGGAGTGCAGTGGCACAATCTTGGCTCACTGCAACCCCCACTTCCCAGACTCAAGTGATTCTTCTGCCTCAGCCTCCTGAGTAGCTGGGACTACAGGCACCCACCACCACGCCTGGCTAATTTTTTTATTTTTAGTAGAGATGGGGTTTCACCACGTTGGCCAGGCTGTTCTCAAACTCCCAACCTCAGGTAATCTGCCCACCTCTGCCTCCCAAAGTGCTGGGATTACAGGTGTGAGCCACTATGCCTGGCCTGCAGAGCCATTTTAAAATATGCCAAAAAATATATATTTAGGGGTACAATATTTGTATTTCTTTCAGGGCCTGCTCTCTGTCATGTGATGCTATACTAGAGTCATACAGGAATTTGGTATCTTATGGCTACAGTTTTAAGATCTCTGTTTTAATGTTAATGTTATCAGTTGTGCCTGAATTCCGAAGGGAGGAGGGTAGAATGAGACATGTCTGACTCGCCCCCTCTTCCCTTCATGGCCTGAACTAGGTTTGTAGGTTTCTTTGAAATCCCCTTGGCAGAGAGGGGGGGTTCATTCCTCCTCAATCAGCCATTGCAGGGCTTAGAATTAATTTTTGGCTTACAGCTGGCTCTCATGACTGAATGTCTCCTTCAGGTGTGGCTTAATCAAGGGCTAAATTATGTCTCCAGCACCCAGTTTCCTTCCTTCTATCTTTTGACTGTGCTTTTTCTGTGCTGGCTCCATTGATAGACTTTTACCTCACCTCTCTCAGGCTCTAAATCTGCGGGGAAGAGACCCACATCTTTCTCTCTCTCAGCAGTCCCAGAAAAAGCCCCATCTCTGCCCTTGAGTAGGTAATATGACCACCCTTTAATCAGCTAGTTTGACCCAAGGAATGCAATGCCCTAATTGGCCAGGCTCAGCCATAGGCCCGTGCCTGGGCTAACAGGGCTGCTGACATCACCTGAGCTGGGTGGCGTATTTAACACTCCATCTTAGATAACCGGGAGAGAGGAAAGAAGGAAGTGAATCTACAATGAAGGTGAATGGTTATGAGGAAAGGGGTCTTCTCTGGTGCCCTTTGGTCATTTACAACGTTTTACAAAACAATGTAGGTAAGGAAAAAGACTAATCTGTAATCAGAGAAACAAAGGTGACAGCTGCTTAGGTTACAGCTGCCTGTCACATGACTCAGGTCCTATAATCATATTCTCTTAAGGCTCAAAATATGTTAAATTTCCAACAGCTTAGATTTTGAACAGCAACTTGTTTTCACATTCCTAAAGATGGGGAAGAGAATGCCGGGCCACAGGCAGCGAGTGTTTGCCTGCGGGAGGGTGGGAGATGGGGCTGAGCAGGAGGGAGAAGCCACATGGCAAGCCCTTGACTGCCGTGGCCAGTCAGTGCGGTCAGTCCTCCAGGGTGTGCCGAGCACCCAGATGTGTGGGGATCGTGCTAGCAAAGGAACCGCAGAGCCAGATAGCACAAGGGCCTTTGCCGGGGGGAGCTGGCAGCTTGTGGGACATTTGGACTTAACCCCACAGAAGAGGAAAGGCCACCAAAAGGTTCTGATGTGTTAGGATGTGCATGGGTCATCAGTAGGAGGACGCCAGGCAGCAGGAACTGGCTAGGAAGCTGGCATGTGGGTCCAGACAGCACCAGGTGGGTGGAGAAGCCCAGCATCTGCGCAGAGTGAGTGTGCAGGTGAGGCTGTGAATCCAGTGAGTGCGCAGATGAGGCTGCAAATCCAGTACGGCCCGCCTCACACTCAGGAGGCGCCCCTGCCGTCTCATCCTCAAGACCTCTCTTGGGTAGCCTCTGCCTACCATCACATGGGACCATCCCCCAGTGGCCAGAGAAGGCACCCCAAAAGGAACTCCAACACTGCTAGCAGCCTGCGGGGACGCATTCTTCAGCTCCTGTTGAAGTTGTTTCCTTGAGTTCTGTGGTCAGGTCCCATCCCAAGCACGAATACTACTGACCTTTGTAAAATGGTTATCACTGGTGGGGTGGGTGGCTCACCCAGTCAGGAACTGCTGGGAGGGTTCCTGCTGGCTGTGTTTCTTTGTTCCTCAAAGGGCGTGTCCCCTCTGGGCTGTCTAATGGTGCTGGAGTTAATTGCTCTCACCACAAAAGGTGAGCTCAGCCAGCAGGTCTGGCAGCTCCTGGCCCAGCAGCAGCGTCCAGGGGCCTGTTGGGACTCACAGCAACCCTCTTGGAACTGTAGTATGCTTGACAGGACTTCTATTTCACTTTTTTTTGGCAATAATACAACATGAAAATTGTAAAATACAAGTGGTTAACATTTGTAAATGTATCCTTTTAAAACACCCTCTGACAGCTGGGTAATGGTTTTAATCACTCAGATTTCCAAGAACACACCCAAGGGTGCGACCCTAGTCCTCCTTCCTCCTCAGGCTCAGCCAAGCCAGGAGGCAACTGGAAATGTTACTACATATGGGGAATGCCCCTCTTTTCTCAGCAGCGGCTGCCTGTCTGCCTCGGGCTGAGAGTGGGACGTGAGCCAGAGGGGGTGCAGGAGCGGCCACCTCCCAGCAGGAGAGAAAGGGACCCCTGGTGTTTTTCTTTCAGAGGAAAGAGCTTTATTTTTAATATATATTTAAAAAATCTTAACTGTCATAAAAGTCCAGAAAAATACAAAGAAGGACATAAACCTCTTAAGGAATTCCCCCACCCAGTCACAGCTGATAACTCAGTGGGAGATATGCTTCTGGAAATCTCTTGCACATCATCTCAGAGCTAACTGAATCCTATTTTGGATCAAGAGGGCTCATACTGTATATCCAGGTTTGACATCCTGCTTTTTGCTTTCAAATTTGACACGGATATTTCTAGGCCAGTCAATGCTGATCTGCCCCACCTTTTATTTATTTATTTATTTATTTATTTATTTATTTATTGAGACAGAGTCTCCCTCAGTCTCCCAGGCTGGAGGGCAGTGGCGCAATCTCAGCTCACTGCAGCCTCCACCTCCTGGGTTCAAGCGATTCTCCTGCCCCAGCCTCCTGAGTAGCTGGGACTACAGGCACCCACCACCACACCCGGCTAATTTTTTGTGTTTTTAATAGAGATGGGGTTTCACCATGGTGGCCAGGCTGGTCTCAAACTCCCGACCTCTGGTGATCCCCCCACTTCAGCCTCCCAAAGTGCTAGGATTACAGGCATGAGCCACCACACCGGCCTACCCTACCTTTTAAATGGCAATATGGTGGCCCACTGGGAATGTGGTTCCCACAGGGGACGTTTGTGTGCCTGTGTGCATGCATGTGTGTGTATGTGTGTATACCTGTGTGCATGTGTGATATGTGCATATACATGTGGGTATGTGTGTGTATTCATCCATTTTTACACTGCTATAAAGAAATACCCGAGACTGGGTATTTTATAAAAGGAAGAGGTTTAATTTGCTCACAGTTCTGCATGACTAGGGAGGCCTCTGGAAACTTACAATCATGGTGGAAGGCAAAGGGGAAGCAAGGCACATCTTACATGGTGGCAGGAGAGAAAGAGAGTGTGAAGGAGGACCTGTCAAACACTTAAAATACCATCAGATCTCGTGAGAACTCACTCTCTATCACGAGAACAGCATGGGGGAAACCACCCCCAGGACCCAATCACCTCCCACCAGGTCCCTCCCTCCACATGTGGGGATTATGGGGATTACAATTTGAGATGAGATTTGAGTGAGGACACAGCCAAACCATATCAGTGTGTGTGTGTGTATACACGTGACTGTGTGTATGTATGTATGTGGATATGTGTGTATGTGTGTATGTGTGTGTGTACATGTATGTGTGTATATGCGTGTGTGTATGTTTATGTATGTATACGTGTATGTGTGTATATGTGTGTGCATGTGTGTATGTGCGTCTATGTGTGTATACATGTGTATGTGTGTATACTTGTGTGTATGTGTATATGTGTCTGTATATGTGTGTGCATATTTGCATATGTGTATGTGTGTGTATGCATATGGATATACGTGTGTGTGCATGTGTGTGCATGCACATGTGTGTGTGTGCATGTGTTGTGTAAGATGAGGGATGGCAGGTAGGAAATGAATTCCAGGAACAACAAAGTACCCGTGCAAAGGACCTGGGACAGGAGGGAGCCTTAGCTGCTGGAGGAAGTATACGAAAGCTGAGGTGTCTGGACCTGAGCCCGGATAGGCCCTGCAGGGCCCTGGATTGTGTTAAGCAGTTTGGTTTTTAGCCTAAGAGCAATGGCATTTATGACCAGGTGTGCAATTGAAAACAACCCCTGTGGCTACATGGTGAAGCCCAGATTGGCTGCGTAGAGGCAGGGAGACTGTTTCAGGGCCATTTGGGTCTGGGGCAAAGCATGATGGCATCTTGGACACTGTTTGTGGACTGGTGAGTGTGAGAAGTGGATGGATGCAGATGATCTGTGGGAAGTCGAAGGGGCGGAACTTGGTGATGGAAAAGTACCCCAGGTGTCGCTGCAGGCTGTGCGGGTGCGATGGTGACACCCAGCCAGATGCTCTGTGCCCATGAGCAGCAGCCAGTCACTGTGACAGTGGATTTCACAAAAGAGGAAAAATTTATTCACAAGACTGCTGAGCAAGGAGACTGCAGAACAAATCTCAAACTTGCCTCCCAGAAGAGTAGGGCCTAGGGAGGAATAAGAAGTGGGTGGTCTAAGGCGTGGGAAAGATGACTGCTGGTGGGAAAGGTGAGGGCATGGGGACTTTGCCTGAACACGATTGAGCTACATGGTTCTTCGTGGGACATATGTTTAAGAAAAAGACATTGTTAGCGTGATCCGAGAAAGGTGTTTTTGGCCCTCTGAAGTCGGGCATTCGCTCAGGCCTACTTGAAGGGCTCATGGTCTCTACTGGCTTAAAATGGACAAGAGCTAACTCTAAGTTCCCAAAACACAACTTTAAGCAACCGTTACTATAGCGACGCACACATCAGAGATGTTATCCGTAAGGGAGCTAGTGGGAATTTAGTTAGATATTGTTTGGCCACGTGACTTTTAGCTATATATGTTAAAAAATTAAGGAGCAAGTGACTAGAAGCAAGCAGGCAGATTAAGTTTGGAGGCCCAATCAGATGAGTCCCTTGGTTTCAAGGGGGATGGAGCGGACATCATTTAGTGGAGCAGCATGTGGGCAGATGTGATTAACACTCACTGATGGGGCATGGCCAAGGGGATGCAGGATGTCCAGCCACGCAGCAGTGAAAGGTGCCACGCGGCACATAGTAGGTGTTCAGTTAGAGTGGATAAGTACGCAGGAGTGTGGAGAAGCTGTGATCATCCTCTTCCACTCTGGGAGGGCTGTCCCATGGAAGAGGGTCAGATGAATCAGGTGGTGCCAACATGCAGAGCGGGGTTCAGCACACAGAGCTCATAAGAGGCAGAGCTGAGGTTCAAACTAAGGTGTTGCTGAGAGCCACTGCAATATGCTGTCTTCTGAGTTAATTGCAGTGTGGAAAATGAATTTTTTTTTGAGACAGGGTCTCACTCTGTCACCTAGGGTGGAGTGCAGTGGCACAGTCACAACTCACCACAGCCTCAACCTCCTGAGCTTAAGTGATCCTCTCACCTCAGCCTCCTGAGTAGCTGGGACTACAGGCATGTGCCACCACGCCCAGCTAATTTTTTACTTTTTGTAGAGACAGGGTCTTACTATGTTGCCCTGGCTGGTCTCAAATTCCTGGGCTCAAGTGATCCTCCCACCTCAGCCTCCCAAAGTGCTGGGATTTCAGTCATGAGCCACTGCGTCCAGCCTGAAAATGAATTTCTAACCTGTCTTAGGTGTCCCCAACTTCCCAGTACAGACAGGCATATTGCTCCTTAGATAGGAAAGTCTATCAACCAGGGTTTTCCAGAGAAACAGAACCATTAGGTGGATGGATGGTGGTGGATGAATGGAGGGATGCATGGATGGATAGATAGATGGATGGATAGATGGATGAGTGGATGCATGGGTGGGTGGATGGATGGGTGGATAGATGCATGGGTGGGTGGATGGATGGGTTGGTGGATGGATGGGTGGATGGATAGGTGGGTAGGTGGGTGGATGGATGCATGGATGGGTGGATGGATGGATGGATGGATTGGATGGTAGGATTGGATGGATGGATTGGTGGATGGGTGGATGGGTAGGCGGTTAGGTGGATTGATGGGTGGATTAATGCATGGGTGGACAGATGAATGGATTAATGGGTGGATAGATACATGAGTGGATGGATGGGTGTGTGGGTGGATGGATGAGTGGGTGGGTGGGTGGAAGGGTGGGTGGATGGATTGGTGGATGGATGGGTGGATGGATGGGTGGATGGGTGGATGGATGGATGAATGGAGGAGTGGATGGATTGGTGGATGGGTGGATGGATTGGTGGGTGGATGGATTGGTGGATGGGTGGATGGGTAGGTGGGCAGGTGGGTGGATGAATGCATGGGTGGATAGGTGAATGGATGGATAGATGGATGAGTGGATGGATGGGTAGGTAGGTGGGTGGATGGATGGATGGATAGATAGATAGATAGACAGACAGACAGATAGCCACAGCCATATACTAAGAAATTTATTTTAAGAACTTGGCCCACACAATTGTGCAGGCTGGCAATTCTGCAATGTGAAGGGCAAGCCAGCAAGCCGGGGACTCAGGCAGGAGTTGATATTCCAGGCTGGGTTTCTTCTCTGGGAAACCTCAGTATTTACTCTTCAGGCTGCCAACAGACTTCATGAGGCTCCTGCATTATTGAGGGCGATCTCCTTCTCTTGCAGTCAGCTGACTGTCAGTGTGAGCCGCATCTGCAGCACACTTTCACAGCAGCATCTAGACTAATGCATGACCAAACAACTGGGCCCCACAGCCCAGCCACGGCGACACATACAGCTCAGCCATCTCAGAACGCAAGGTGGATGGGTGGAAAGGGACTTGTTGTCTGGCCTGAGGCCCTCCCGGTCCATGGCTCGTGGATTCACACTCTGAGACCTTTCTGCTTGCTTGGCAGGGCAGGGCTTAGCAGGAAAACAACCCCGTAGCCACAGGAGTTTTTGTAAATTGCACACTTAGTCATAAATGCCATTGCTCTTAGGCTAAAAACCAAACTGCTTAACACGGTCCAGGGCCCTGCAGGGCCTATCCTGTCCTCACCTTTCCCGGCTCAGGTCCAGACACCTCAGCTTTCTTTTTTTTCTCTCTTTTTTTTTTTTCAAGACGTAGTCTCACTCTGTCACCCAGACTGGAGTGCAGTGGCACAATCTCAGCTTACTGCAACCTCCACCTCCTGGATTTAAGTGATTCTCCTGCCTCAGCCTCCCGGGTAGCTGGGACTACAGGCATGTACCACCACGCCTGGTTAATTTTTGTATTTTTAGTAGAGACGGGGTTTTGCCATGTTGGCCAGGCTGGTCACGAACTCCTGATCTACCCGTCTCAGCCCCCCAAACTGCTGGGATTACAGGCATGAGCCACTGTGCCCAGCCGACACCTCAGCTTTCTTATGCTTCCTCCAGCAGCCAAGGCTCCTCCTGCCCCAGGGCCTTTGCACATGCACTTTATTCTTCCTGGAATTCCTTTCCTACTTGCCATCCCTCACCCTACACACACACACACACACACACACACACACACACACAGCAAGGGGAGCAGCTCATTGCTGGAGTCCTGTGGTTTCTTGAACTGTCGTCTTCCAGGCCCTGAGGCCAAATGCACACCAGGGTTTGCTCAAGCAGTGAGAGCCCAAATTGTTGGAATGCGCCTGAAAAATAAGGGCCCCACAGTGAAAGAATATCTCCTTTGTTTAAACTCATCCAACTGGTCTGATGAGAGGGTGTGTCCTGGTAGACTGAGGGTGACAATAGGAGGTTTGGAGCCACATGGGTGTGTCTGAGAGATGGGTTTGCACCAGAATCCCAGCCTCCCTGGCCAAGACAAGGAAGAGAAACACAAGCAGAACTGTGTGGCTGGGAGAAAGCGTCGGGAGTCAGGAGAGTGGCAGGCAGAGGCCAAATGCAGGGGCCTCGTAGGCCAGGACAGTGGCGGGGGAGCCCCCGTGGCGCCACAGCAGAGAGCAGGACAGGCAGTGGAAGCTGGAGGTGTTGGGAGGCAGCACTGCAGAGGGGACAGCCCAGATTCAGATTCACAATGCAGACCAGACATCTTGTCCCTCAGTGAGGATGGGACAGTGCTGTGAGCAGACAGGCCTGTGCCCACCCTCATGGTGCTGAGAGCCAGAGAAGGTCAGCACTGACTCAGCCTTGAGGGACACAGCATAGCCCCAGGGCCTGCTTGGTGAGCGCAATCTAGGAGGGCCTCCAGGAGGAGGGGACACTTGAGTCAGGACCAGTAGGATGACGAAGAGCTGCTGGTGAATGGGAGAGGGAGCACTGCATGGTGCTTCCCCTGGGCTTTCACAGTACACCACGCAGCAGAGGAGTGGAGAAGAGGCGTGCAAGGCTGTGGAGGGGCAGGGCCCTGGGGCCACCTGACAGCCACGTCATTGCCCCGCTAAGCCGCTGTCCCCTCTGTGCCCCATAGGCTGTGGAAGAGGTCCCGGGGTATGGAGGGAAGGCTCTCCTGGAGGGGCAATGGCCACCGTCATTATGACAGTGATGTCACTGTAGGTCCTGCAGGGACCTCCTGCTGGGAGGGCTGGAGCTTCCGGGCCTGGGCCCGGCTTAAGCAAGACTCACCCCTGTATGCAGGGCCTCCTTGTGCAGGCCAAGGCAGTGTGAGCCGGTGGAATGCACCACGGAGCCCAGGCCTTGGGAGAAAAGTGGCCCCTTGCTGGCCCTGGGGGCCCAGGCTGAGCAGGGCTAGGACCTGAGGCCCACCCGGTCAGCCAGCCCTGTGCTGGTACAGAGGGGTGGCTGTGACTGGTGGGCTGTGTGGAGGAAGGAGGTGTCAGAGTCCCTCCCAGGGGTACCTCTGAGCTTGGTGGGGTCAGGGAAGCTGGGAGTACCCTGAGGGGACTTAGGGCTGGAGGTTGGTAGGGGGGTAGGCCAGGGCAACCTGTCCCTGATGGAGTGGAGGTGGCATAGGTCCCTGAGGCTTCACCGCAAACCTGAGATGGCCCTGGAGGTCCAGGTGGGAGGCAGGAAGTAAGGGTGGAGGAAAGGTCAAGCCACCTAACCTGGCTCCCAGGTCTGGCTCTGCCACTTCCTGGCTATGTGACCTTGGGCAAGTCACACAACCTCTCTGAGCCTGAGCCTCCTGAGGCAGTCCCCCTGCCATGCTGCAAAAATGCCTCCCTGCAGGATGTTCCCTGGGGAAACCAGTGCACCTCAGCAGTGAGGCTGCCCCACCCTCTGCAAAGACCCCCACCCCAGGCTTCCTTCCTTCCAGCTGTGCTTGTCCTGCGCGGGCCCTGGGGGTGAGGTGCACTCCTGCAGGGCCTTCAGGAACCTGGGGTCAGAGGAGCTGGCTTGAGGCCAGAAAGCTGGCCCAGTCTCTGGGGTCAGCTGGGCCTCACCCACCCTGCCTGCCCTGGCAGACCCATGGAGAAAGCCTGCCTGCCTCTGGCCCTGAGTGAGATTGAATGCCAGTTTTGCAGCTGGCCACAGAGTAAGGACCTTTGAGCCCCTCTCACCTAGGAGGCAGTGGAGACTCAGCCAGGTGAGGTGTGACACTCAGAATTCCACAGCTGGAGCCCAGAGTTATGAACAGACCCCCTGCTGCGGAGAGCCCCTCATGTGACCCTCACCCAGCCTTCCGGATACCCAGGCAACCAAGTTCTCTCACGCTGCAGACAGAAAACAGGACTGGAGCCTGCGGGGAGGTGGTCCCTGTCAGCCCCCTAGACCCCTGGCCCCAAGTCCTGGGCCCTGTAGGCCACATACGAGTGGCCTGGCCCAGCCCACATGCTCGGGACACCCCCGGCCCCTCCCTGTTGCTGTGGTCTGCCCAACCAGGCTGCTCCCCAGGGCCTCTGGTGATGGAGCGTCCCAGTCCCAGTGCCACACTCCCAGAGAAGGTAACCATTCCCAGCAACTTCAGAAGCCACCCAGATGCTCCCTCCACCGCCCCCCCACAGTCATCCCCAAGGGCACCTCTGCTTCCCACACCCACCTCCCAACACCCTGCCAGCCTTCCTGCTTGCCCGCCAGCTCCAAGTCTTCCTCGAATCGCCCTCCCCAGAGGCTCCCACAGCCTGGAGCACATGGTGTCATCCTCAAGCCTGCCCTTCTCTCCTTCCCCAGCATGCGGGGCACGCCTGCCCACCATCCGCTCCCTCTCCACTCCTCCCTCCTCCAGCAAAGACCTGATGCCAGCTAAACCCAAGAGACCACTCACTCACCAGTCCTCCTCCCTTTAAGTACACGATTGCAGATGGCAGGGGGCACACCACCCCCTTGACACCTTCCCTCTGCCCACCAGCACCTTTGCGCCCCTCCCTTAGCCTCCCCCAGCAGGAAGCAGGAATGTGGCCACAGGGAGGCCTGCCCCAGGCACCAGCACTGAACTCTCCTCGCCCTTCCGGTGTCAGCCTCCCCTCCTTTACATATTTACTTACGTGTCAGTTCACCACCCCAGCCTACCCCTGCCAGGGGCCTTGTGTCTCTGACTTTCCATGTCTGGAACAAGGTCTGGTATCACCAGGTCTTGGATAAAGCTAGAAATGATTTTCCTTTTTCTTTCCTTTGATCTCATCCGTCTTGATTGTTCCACCATAATTCAGAAGATGGTGATTTTGTACCTGTAAGTGCAGGGCTGCTATCTTAAATGACACATTGAGTGTCAAATGTCTTAAGAGACGCGGTCTGAAATGACAATTCTAAGTTTCTGTGGACTGGCTGATGGATTTCTCAGCACCAAGAAACCCTGATCTCAGCACCACGCAAGTGGTTCATTTCTGGCAAGCACCAGGATTCTTTTCCTCTTTGCAAACTCGAGATAGCAGCAGGCGGCTGAGGGCCTCTTCCTGGCAGACTTGCTGGATAGGCTGTGTGTGTGTGTGTGTGTGTGTGTGTGTGTGTGTGTGTCAGAGAGAGAGAGAAAGAGAGACTGACTCTGAGCCCAGATTCAACTAAAACATGGCATTCTGGGGGATTTCCTGAGTCCCTCCTCCAGATCACCCCAACTACTGGGGCTGCAAAATCCAGGGCATACCACACAGATTTGGTGATTCTTGTGAAATGCGTGAGTGGCAATGGTTTACACTTTTCATAGTTGACCAGATGTCTCCACTTCCATTTTCTCTTTTGCTAATCACAGTGATTCTAATATAGCACTTGAGTTTTTTGTTTGTTTGTTTGTTTGAGACAGGGTCTCACTGTGTCACCCAGGTTTGAAGTGCAGTGGTGTGATCACAGCTCACTGCAGCTTCAACCCCCTGGCTTCAAGAGATCCTCCCACCTCAGCCTCCTCAGTAACTGGGACTACAGGTACACGCCAGCGCACCCAGCTAATTTTTGTAATTTTTGTAGAGATGGAGTCTCACCATGTTGCCCAGGTTGATCTCAAACTCCTGAGCTCAAGTGATCTGCCCGCCTTGGCCTCCCAAAGTGCTGGGATTACAGGTGTGAGCCACCACACCCATCCAAATTGACCATTTTAACTATTTTATTTTATTTATTTTTTTGAGATGGAGTCTTACTCTGTCACCCAGGCTGGAATGCAATGGTGTGATCTCAGCTCACTGCAACCTCCACCTCCTGGGTTCAAGCGATTCTCCTGCCTCAGCCTCTCGAGTAGCTGGGATTACAGGCATGTGCCACCATGCCTGGCTAATTTTTGTATTTTTAGTAGAGATGGGGTTTGCCATGGCTGGTCTTGAACTCCTGACCTAAGGTGATCCACACGCCTCAACCTCCCAAAGTGCTGGGATTACAGGCGTGAGCTGCCACCCCCGGCCCATTTTAACCATTTTAAAGTGTACCATTCAGTACAGTTCAGTGTATTCACAACATTGTGCCACCAACCCCACTCTCCAGCTCCGGAACATTCCAACTCCGGAACATTCCAGCTCCGGAACATTTTCTTCACCACAAGAGGAAACCCCATATCCGTTAAACAGTCCCTCCCCATTCCTCTCTCCCCCAGTCCCTGGCGACCACGAATCCATGCTCTGTCTCTATGGACTTGCCTGTTCCGGACACTTCAGAGAAGTGGAATCATATACTATGTGGTCTTTGGTGTCTGGCTTCCTTCATGGAGCCAGTGTGTTTGGGGCTCATCCATGCTGTGGCATGTGTCGGAACTTCACGACCTTTTAAGGCTGAAGGCTATTCCGTCACATGGACATGTCACATTCTGTGTATCTATTCGTCCATTGATGGACACCTGGTTTGTTTCCACATTGCAGTGATTTAGAGTAATGCTGCTAGGAACATGGGCGACCATCATCTCTCTGAGTCCCTGTTTTCCATTCCTCCGGGTGTCTGTCCAAGAGTGGATGGCTGGGGCATATGATAACTGTGTGGAGTGTGTCGCAGAACTACAGAAAACTCCCCACAGAGCTGCACTGAAGCCACGCTTTTCAGAAGGCAGCAGATGGTGATTCAGGGCAGAGCCTGGCCTCTTCCTGTCACTGGCCTTCTCCAGCCTCTTTCCAGTTCCTCCTCTCAGCCCCGCCCAGGCGAGGCGAGGGGAGCAAAGGGAAGCATCCCCGTGGATGGAAAGTCCCAGGCTCCCTAGAAAAGCTCCTTAGGGGAGGGGACGCCTGAGCCAGCTCTGAGGGATGCGGGGTTTCTCAGAGCCTGCTGAGGAAGACAGGCAGGAGAGTAGGGGTTGCAGGCCCTGCAAGGCAGAGCTAGAAGGCAGGTGGCTGCTTGGCAAGGAGCTCCACAGAGCTTGCGGTGGCTGAGGTCATACTAACACATGCAGCCAGCACCCACGGGTACAGTCCACAGCCAGTGCTGACCTATGTCCACGCCTTCCTCCCCACAGCTCCAGGGTGTGGGCTCTAGGGGACCCCATTACACAGATGAGCAGACTGAGGCTCCAGGGTCTAACTCACTCCTATGGCATCCCAGAAGCACTGGTATCCACGCCCTGACCACCAAGCTGTGTGCCTTTCCACGGTGACCACAGACAAGAAGCTGAGCTCAGAGAGGCACAACAGCTCTCTCACGCTTACACACCAGGGGCTTCCGGTGGAGGGAGGATTTGCGCCTGGGCCTGGGCCGTGCCTGGCATTCTTGCTCACTGTCCGCGCCCCACCCTCCTGGGCTACGAAGTCCCGGGGGTAAACCTTCCACCTCCTGCTCTCGGATGGCAGCTGTGACCACTCACTGAAGTAACAAATATGACCACTGAAGGAAATCTATAAAAGCTCAGACATTTGCACGCAGGTGGGGGTCCTGCTCTGGGACATGTTAATGAACTTGGTCCACAGCAGCAGATACCTTTGTAGGAGTCAAGAGCAGAAGATTCTGGCTCCAGCTCCACCACTGGGTGCTGTGTGTCCCTGGCAGGGTCGCTGTCCTCTGAGCTCAGTTCTTTCACTGCAGAGAGGGTGTCAGGAACCGCCAGGAGGCCGAGCACGCTGAGGGCCACCCCATCCTCAATGCAATCCTGCCCCTGGATTGCTTGGCGGCAGCAAACTGCCCAATGGTGTCCCTTGCTGCGTGGCTAACTGGTCCCTTCTGTTTTGCCTTTTTGTTTGAAGAGACACTTGTCGCCCGAGGAGTTCCAGGAAGTGTTTGGGATGAGCATCGAGGAGTTTGACCGCCTGGCCCTCTGGAAGAGGAATGACCTTAAGAAGAAAGCCCTTTTGTTCTGACGGCTGCCAGCCTGCCCCACTGGTGTGTGCCGGGCGCCGAGGCCAGGGGCCCCTGGCGAGAACCGCACACACCCCTCCCACACACCTTGCTCTGGCTTCTCTGTGTCCATGGGGTGGGCGGGAGGGGGTCCCCCAGCAGGTGCGGCCCCTGCACCTGCCGGCGACACTCCTGCCGGTAGTTTAGGGCCGAGACGGCTAGCTTCACGCCACCCTTCCCCGCTGTGGCTTGGTGTCAGGGAGAGGCTGTAGAGTGGCTGTGTCGGGCATCAGATGGAGCACACAGGTGGCTGCAGCCCAGCCCACCTTCCCAGCGTTCTCGAGGTGCCCTGGCCCCGGTGCTGGGCACGTGGGGGACAGAGGTGGCCGGGACGTGAGCTGTGAGGCTTGTTGATGATGGTTGCTGACACCATCATCGGGGGTGGGCACACGGCCCTTCGGAGCCTGGGCAGCCTGGCCTCACAGGCAGACTCGCAGACGGGGCAGTGAGCGTCTGGGACAGTGCCAAGAGTGGGGTGTGTGATTTTTGCAGGCGTCTGTGATGGGTCTCTTTAGGGACAAATGTCAACAAGGGACAAGACAGGGCACCTTCCGCCAGCGCCCCTCCATGCGCTGCGTTCCTCCTCCAGATCGACCCCTAGATGCCTACACAATATCTTTAAAGTAACACAGAAGTTTTTATTTTATTAAAAAGTATAGCCTACTTAAACGCGAGATGACATATATAGAGTTTAATTTTACGGTCCCTCCGCAGGGGAGCGGCCTCCAGCCTTATTCTCCACCGCTCGGATCTGTGTGGTTTCAGTCTGTTCTTGGTGTGGTCCTCATACACAGAGCTCCCTGTCTAGTTTCTTTTCTTTTTCTTTTTTCTTTTTCTCGTCACACAGGTAACCTTAAAGACAGACCCCTCTAAAGAACGCTTTGTAAATACATGTGAGGTATAGCCACCACTGTTTTCCTTGCTGTTATTTTTCCAAGTCTTGGGGAGAAAACATCCTCCTCTGATGGCCAAAGCCCTGGAATCAAGGGTTTCCACGTACCCTGCCTAATACCCGACGTAGCTCTTGATGCACCGTCCTTGTGCTGTGGCTGGCGGTGTCTCAGCCTGAAACATAAACCCCACATGCCCCAGGAGCGATGTGCTCCCTGAAACAGACAACCACACGCTGTTGGGGAGAGAAGGATGGAGATAGGATGGAGATAGGATGGAGATGTGGCTCTTCTCATCTTTGAAGCCAGCAGGGCATCCCGGAGCAGGAGGCTGGCCGGGCTCCCCAAGCGAAGGCGTTGGTGTCTGTCATTAGGTGTGTGTTAGGGTGCAGCACCGGCCGTCACAGGATGCTGATAAGCGCGCTGAGAGGTGGATGAAACACCAAAGTCTGTTTCCCCGTCCGCAGTGGGTGTTGCCTCTTTGTGTGTGTCCCGATGTTCCTGCCTGTGAGTCGGCCTTACTCCGTTTCCTTAGCGCCCATGACACGCCAAGTCCCGTTTCGCACTCGGCTTCTCACCCGCCCAGCTCGGCTAGGGAGGGGGAGTTTTTAGCACCTAATATGCTTCCTGCCATTGCGCAATCTGAGCCTGAGCAACTGGAAACCCCCATTTCTCATTAGTGCAATGTCATATCTGATCCCAGGAAGCCTGGAAAATAAAAGACGATGCATTATAACTTGCGGAAGTACAAGATCACTTGTTATGAACTTGTGTGATTTTAAAGGCAAGGCCCCTTCTGCAAGCAGTGCTTGCGGAGGGCACCCGCTCCAGGCTCAATGCTGGGTGTGCGCATGGGGCAGGTGAGGCCTTGGGGAGGGGCCAAGTGTCTGCATTAGGGCCCTGTAGGACATTCCCCAGAGGCAGCTTGCACTGACACATTCCTGGGCCCTCACCAGGGCCAGGCCCTCTGCTGATGGCAGTGATGAGGGAAACCTGATACGCACCTGCCCCGGAGGCTGGGGAGACAAGGGCAGCCAGGCTGATCGCTGCTCTGTGGAGCTGGCCCCAAATACACCCCTAGGTCAGGGGAGGCTTTCTGGGCAAGATGCTGCCCAAACTAAGTCTTGATAAATGGGAGGTAAGGGAATAAATACCTCCCCAGTAAGGGAAGGGCATCCCGGGCAGCTGGAACAGCAGTAGCGGAGGCGCTGAGGCTGGAAACAGCCTCCCAGGTTCTGGAAAATTCGGTGGCTGGTTATGGCTGAGCACAGGGCCAAGGAAAAGAGTGGAAGGAAAGTCCCCATGGTCACAGCCCCAAACTGTGGCTCTCTCTGAGTTCTGCAGACACCAAGCCTTCCGGCTTTCACCCATGATCTCCCTCCTGGGGGAGCTCTGCTTCTTCTCAACACAGGGCCCCTCCCTTCCTTCTCAGTTCGACTCAGAAACTCCCCTGTCATACAGGGCCCTCTGCTGACTTTCCAAATTGCCACCCATCCCCACCCTCCTCACAGTACCTCCTCATGCCCTCTGTGTATCAGCAGTTTCTTCTATTTTATTTTATTTATGTATTTATTTGAGAGAGTCTCGCTCTGTCACCCAGCCTTGAGTGCAATGACACGATCTCCGCTCACTGCAACCTCCACCTCCCAGGTTCAAACAATTCTCCTGCCTCAGCCTCCCGAGTAGCTGGGATTACAGGCGTGCACCACCACACCTGGCTAATTTTTTGTATTTTCGGAGAGATGGGTTTCACCATGTTGGCCAGGAATGGTCTGGAACTCCTGACCTCAGGTGATCCTCCTTCCTCAGCCTCCCAAAGTGCTGGGATTACAGATGTGAGCCACCGCGCCCGGCCCACAGTTTATTCTTTCTCACTTTATTGACCGTTTCCCTCCATCAAACCCTAAGCCCGAGAGGACTGACGATTTTGTAACCACGCTCTATGAACTGGGAATATCTTTGGAGTATTTCGTAGCAAGGCTGGAGTCCATCTGGTTTCTGTGCTTTCCCCAAAGAGTCTTATGGCGTTCGTGCTTCTAGCATGGCACCGTCCTATCGCACTGCCTGTGATGACGAGGACATTCTACATCCACACTGTCCAACACGGCAGCCACCAGCGCTTGAAATGCAGCCAATGCGAGTGGAACGGAGATTTCAATGTAACTCATTTAGAGTTAAGGAGCCACGTGTGGCTACTGGCTGCATACTAGACAGTGCAGCACCCTGAGGATTAGAAACCGCTGCTGCCCTAAGCTGAGACATGCATGTCCACAGGCCTTGGGATCTGTCACTCTTGTCTCGCAACAAGTGTTCATTGGTGCCTGGTCTATAGGATCAATTGAGAATGCACTTGCTGAGCATGCATCTGTGCCTGGCACTGTCCTGGGTGCAGGGGTGTGCTTGGCACAGTTCTTGCCCTCCAGGCCCATGACGTCTGCCATCTGAATCTCAGAGCCCCAGGTTCTAAGCCGGTTTGGCTCAGTCTTCCATGCCAGTCTTCATGTCTGACGGTGGCACCAACCTTCCCGGATCAGCACCAACCTGGGCCTGTGTGAGGAACTCCCGAGAGAGATGGGCAGGGAGACATCGGTGCCTGCAGGGCCTCCATCCTCAGCCCTTCTCCCCAGGGCAGCTGTGCATTCCAAGCTACTTAAATCTGAACCAAAAGCTTCAGAATTCACTGCAGCCAGGCAAGAGAACGTGACAAATCTCACACGGGTCTTAGTGTTTGGTTCAAAAGTGACACATGTCACCTCTAGTGGTTGGAACTAGTCACATGACCCTGCCCAGCTGCAAAAGGGTCTAGGGAGCACAGGCATTCGTCTGTCTGAGAAGAGGGAGGATGAAAACCGGGAGCAAGCCTTACCAGCTACAGCCGAGGCTACACGGGTATCTTCTCTTCCCCAAGTCCAAGCCCCAGTGCCTTCGGTGGCTCTTGGTGTGAACTCACTTGGAGCCCTCCCCTGCCCTGGCCACCGTCCTCTGTGGGTGAGCCATTCACTTATTCATCCACGCAGATCTGCACGCTGGCTCCAGCCTGGCCCCCATACCCCCCAAGTCTCTGTTATGTTCAGTGCCCCCTCCTGGAGGGCTTTCACCCACACAGCACCATGTTCTCCTCTGTGACCTGCTGTCCCCAGCACAGGTGATCAGATCAAGGATGGCCCCTGAGCCATCGGCAGAGTGGATCCCTAGTGGCCCAGGGCAACAGCTGTGCCCCATGGAGAGACTTTGCTCTATGTGGACATTGATCTACCCGATCCGAAGCCCTCCCAGGGAGGTCATGAAACACTCAGGGAGTTGATGGGGGGGTGGGCAAAGCAGGGAACACTCAGCCAGAAGCCTGAGCCAGCAGAGGCCATGGGTAAAGAGAAGCGGGAGGAGAGATGCTCGCCAGGAGAGGAGGAAGAGGGGGAGCCCAGAGGGCATCAGGGCTGGCAGAGTCTGGTGGACTTTGCTGACCACTTGGGCTGCACTTAAGCCCATCCTGCCTCCCCTCTGGGTTCTTTTTTTTTTTTTTTTTTTTTGAGATGGAATCTCGCTCTGTCGCCCAGGCTGGAGTGCAGTGGCGTGATCTCAGGTCACTGCAAGCTCCACCTCCCAGGTTCACGCCATCCTTCTGCCTCAGCCTCCCAAGTAGCTGGGACTACAGGCACCTGCCACCACGCCCGGCTAATTTTTTGTATTTTTAGTAGAGACGGGGTTTCACCGTGTTAGCCAGGATGGTCTCGATCTCCTGAGCTCATGATCCGCCCACCTCGGCCTCTCAAAGTGCTGGGATTATAGGCGTGAGCCACCGTGCCCGGCCTTTTTTTTTCTTTCTTTCTGAGACAGAGTTTCGCTCTTGTCACACAGGCTGGAGTGCAATGGTGAGATCTTGGCTCACTGCAACCTCTGCCTCCCAGGTTCAAGTGATTCTCTTGCCTGAGCCTCCCAAGTAGCTGGAACTACAGTCTTGAGCCACCATGCCCAGCTAATTTTTTGTATTTTTCATAGAGACGGGGTTTCACCATGTTGGCCAGGCTGGCCTCAAACTCCTGACCTCAGGCGATTCACCCACCTCAGCCTCCCAAAGTGCTGGGATTACAGGTGTGAGCCACCGCACTTGGCCCCCTCTGGGTTCTGAGCTGAGAACCAGCATGAGGAGAGGGATCATGGCCCAGGGAAAGGATCAGTTTCCCTAATGCACCAGTCCCCAAATCCTGAAATGCAGAGCTTCCGGAATGACTGAGTTGGAAGATATTGCTCAGTGTATTTTATTTTATTTTTCGGTTATTAATTTATTTATTTTGAGACAGTCTCACTCTGTTGCCTGGGCTGGAGTGCAGTGGCACGACCTCGGCTCACTGCAAACCTCCTCCTCCCAGGTTCAAGCAATTCTTGTGCCTTAGCCTCCTGAGTAGCTGGGATTACAGGCATGCACCACTACACCCAGGCATTTTTTTCTATTTTTAGAAAAGACGGGGTTTCACTGTGTTGGCCAGGCTGGTCTTGAACCCCTTGCTTCAAGTGATCCTCCTGCCTCGGCCTCCCAAAGTGCTAGGATTACAAGCGTGAGCCACCACGCCCGGCCCCTGCTCAGTGTATTTTAGATCAGAAAAGTTTTCCACTGTGGCCCACCCCCATCCTCGTCCCAAACCTGGACCTAGGTCCTTCCAGGGTCATAGCTGGCCGTGCGGGGTGAAGAAGAGGCAGCTGCATGGGACAAAGTCTGCTTGTGAGCCCAGGGGCATGGGTCTCCAGGCCCACCTCCAGCCCAGGCCTGGGGCCTGGCCCGGGAGCCCCCATGGGAGGTGAAGAAGAGAATCATCACAGCAGGCATTTCTTCCTCTCTGACCACGTGGGGCCTGTTTCCTGAAAAGGCCGTATATGCAAATTGGTCCCCAAATGCAGAGGGAGCCAAGAAACCAAAGAAAGAGGCAGACAAATCCAGTTTCTCAGTAAAGGGTGATTTATGAGGGGGAACTTAACAAACAGAAATGTGGTCTCGGGCAGCCACAAGACAGCAGATCTCTGCACCACAACCGCACAGACCCACAGATTGGAGAAAAAGTATACGTGCTCTGGAAGGAATGTGTAGGTGGCTGCAGGCGTCACAGCCCATCGTGTATGCAACACCAAGGGTTGTTTTGGAGGAAAGGCTGGTGAAGAGGTGTTTCTACATAAAGAGCAATACATCAACTCGACATCTTGGAGGCATTCCCGGACTTGGGTTAGTCAGGAGTCACATGCTGGATTAGGATTTAAAATAAAGTCGCTCTTATCCCCACAGGGTCCTCAGAGAATCCTAGGAGGCCAATCCTTCCTGAGTCCCCACTTTATGAATGAGGAAACTGAGGCACAGAGAGAGGCTATGTAACTTGCTCAGGATTACCCAGCTGTCAACGACTGGGTGAGAGACCCAGTCACTCATGCCACTCCACACCCCACACTCTGGCTTGTGATAAGATGCATCATCTTGCCTGGGAGTGTTTCTGAGCAAGCCTGCCCAGAGGCCAGGAGCAGAGCTTGGTGTGCAGGTCACCTTACAGTGGGCCACCGGCAGCCGGGTATCTTACCAATCAGAGAAGCCCCTCATGTGCCTGGGAGGAGCAGGTGGCAGGTTGGACGGGGGACCAGGGGTGGTCCTGCAAGGCTACCTCCTTCCAAATACCCACCTCCCTCAATAGGTCACCAGGACTGACACTGGACCCCTGGGCTCCAACTGTGTGGACAGGTGGGTCCAACTGTGTGGACAGGACTGTGTGGACAGCACTCCACCGTGCTAGTGAGGGTAACAGCTGGCTGTGTCCTAGATGGTGGAGCCCGGTGTTCCCTGTCGGGGAGGCTGCTTCCTGTCAGCCTTGGTTCTCGAGGCTCCCCAGATGGTCTCCGTCCCCCTGGGAACACTGCGTGTGCTCCATTGCTTCTGGCCATGCCTTTAGCAGGTACACTTCTTTCTGGCCCCGAAGGAAGGCCAGCTGGGTCCCTTCCCTTGTCCCTCCCAAAGCAGCCATCCCTAAGCTGCCTTCATTTTGTGCCTGTGGAGGGCCCTCCCCTACCCTGTTTTTTTTTGGCCTCTCCTTGCTGTGATCCACCTCACTCCCCTTTCTGGGTTCCCAGGCTGCCCCACTGCCTGGAGATGAGACCCATTTTATTTATTTATTTGTTTATTTGAGAGGGAGTCTCACTCTGTCACCAGGCTGGAGTACAGTGGCACAACCTCGGCTCACCGCAATCTCCGAGCCTGGTTCAGGCTCGGAGAATCTCCCTGGTTCAGGCAATTCTCCTGCCTCAGCCTCCTGAGTAGCTGGGATTACAGGCACCCGCCACCATGCCCAGCTAATTTTTGTATTTTTAGTAGAGACAGGGTTTCACCATGTTGGCCAGGATGGTCTCAATCTCCTGACCTCGTGATCCGCCCACCCTCGGCCTCCCAAAGTGCTGGGATTACAGGCGTGAACCACCACGCCCGGCCGGAGACCCATGTATTACTTAAGCTAATGCAATTTACACAAGTTAAAGGTGCATCATTCCAGAATCTGGTCCCCACTGCCCTCCTCCCAACTCCACCTTCCAGAGGGGATGAAGGCTGGGGTCGGGGGAGTAGCCCACCCATTCAAGCAGACTGGCTGGGGTTAGGGCGGGTGCTCTGTGGAGAAGCCTGGGATTCAGCAGTTTCTGTACCACAGAGCCGAGAGGGGCAAGTCCCTAAGCATAAAAGCCCTTCCGAGCAATTAAACGGGAGAGGAAATCAGTGCTTCCCTGGGGTACCAGCAGAGGCTGCCGGGCCTATTGCTGAACTGGGTTTCATAAAGAGAAGAGCTTTCCTTTTCTCATGTCTGAATTGTGAGGCTCATTCCTCAGCCAGACGTCACTTCTGAGAGCTCCATTAGCAAACCCTACCTGCTACCAGCTTCCCCTTCCGCTAACACCCTGAGTCTCTCTCAATTGTAACATTTATATACCATGCCACTCCTTTGCAGGGGCCATGGGGACCCTTCACCCACAGAAGACTCACTGAAAGTCGACAGACAAAGGCAGACTGATAGGGGAAAAGGCATACATGTTTATTCATATGAATGGGGTGGCTGGGAGGAGCAACAGAGTGAGGGGTGCAGAAGCTTTTCTACCCTTTTTCATAGGGGAGGGTGGAGATAAAGAATGTAGGGATTTTTTTTTTTTTTTTTTTTTTTTTTGTGAGACGGAATCTCACTCTGTTGCCCAGGCTGAAGTGCAGTGGCACAATCTCGGCTCACTGCAACCTCCACTTCCTGGGTTCAAGCGATTCTCCTGCCTCAGCCTCCCAAGTAGATGGGATTACAGGCACATGCCACCACGCCGGGCTAATTTTTGTATTTTTAGTAGAGACCGGGTTTCACCATGTTGTTCAGGCTGGTCTCGAACTCCTGACCTCAGGTGATCCCCTCCCACCCCCCACCCTCGGCCTCCCAAAGTGCTGGGATTACAGGCGTGAGTCACCGTGCCTGGCCTGTAGGGGATTTTTAGAGGAGCAGTACTTGAATATGAGGGAGAATAAAATCAACTTGTAAATGATTCTCCTATTTGTATAGTGCTGAGTATCCCCACCTGTTAAAACAATTAAAATAAAAGACACTAACTTGTAAAGGGTTCTCTTTGGAATTTGAATGGGCCTGAGAGGCAAACATTATCTTGTGGAGCAAAATATAAGCTCTCAAAGAAAGGAAAGATAGTTGATGTTTTTATACCATCTTGAAGTTACAGAAAAAATAAGGGCTTGGATCTCAGCAAAAGAGGTTATGGAAGGGAAGAGGAGGAAACCTTGCAGGTAGCAGTCCTCAGGATAGATGGGAAATGTTTCTTTCAGGCTCTAAAGGCGTCCGACTTAGTTAACCTTTCCTAGATCCGGACCAAGGAAGGCCTCAGAGAAAGCTGGACTGCATCAATGCAGGTTTCCCTACAGATGCAAATCTCCCCAACAAAAGATAGTTTTCTGGCTGGGCGTGGTGGCTCACACCTGTAATCCCAGCACTTTGGGAGGCCGAGGCAGGCTAGATCACGAGGTCAGTAGTTGAAGACCACCCTGGCCAACATGGTGAAACCCCGTCTCTACTAAAAATACAAAAATTAGCTGGATGTGGTGGCGGTCACCTGTAATCCCAGCTACTTGGGAGGCTGAGGCAGGAGAATCACTTGAACCCAAGAGGCTGAGGTTGCAGTGAGCCGAGATCATGCCATTGCACTCCAGCTCTGGGCAACAGAGCAACACTCTGTCTGAAAAAAAAAGTTTTCTGGCTATTCTTACAGCTCCATCCCTTCCAAATAGCAATCTTGAAATGTGTCAAAGATGTATATTTTGGGGTGAAATATCTCGGTTTCTTTCACCCTCCAGTCTATCGTCTGCTCAGCAGCCCACAGCAATATGTATTGCAGACTTGATTGGCACTACTGGGGGCACTTCACGAATTTCTTCCCTGCTGAGGCCCCAGCTCCTTCACCGGCCATCATCTGGCCACTGCCTCCCTCTCCAGCCTCTTCCTGGCCCTTCCCTCTTGCACCCTTCCTTGCTGAGCAGCACCGTCTCACCTGCTTTTCAAACACCATGTCCTTTGCAAAGGCTCTTCCCTCTGCCTGGAATGCCCCCTCTGGCAAATTCCTATTCATCCTTCAGTACCCAGCTGAGACACAACTCCCCCTCCCACAACTGTTATACCCAAATAATCTGGTTGCGAAACTAAATAATTCAAATTTAAGATAATTTGAATTTACGGCTGTTGGAACTTAAATTTTCCTAAGCCTCGAAGAAATGTGACTATGCAGCCTGCGTCATGCTCATGCAGCTGCACCTTTTACCCTTTTTTTTCTGTAAATAATTACGACCAAATGGCGCCAGAGATAAGACCTCCCTCAGATCACTACCCCTCCTTACAGAGTAATAAAGTAATCTTGCTGGGAATGTAGCAACTTGTAACCAACTAAATCACTGTGGCATATGCACCTGGTCTTGCATGGAAAATGCTGTAACCCTACTGGAACTTCTCCGTCTCTGGAAGTGACAGATTTCACTCTGGAAGTGAAATCTTAACTCCTCCACTTTGGAAACATTGACTCCATTCATCTAGAGTCGGTGCCTTCCTGGGTGGCCATACCCAAGCTTTGTGCTCAAATAAACTCTGTACTTGATCGTATTTTCTGAATCTCATTATTTAAGGTTGACACAATTCATCAACAAATATTTACTGAACTGAGTGCTAATAATGCAGATCAATAAGCCACCATCCCTGACCTCAAGGACTGATCACAGACTGGTGGAGGAGACATCCAAGGAGCAGACACCAGCGCGACAGGGCAGCCGGTGCTGGTGTAGACAGAGCTGGTGTGGAAAGACCCTCGTCAGGAGGGAAGCCGGGTGTCTGGGAGGAGTCCAGCACCAAGTTCCAATGGAGCCTCATCCAAAGGGGCAAGCAGGGGTCAGCCAGCCAAGGCCCCAGCCAGGAAGGGATGGGAAGGGGCCTTCCAGGCAGAGGAAATGGCACAGGCAAAGGCCTCAGGACAGGAAGTTTCATGGCCCATCCAGGAGCCATGCCAGAGTGGCCGGAGGGTGAGTCAGTCCCTCCTCAGGGCTCCACAATGCCCTGATTGTGCCTGATTAGGACATTTTCTGTATCAGCTCAGAATTCCCTGTACACACCACCATGCCTGCAGCCCCAGGGCACTCAACATTGCTGTGTGTCCTATAGGCTTCTCATGCAGACATCTGCGTCTCCAGCTGTGGGATCTTGCTCAACCTGCATGTAGGGCAGGCCTGGAGTACCAGGGAGGTAGCACGTTCCAGAATAGGTCTCAGCTAATGAACTCCTAGACTCAAGAGTTCCTCTCAACTCAGCCTGCTGAGCACACACCATCATGCTGGCTAATGTTTTTATTTATTTTTTATTTTTATTTTTATTTTTTGAGACGGAGTCTTGCTCTCTTGCCCAGGCTAGAGTGCAGTGGCATGATCTCGGCTCACTGCAACCTCCGTCTCCTGGGTTCAAGCAATTCTCCTGCCTCAGCCTCTAGAGTAGCTGGGATTACAGGCCCCTGCCACCACGCCCAGCTAATTTTTGTATTTTTAGTAGAAACAGAGTTTCACCATATTGGCCAGGCTAGTCATGAACTCCTGACCTCTGGCGATCCACCCGCCTCGGCCTCCCAAAGTGCTGGGATTAGAGGTATAAGCCACCATGCCCGGCCTATTTTTATTCTTGTAGAGACAAGGTTTTGCTATGTTGCTCAGGCTGGTCTGGAACCCCTGGCCTGAAGCAATCTTCCCACCTCAGCCTCCCAAAATGTTGGGATTACAGGCGTGAGCCACTGTGCCCAGCCAACACTCTTTCTTATATTCCTGACGATAACCCACCTTGTTCTTCCACCCGTCTCCAGTCTTATCTCTGGTTCAACAGTACAGCTCAAGTGCAATTTTAAATAGAGGTGATGTTGATGGGTTTCAGTAGGAATCCTTCTACAAGTCCCTGCCTAAAGTCTAATGCTGGCTTGGCTTTGCTTTTTTTTTTTTTTTTTTTTTTGCAGAGTCTCACTCTGTCACCCAGGTGAGAGTACAGTGGCATGATCTTGGCTCACTGCAACCTCTGGCTCCCATGTAAAGTGATTTTCGTGTCTCAGCCTCTTGAGTAGCTGGGATAACAGGCCTGCACCACCATGTCTGGCTTTTTTTTTTTTTTTTTTTGTATTTTTAGTAGAGACAGGGTTTCACTACGTTGGCCAGGCTGATCTCAAACTCCTGGCCTCAAGTGATCCACCCGCCTCAGCCTCCCAAAGTGCTGGTATTACAAGTGTGGACCACTGTGCCCAAACTGATGCTGGCTTTTGAGTGCTATATTGTACCAGGCTAGGGGAACATTCATGTGCATCCAGTTCTATTTTATTGATTTTTTTTTTTTTTTTTTTTTTTACAAAGTCTCGCTCTGTTGCCCAGGCTGGAGTGCAGTGGCACGATCTTGGCTTACCGCAACCTCCACCTCCTGGGTTCAAGTAATTTTCTTGCCTCAGCCTCCTGAGTAGCTGGGATTACAGGTGCACACCACCACACTTGGCTAATTTTTGTTTATTTTAGTAGAGACAGGGTTTCGCCATGTTGGCCAGGCTGGTCTCAAACTCCTGACCTCAAATGATCCACCTGCCTCAGCCTCCCCAAGTGCTGGGAGTATAGGCATGAGCCACCATGCCCAGCCTTATTGAATTTTTTTAAACATCAATAATGAATATTGAACTTTTGGATATGATTGCATGATTTTTCTCCTTGAAAGACCTGTTACTATGATCTAATATATTAATAAATTTTCTTTTCTTTGTTTATGTTTTTGAATCAGGGTCTTACTGTGTGTCACCCAGCCTTTACTGCAGTGGTGCAATCATCATAGCACATTGTAACCTCAAACTTCTGGGTTCAAGAGGTCCTCCCAACTCAGTCTCCCAAGTAACTAGGACTGCAGGTGCATGCCACCACACTCAGCTATTTTTTAAAAAGTATTTTTGTAGAGTCAGGGTCTTGCTATGTTGCCCAGGCTGGTCTTGAACTCCTGGCCACAAGCGATTCTGCCTCTGCCTCCCAAAGCACTGGCATTACAGGTGTGAGCCACTGTGCCCAGCCTGAATTTACTAATATTGAGCCATCTTTGCATTCCTGGTATAAACTACCTGGTCAGAGTTTATTGGTTTTTTTTAATCATTATAGGCTGGGTGTGGTGGCTCACACCTGTAATCCCAGGACTTTGGAAGGCTGAGATGGGCGCATCATCTGAGGTCAGGAGTTCAAGACCAGCCTGACCAACATGGAGAAATCCCGTCTCTACTAAAAATACAAAATTAGCCAAGCGTGGTGGCGCATGCCTATAATCCCAGCTACTTGGGAGGCTGAGGCAGGAGAATCGCTTGAACCTGGGAGGGGGAGGGTGCAGTGAGCTGAGATTGCACCATTGCACTCCATCCTGGGCAACAAAAGTGAAACCCCATCTCAAAAAAATATTATTATTATAGAATATAATAATAGATACAATAATCGAGTATCTTATTAGATTTTTTTTTGATGTCCTGTTGAATTCTCTTTGTTGATGTTTTATCGAAGAGTTTTACTTTAACAACCATAGGCAAGATTGGTGTATAGTAAAATGTTTTTCACAGAAGTCTCTAGAGGAAGTGCCTATATTATCTACACATTTTTGGGAAATCATGAAACTCTGCAAAAAAATATGGGAAGTGGAATTATATAAATAAACTCAACATACACATATTGCTGAAATTAGAAAAACAGAGACATTGTCTTTCATTGTTCTAGATAGCATTTAAGCAGGATATGTTTTTTGCCAGTACTTAAAGGAGTCCCATTGAAATCAATGGGAGTTTCACATAAAATATAATTAAAGGAAAACAATATGTACAGAGAATTAGAATCTGAAGAGAACCAGAAGTGGAAATGTTGCCTTAAGGAAATTGTTTTGCAGAAGGCAAAAAAAAAAAAAAAAAAAATTCTCTTGAGATGAGGCATCTAAAAGCTAAGTAAGCCTTACCATTTTCTTTTTTAATTTTTCCTTTTTTTTTTTTTTTGAGACAGACTCTTGCTCTGTCACCCAGGTTGGAGTGCAGTGGCACAATCTCAGCTGACTGCAACCTCCACTTCCTGGGTTCAAGTGATTCTCCTGCCTCAGCCTCCCGAGTAGCTGGGATTACAGGCGCCTACCACCACACCTGGCTAATTTTTGTATTTTTAGTAGAGACGTGATTTTACCATGTTGGCCAGGTTGGTCTCGAACTCCTGACCTCAGGTGATCCGCCCGCCTCGGCCTCTCAAAGTGCTAGGATTACAGGCATGAGCCGCCACACCCAGCCACCTTACCACTTTCAATCAAGGCCTACCCATATTTCATTTATCAGAAGTATTCACCCTCCTCTTCTTTCTCCTCCTCCTCCTCATCTTTATGTATCAGCAACTACCATTAATTCAGTGCTTGCTCTGTGCCAGAAACCAGGCTAGGTATTTTACAGCATTGTACAGTTCAATTCCCAGAATAGCTTTGTAAGACAGGTATTATTATCTCTACTTTACAGATGAGGAGACTGAGGCTCAGCAAAGCTAAGTAAACAGCCTGAGATCATGCAGCTAGTACGTGGCAGATCTGGGATTCAAAGCAAAGAGTCTTTGATGCCAACAGCCATGTTTTTAAGCTCTATAGTCACCGTGTTTGAGAATGGGCCACATGTCAGGCCCAGTACTGGGAGTTTTTGTGACTCATCACGTAACAGAACCAGCACACGCATTCCATTTTACATACGAGCAAACGGAGGCTCAGAGACACAAGGCAACGTCTGCAGTTGTAGAGTTGGTGAATGGCGGCATGGGATTTAAGCCCAGGATCATGGAGCTCTAAGCCCACACATTCTCCAGTTCCTGGGACCCTCCTCCTCTCCATCTTCCTCACACGGGGCCACATTCTGCAGCCCTGGATGATGCTCATTGTGCAGCCATTTTTTTTCAGTAAAGAGCTCTAAAGGAAGCTAGTTGCTAGCACAGGTGCTGTATGAATCATTTTCTTTCTTTTTTTTTTTTTTGAGATGGATTCTCACTCTGTCACTCAGGCTGGTGGAGTGTGTAGTGGGGCGGTCTCGGCTCGTCGCAACCTCCACCTCCCAGGTTCAAGCAATTCTCTGCCTCAGCCTCCTGGGTAGCTGGAATTACAGGGGCATGCCCAACTAATTTTTGTATTTTTACTAGAGACAGGGTTTTCCCATGTTGGACAGGCTGGTCTCGAACTCCTGACCTCAGGTGATCCTCAGGTGATCCTCAGGTGGCATCCCAAAGGGCTGGGATTACAGGCATGAGCCACCGTGCCTGGCCTCATTGTCTTGTGTCAAGATGCACAGCTCACCTATCACTGCCAAAAGATAAACATTGAATGAATGGATGGATGGATGGATGGATGGATGGATGGATGGATGGATGAATGGAAGGATAGATGGATGGAGAGCTTAATTAAAATAATCATATTCATCACAGACCAGACTGGGAGCAGTGCCTGTGGTATAGGAGGCCTTAGAAATCATCCAGTCCCATGTCCCGACTCTGCAGGAGGAAAACCTAAGGCCAAAGGAAGCAGAGAGAGACTACTCCAGCCCCAAGCCCAGGAAGGAGCCCTAATGCCACCTCCCAGGTTTTCTAAGCTGGTTCAGACCCCATGTGAGAACTTAAATGCATGAGTCCTTGTGCAGAGGACCCAAATTTTTTTAAACAAGATATTGGTGTGAGCTGTGAGCTGTTCTGGAAGGAAATATCATTAGGGTTTTGGGGGCAGGAGTTCCACACCTGCATTTTGTCACTGTTAGGCTGGCTAGTCAGAATGCCATGTATGTACCAACCCTACGACCTCAGAAAAGCCAGTAGTGAAATAGGGTTTGATGGCTTTGATTGAACTGGTTTAATCCACTTATTGGGTAATAGTGTGTGAAATTCTGAAGGATTTGGTGAGAACACTGAGGTGTTATTTCCCGCAGCCAGCCCCTCTCCCAGCTCCAAGCTGACCCAGACATGAACCAGGCCCCCTGTATTAGTACGTTTTCATGCTGCTGATAAAGACGTTCCCAAGACCGGACAATTTACAAAAGAAAGAAGTTTATTGGACTTACAGTTCCACATGGCTGGGGAGACCTCACAATCATGAAGGAAAGTGAAAGGCACATCTCACATGGCAGCAGACAAGAGAAGAGAACTTGTGCAGGGAAACTCCTGTTTTTAAAACCATCAGATCTCGTGAGACTTATTAACTATCAATCATGAGAATAGCATGGGAAAGACCTGCCCCCATGATTCAGTTACCTCCCACTGGGTCCCTCCGACAACACATGAGAATGATGGGAGCTACAACATGAGATTTGAGTGGGGACACAGAGCCAAACCATATCACCCCCCTTTTATGTACTAGAACCCTCCCAGTATGGCTCACGAAAGTCAGGCCTGTGACGGCCTAGAGGAGGAGGTTACCACACAGCTGGGAGAGCACAAGACTGATCTTTAGATATCCTTGTTCTCAAAATGCCCCAGGCAATTCCCACCAGGGAACTGTCCCGCAAGCCCCTTCCTCTTCCTCCCTGCTCCCCACCCTTCCCCTTGTCCTCTGCTCCCTGTGTTGCTCCCCATCCCTGGCGGCCGGCATGTCCCTCCAGAGTAGCTCCGCTGTCTATCTGCTTCTCTGCCCCAGCCCATCCTCCTGTAATCGGAGAGGCTTCCCCATCAAAGGCGTCCTTCAAGGCAGCTTCCCAGACCTAGACAGGTGCTTTCCTCAAGGAAAGGACTTTTGAGATTTGTTCTTGAAGGATGACTAGCATCCCTCTTCCTTTGCTCTGGGCTGTCCTGAGGAGGATGGGTTGGAGGGGCCAGGTCTGGAGACGGGGAGACTGAGGGATGCTTCTGTCATACCTCTGTGGAGAGAAGCAAAGGCCTAGAGAAGTGCCAAGGGCTGGGGAGGAGGACGCAGATCCAGAGGACAGATTCACCCGGCCTCACAGTGATGTGGAACGGGGACAGGGAGGGGGCCGAGGGCTGGGGAGGAGGACATGGATCCAGAGGACAGATTCACCCGGCCTCACAGTGATGTGGAATGGGGACAGGGAGGGGGCCGAGGGCTGGGGAGGAGGACGTGGATCCAGAGGACAGATTCACCCGGCCTCACAGTGATGTGGAACGGGGACAGGGAGCGGGAGGGGTGCAGCCTCCCTCTGCACCCCTGAATATTGTTTCCAATCAAATAACAAATATTCACTGGGCCCTGCCTTCTGGTGTGAGCAAGGGGATGGATGGTGGGGCTGTTTAGAGAGCCGGAACCCAGGAAGAGTAGCCTGGGGTGGGCGGAAGGAGATGTGTTCTGTCTGCTGGGTGTTGTGTTTGATGTACCCGCCCATGTCTGCCCAGGTGGAGGTCCCCAAGAGAGACTGAGCCACAGGCTGGAGGCCCAATAGACAGGGGTGGGTGGGCACAGCTGCCTGGGAGGGATGGCCAGTGTCATCACCTGTGTGAGATTGCTCAGGGAGACAGAGCTCAGCAAGCAGAGCTGAGGGCCTGGAGCAGCTTAGAGGAATGCAGGGCCTTTCTGAGCTTCGTGGAGGATGGGCAGAGGCCTGAGGAGGAAGCTCAAGAGGGCATATGGCACAACAGAGGGCAAGGGAGTCGCAGGTGTGAAAAGGAGGGACCCAGAGAGCAATGGTGAGGTGAGATCAAGCCAGCTAGGACCAAAGTGTGTCCTTTGGATTTCGTCCTAAAGAGTTTCAGTGACCTTGGCAAGGAGAGTTTTGTCAAGTGGAGTGGCAGAACCCAGGCAGAAGAGATGGAGGATCCGGGGCTACAGAAGAGCCCACCAGGGCATACATGCCTGCATCGGGGTGAGTGGAGAGGCTGGGGCAGCTGACGGGGGCAGAGGGGAGGCGGAGGGCCTGTTCATATGGGTGATGCGTGGCTGATGTAGAATCTTGTAATGAGAGAGACCTGAGCACACAAGTACCAAGGGGAAAGAGGAAGAGGAAGGATGGAGAGAGGGAAGGCAGGAGGAAGAAGAGGAAGAAAAACCAGCAAGTGCTTAGAGCCTGAGGGCATAGTCCCGCCAGGCACTATTGTGAAGACTTAGACCTCTAGACAGCCGCATAAGATTGATTGATTAATTCAACACAGAACTGCTGAGTGCCTGCCAGGTGCCAGGCACTCCTCCAGAATCTTCAGATATGACAGCGAATAAGACAGATAAAACCCTGGAGCTTCTATCCAGGGTGTGGGGAGCAGACAGACGATCCCTGTGCAGGATGCAAGCTATGGAAAAACATTCAGGATAAGGGAGAGAGTGACGAGAGGTGCTGTTTAACACACGGTGGTCAGTGAAAGTGACAACCAAGTCAAACCTGGGGAGGGGAAGTCCCTCCTTCCATGATAACAGGGAAGGGAGTTGGAAAGGATGGCTGGGAGGCTGGTGAGTTTGCAGCATAGAAATACTCAGCATACAATCATTTTAACCCCCAACTGTTTCCAATCAAATGAGAAACATTCATGGAGTGTACTATGGAGCCAGGCACCTCGTGGGTGCCAGCCAGGAAGATAAGGATGAGTCTCTGCCCTGGATGAGTTCCCTGTTGCATGGGAGAGACAGATCTAGAAACAGACTGTGATCGTATGGGGTGTTAAGTATGATAAGATAGGGCAGCTGTGAGATGGTGGAGAGGCAGAGATGCCCTCCTGAGGAGCTGGGACAGCTTTGGGGAAGAGGTGACATTTGAACTGGGTCTTGAAGAATGGGTAGGAGTTTGCTTGCCAGAAAAAAGCAAAAGCTTGGCTGGGTGTGGTGGCTCATGCCTGTAATCCCAGCACTTTGGGAGGCCGAGGCAGGGAGATCACTTGAGGTCGGAAGTTCAAGACTAGCCTGGCCAACATGGTGAAACCCCTGTCTCTACTAAAAATACAACAGTTAGCCAGGCATGGTGGCAGGTGCCTGTAGTCCCAGCTACTTGGGAGGCTGGAGCAAGGGAAATGGGAATCACTTGAATCTGGGAGGGGGAGCTTGCAGTGAGCCCTTATCGCCACTGCACCCCAACCTGAGTGACACAGCGAGATTCCGTCTCAAAAAAAACCCCAAAAAACCAAAACCAAAAACTTACGTCTATGAGGTGACTACTATGTGATAGGCAATTTACCTATACAATGTCATTTAATTCTAAGAAAACTCCGGCATGGCAGGTATTATACATATTTTACTGATGTAGCTGCTGAGGCTCAGAGAAGCAAAGAGACGCTCAAGGTCATAGAGGTGTTACAGCTAGGTTCCAAAACACGATTGTTTTTACTCTCAAACTTATGCCAAGACACCACACCACCATAATAACCTGATAGACCAGAGTTTGCCACGAAGTAGTGCAAAATTTGTGAGCTGCTTGGGGCCAGCCAGGAAGTGGCTCTTTTCATATTACGTCATGTGCACAAAGGGGACTGAAGACAGTGTGTGTGAGTGATAGTAGAGATTGTAGATTTTGCAGATGGATTGACAAGGGTTTTTTCTTTCTATTTCAACATGACAAGACTGTTGTTATTCCATTACCTTTGGCTTCCATTATTTCTTTTCTTTCTTTCTTTTTTTTTTTTTTTTTTCAGATGGAGTCTTGCTCTGTCACCCAGGCTGGAATGCAATGGCACGATCTTGGCTCACTGCAACCTCTGCCTCCCGGGTTCAAGCGATTCTTGTGCCTCAGCCTCCCGAATAGCTGGGATTACAGGCATGCACCACCACGCCCGGCTAATTTTTGTATTTTTAGTAGAGAGGGGGTTTCGCCATGTTGGCCAGGCTGGTCTTGAACTCCTGACCTCTGGTGATCTGCCTGCCCTGGCCTCCCAAAGTGTTAGGATTACAGGTATGAGCCACTGTGCCCAGCCGGCTTCCATTATTTCTACTGAGAAATCCCTTGTATTTCCTTTGGTTATCACCTAGAATGATGTGATGTTTGTTTCCTATGGCTGCTTTTAAGATTTTTTTTTTTTTTTTGACATGGAGTCTCACTCTGTTGCCCAGACTGGGAGTGCAGTGGCGTGATCTCAGCTCACTGCAACCTCTGTCTCCCAGCTTCAAGCGATTCTCCTGCCTCAGCCTTCTGAGTAGCTGGGATTACAGGCATATGCCATGACACCAGGGTAATTTTTGTATTTTTAGTAGAGACGGGGTTTCATCATGTTGGTCAGGCTGGTCTCGAACTCCTGACCTCGTGATCCACCTGCCTCAGCCTCCTAAAATGCTGGAATTGCAGGCATGAGCCATCCAGCCTGGCTGATTTTTTTTATTTTTTATTTTTTATTTTCATTTTTACTTTTTGAGACAGGGTCTGGCTCTGTAGCCCAGGCTGGAACGCATTCACGCAGTGTCAGCTCACTGCAACCTCTGCCTCCTGGGGCTCAAGCCATCCTCCCATCTCAGCCTTTCGCGTAGCTGGGACCACAGGCACTTGCCACAGTGCCTGGCTGATTTTTGTAATTTTTTGTAGAGATGGGATTTCACCGTGTTGCCAAGGGTGGTCTTGAACTCCTGAGCTCAAACGATCTGCTCGCCTTGGCCTCCCAAAGTGCTGGGATTACAGGCGTGAGCCACCATGTCAAGCCAAGATTTTTTTTTTACACACTGGTTTTCAGCAGCTGTGGCAGGCAGCCCCTGCGATGATCCCCACTCCCCGGTATTTTTGCCCTTGCGTGGTCTTCTTCCCTTGAGTGTGGGCTGGACCTACTGACTTACTTCTAAGGAACAGAAGACAGCAAAAGTGATGGAATGTCACTTTCAGTACTGGGTTATAAGAAGACAATGGTTTCCATCTCAGGCGCTTTCTCTTGCTGCCCCACCTGCTTGTGCTGAGGGGAGGTGGGCTGCCTTCTTGTGTTACCCTATGTAGGGTTCATGCAGTAAGGAACTGATAGAGTTTGGATGTGTGTTCCCACTCTTATCTCATATTGAAATACAATCCCTAGTGTTGGATGTGGAGTTCTGGTGAAGGTGATTGGCTTATGGGGGGAGTGGATTTCTCATGAATGGTTTAGCACTAACTCCCTGGGTACTGTCGTGATATGGAGTGAGTTCTCGTGAAATCCGGTCATTTAAAAGGGTGCAGTGCCTCTCCCCTCATCCTTCTGCTCCTGCTTTCATCCTGTGATGTGACTGCTCCCCCTTTACCTACCACCATAATTGGAAGCCGCCTAAGCTCTCCCCAAAAGCAGATGCTGCTTTGCTTCCTGTACAGACTGCAGAGCTAGGAGCCAATTAAACCTCTTCTCTTGGAAGTGACCCCGCATCAGTTATTTCTTCCTAGCAATGCGAGATTGGAGTAATCCAGCAATGGAAGAAGGCCAGCAGCTGGTGAGAAAATATGGCCTGCGTACAGCCACGCGAATGAGCTTGGAAACATTCCTCTGAGTCCAGACTTTTCATGGGACCGCATCCCCAGCTCATGGATTGATTGCAGCCTTGGGAGAAATCTTAAGCCACAGGCACCCGGTTAAGCTTCTGATCCACAGAAACTATGAGATAATAAATGTGAGTTGTTTTAAGCCTTTAGGTGGGGTGGGGCAATAAAAGTTCGCAAGGCTGCTGCATGCATTATCGATACTAACGCAATTATTGATAACTGTGGTTATTGATTAGTTATCGATAATGCATGCAGCAGCCTTGCGAGCTCTGATTGCACTGGCAAACTGACAGCACATCCTAAACTGGGCCCAGAATCTCCACCAGGTGCCCAGGTGCCAAAGGCGAGCTTTGCTCCCTCAAAAAGGACTGCAACAAAGGTGTCATGGAAATGAAGCTTTCTTTGGCATATAAATAGTTTGTGATTATTTTTTTTCCTCAACAGATGTGTTAATGGAAAAGCCTGGGAAGAAGTCTCCAGTTGGTCACTCATTCCAGCAACTAGTCCTTCATAGTATCAAACTAGGTCAGGAGTTTCCATGAACTGGGTTGGTCCAACTCTTGGATCAATAAACCCTGATTTGTTTTTCCAGAGAACAAAAACTCTCTTTACATCAGAAGGGCTACGGTGGAAAAGAAGGGTTTGACTTATTTTCTGAGGTCCCAAGAGATCAGAAAATTTCAGTTTCAGCTGGGCATGGTAGCTCACACCTATAATCCCAACACTTTGGGAGGCTGAGGCAGGAGGATTGCTTGAGCTCAGGAGTTTGAGGCCAGCCTGGGCAACATGGCAAGACCCTATCTCTACAAAAAAATAAAAACAAAAAAAAATTAACCGGGCTTGGTGGCAGGCACCTGTAGTCCCAGCTACTCAGGAGGCTAAGGTAGGAATATTGCTTGAGCCTGGGAGATCAAGGCTGCAGCGATCCATATTCATACCACTGCACTCCAGCCTGAGCAACACAGTGAGACCTTGTCTCAAAAAAAAAAAAAAAAAAGACAGAAAAAGAAAATGTCAGTTTCATAAGCGGAAAAATTTCCTGCTAATCAGAGCTGTCATACTGTGCCTGGACTGGTTCATTGGGTGGTTAGCTTCTTGCTAGTAGACATAGGCCTGGATGTCTCAGCAGGAATGTTGTGAGAAGTTTCCAAGTATGTGTTCAAGAATCAGGCCGAGTTTATTCATTTACTAATTCAACAAATATTAATTCTACATGCTTCAGTTACAGAATCCTGTAAGTGTAGAATTTATGACCAGAGGCTTCGATAAAAAGGGATTTGTTTTTTCTACCTAACAGAGAATCTGGGGGTAGGTGATTGCTGGTGTTGTTTCACTGGGTCAATAGTGCAAGGTTCAGTATCTCTCTGATTCTCTTGCCTGTAGTGTAGGAGATGGCTGCACAATGGCCACTATAGCTGCAGATATCACACCCATGTTCATGATCATAATCCCTGCTGCTGAGAAAAAGACAGCGTCTGCTGTGTCTTTTCCTTTTCCAAGAGAGCAAAAACTTCCCTCAAAATCAGGGGTGTGCTGGTATTTTGGGGGAGAGGAGGGAGAGGGAAAGTCCTGATTTTTAACAGTTGCCAATTTCTTTATAAGTTCCCCTACTATGTCTGATTTCAAGCTACCACCATGACATTGCTGACTACGGCGTTGGAGAGAGAAGTCAGCAGCACACCATGATTTAGGATTTCCACCTACTGACGCGGGAGATGCAAATCTTTAAGAACATAGTAAGAGTAAAACAATCAGGAAATAATGCATTTTGATGATTTATTATCTTTGTTTTATATTTATATTTACATTTAATTATATAAAATTAATATATAATTTTATAAAATTAATATATATAATTATATAAATATCTAACATAGGCTGGGCACAGTGGCTTACACCTGTAATCCCAGCACTTTGGGAGGCCGAGGTGGGCAGATCACCTGAGGTCGGGCGCTTGAGACCAGCCTGACCAACATGGAGAAACCCCATCTCTACTAAAAATACAAAATTAGCCAGGTGTGGTGGTGCAAGCCTGTAATCCCAGCTACTGAAGAGACTGAGGCAGGAAAATCACTTGAACCTGGGAGGTGGAGGTTGTGGTGAGCCCAGATCACGTCATTGCACTCCAGCCTGGGCAACAAGAGTGAAACTTCATCTTGAAATAAATAAATAAATAAATAAATAAATAAAAATACATATTTATGTATAAATATATAATTATATACATAAATGTATATATTAATATATATTTATTATATATTTATTAATATATAAAATATGTTTATTTATTTCTGAGACAGGGTCTGGCTCTGTCACCCAGGTTGGAGTGCAGTGGCACTATCATAGCTCATTGGAGCCTTGAACAGATGGCTCAAGCGATCCTCCCACCTCAGCCTCCTGAGTGGCTAGGATTGCACGCACACACCACCACGCCTAGCTAATTTTAAAATTTTTTGTAGAGACAGCGTCTTCCTTTTTTGCCTAGGCTGGTCTTGAACTCCTGGGCTCAAGTGATCTTCCTGCCTCAGCCTTCCAATGTGTTGGGATTACATACGTGGGCCACTGCACCCGGTCTAATGCATTTTTTAATTTGCAAGTTTATATTATTTAATATTTTTAAGTACTGAATGTGTTGAACACCAACTCGCAGAATTCCCGAACAATGGACGGTCAGCTCTCATGTTCTGGTTCAAACAGCCCCAGCACACCACGGCTAGAAACCTGTCAGCCAACTTCCACTTATATCTCCCTGGGCAGGACAATGTTGCTTGGCCAATCCCCACTAAGAGGAACTCTGGAAAGGCAAGAAACTATTCTGTTCTCTATAATGGAACGTGACCAGGGAGAAGGCAGCTGGCAGGGCCAGTTGGGCCCTCCAACCAGCAGCATCCACCATCGACCAACTGCCCTAGAACTTCACTGTGCTGGGCATTTGGGGCACTGTTATGAGTAAGAGTTTTCATTTTTCTTCTCATGGGGCCTTCATGCAAGAGACAATTTTTTTTTTTTTTTGGAGACAAAGTTTTGTTCTTGTTACTCAGGCTGGAGTGCAATGGTGCAATCTTGGCTCACTGCAACCTCTGCCTCCTAGGTTCAAGTAATTCTCCTGCCTCGGCCTCTCGAGTAGCTGGGATTACAGGCATGCACCACCATGCCTAGCTAATTTTTGTATTTTTAGTAGAGATGGGGTTTCAACATGTTGGCCAGGCTGGTCTGGAACTCCTGAGCCACCATGCCCAGCCAAGAGGCAGATTTTAAATCAATAAGTATAGTTGTGATGAATGCCAGAAAGAAGAAAGTGTGTGATGGGGAGGGGACCTACGTTATTGTCTTATATTTTAACACTTTCATAGGCAATAACTAAAAACTTAGAAGCTTAAAACAACACACACATTTAACCCAGTTTTGGCAAGCGAGGAGTTGAGCACATTTTAGCAGGTCCTCTGCTTGGGGTCTCACGCTAAGGAGCTGGGCTACATCCTCATCTGAGGCTCAACCAGGGCAGAATCCATTTCCAGGTCCACTGAGGTTATTGGCAGAATTCATTTCCTTGGACCCGCTTGGCAAGGGCCCAGCTTTTTGCTTCCTTGCTTACGGGGCCCCTCCAAAGGTCCTTTCTCAGCATGGCATCTCCCTCCTGCAGGGCCTGCAGGTGGAACCTCTCTCTCTAGTGTGCAAAGGTGATGCACTGTGACAGTGACATCCATTGCTTTTGCCAGAGGCTCTGTGGGTTAGAAGCCAGTCACAGGTTCTGCTCATACCCAAGGTCAGGAAGATTATGCAAGGGCATAGGTCATCGGTCACTGGGGGGGTTAGTCACTTTAGGGTGTGGCTGCCACCACTGAACTTGGTGAGACTTTAAGGGTTGGTAGGAGCTGGCCAGGTACAGGGGTGAGGGTGTGTTAGGCAGCGGTGAGGGCATGGAGGGGGATGCAGAGGCCTGCACCCTGGAATGTCCTTTCACTCCCTGAGGTTGTGTTCTCCTGATCCCTGAGTACATCCCAGAACACAGTGGGGCCCTAGCTGGGGAGAGGTAGGGAAGCATGTGATGTTCATCGGGGGACCTTGTTAGGCAAATCAGATTAGGGGCCAGGCTTTCAGTGGTGGGTGCGAGTGTGCAAGTGAGTGAGTGTGCAGGTGTGTGTGGGAAGGGAGATGGGGATAGGGTCAGCCCCAGCCATCATCAAGACCTCACCTGTGCATCCACCCATCCCAGCAGCATCCCTGAGTGAGTGCCTTCAGGGCGCAGGTCCTGTTTTGCACATGGAAGTGAATCAGAGTGGGACACTGCCTTGCCTTAGAGAGGTCACACTTCTTTTTTTTTTTTTAACTTGTGATAGAGTCTCGCTCTGTTGCCCAGGCTGGAGTGCAGCGGCGTGACTTTGGCTCACTGCAACCTCCGCCTCCTAGGTTCAAGCAATTTTCCTGCCTCAGCCTCCTGGGTAGCTGGGATTATAGGCACGTGTTACCATGCCTGGCTAATTGTTGTATTTTAGTTTCACCATATTGGCCAGGCTGGTCCCAGACTCCTGGCCTCAAGTGATCTGCCCCCCTTGGCCTCCCAAAGTGCTGGGATTACAGGCGTGAGTCACTGCACTGGGCAAGAGGTCACACTTCATGCCAAGTGGGAGGCAGCCACTCAGACAGCACCCCAGCTGGCGCTGGGAGTGAGGGGTGCTCAGCGTCCTAGGAAGGCAGAGGGCTGCGTGAGAGGTTTGGGGAGGAAGGACTGGAGGAGGATTTGAGATTTTCACCTGAGCAGCTAGGTGGATGGAGGGGCTGTTTACTGAGAATCACAAGAATGTGGATGAGCAGGTTGGGGCACTGATAAAGCACTCTGTTTTGGCCCGCAGAAAATTTGAGATGCCTCCCTGGTGTCCAGCTAGGCCTTTGGGAGAGGTCAGGGCTGGGCATCTGACTTGGATGGATGTCTCTGGCAGGCAGCAGAGCATGTGGATGGTTTGTGAAGCCCAGAAGGGCATGAGATTTCCTGTAGCAGTGCCCACTGTGAATGGAAGGGCATTTGGCCTGAGCCCAGACATGTACAAGTTGGGCAGAGAAGGGGGTGGGTCCCTGGGACCCACAGAGGAGCAGCTATGGAGGTACAGAAAAACCAAGTGTGTGGGGGTCACATGATGCAGGAAGCTCAAATAAGATGAGGAAAGAGGTTTTAAAGATGATCAGGGTTGGGGACAGTAGTTCATGCCTGTAATCCCAACACTTTGAGAGGCTGAGATGAGACGATAGCTTGAGGCCAGGAGTTTGAGACCAGCCTGGGCAACATAGGGAGACCCCATTTCTAGAAATAAATAAATACATTGGTACTTGGCATTTCAGGTGGGGAACAGCAAACACGTGAAAGCTCTGAGGCAGGAAAGCGAAGTGATTAGTGCTTGCTTGCTCCTGGTTCCTTTATCAGGCCTTAAAGAGATGCAGAGACATCTCAGGTACTCCTTGGCCGAGCTCCTTCAGGGAGGGCCTAAGTTCGCTTCTACTTCACATCTTTAAAAAAAAATTTTTTTTTTGGAGACAGAGTCTCACTCTGTCGCCCAGGCTGGAGTGCACGCAGTGGCACGATCTCGGCTCACTGCAACCTCCACCTCCTGGGTTCAAGCGATTCTCCTGCCTCAGCCTCCCCAGTAGCTGGGACTACAGGTACGCGCCACCACAATCGGCAAAGTTTTTGTATTTTTAGTAGAGACGGGGTTTCATCTTGTTGGCCAGGCTGGTTTCGAACTCCTGACCTCAAGTGATCCACCTGCCTCGGCCTCCCAAAGTGCTGGGATTACAGGTGTGAGCCACCGTGCCCGGCCCTACTTCACTCCTAACGCCCGCCATACGTGCTTCCAAATGTTTGCTGAATGACTACAAGATGAACGAGTGAATGGGATTACGTTTCTTCGAGCGGCAGGCAATCCTATTCCTTGGACCTCAGTTTCCCTTTCTGTAAAGCAAGCCTTTCTCTCGCTCTCTGCCCTAAAAGCCTGAGCTCTGGGTTTGAGATGAGCGCGTCCTGTAGAGCCGACTCCAGGTAGACGTTGAGCTGGGTATTCTAGGAGGCGATGATCGGGCCGGCTCTTTGAGGCGGGTCCTCCCGCGGGACCCCGCAAGCCCAGTCCCAGCACCGCCCCGCCCAACCTCCCTTTGTTCCCTCAGGCCCCGCCCACTCCGCGCAGCTCGCTTCCCATTGGCCGGGGGGCGGGCCCTGGGCGCCCGGCTCCGCTGGGGGCGGGACGGCGGGCGGCGGGCGGGGCCGTGTGCGCCTGCGTGGTGTCTGTCCCGGCCGCAGCCCCACGCCGGCTGCAGCTCCGCGAGCCGAGCCGGATCTCGAGCGGGGTACACGGGCTGAGGCGGCGGCGGCGGCCCCGCCCCGGGGCTCCATTGTTAAGGCGGCTGCGGCTCTGTCGGCTGTTCAGCTGCGCTCCAGTCGGCCCAGGCGCCGCGGCGAGGAGCGAGCGCTGCGAGGTGGCGGCCTGAGGTGAGACGGCGCGACTGGCGGCAGGGTCTCCGGACCCGGCGGGGGTCTCTGCCCCGGGCGTGGAAGCTCCGAGCGGGGCTCCGCAGGGTCCGGGGTCCGTGCGCCTGGGCTTTGTCTCGGCCTCGGGTGGTACCGGGGGCTCCGCGCCTGCTGCGACGCCGCGTGGGCCCGCGCGGGGGTCCCGGTCGTCCTGCGGGTGGGGGCCGGTCCCCACTGCTCCCCAGCTCCCCGCGTCTGCCCGGAGGGGACTGCGTGGACCCGGGCGCTGGCTCCTGCCCGGTGCCCCCGCGGCGTGGCTGGTCCCCGTGTGCGTCAGAGGGGGCCCTGCGAAGACCCACTCGTGGGGCGGGGTCCGGGTCACCAAGAGTGGGAGGCTCCGCCGCCCTCCCCCGTAGCGAGACTGCTTCGTCCGACTTACCGAGGGGACTGCGCGGACCCTCGGACGAGGGGGTCCGTGACTCTGGATGGGGGCTCTTTCTTGGCCCCGCATGACGGCTTCCTGAGTGTTTTGTCACCTATAGGTTGTTGCGTGGACCCACGCGCGTGGGTCCCGGCCGCCCTGCGAGTGGGGCTCTGCGCCGCCCCGTGGCTCGTCTGGGTCGACCCCGCCTGGGACGCGAGTGTAATGGGGGTCCGTGCGCGGGGGGCGCGGTTGGTGGGGGCGCACTGCCCCGCCCCGTGATTTATCCTCTCACCTGCCCGGCGGGTGGAAGCGAGAGGCGCGGGCCCGGAGCTGTCGCGCAGCGGCCGCACCGTCCTCTCCCCTGGCCGGCGGGCCCCGGGGGGCGCGGGGCTGTCACCGCGCGTCCCACCGCCGCGCTTCCTGCTCTGGCCCCGGGCTGGGCTCTGATTGGAGGGAGCAGGGCCCTACTGCCCGGAGCTTCTTGATTTCTTCCGTTAGTAATGGGAAGAAAAAAAAAATCTGGAAAGCCAGATTGAACTTTGTAGCTCTCAGCGCCTGGAGAGTGGAAGAAACTCTCCCAAGAATTTGGCGGGCTGGAAAATGCGTTTCAAGCAGGAGCATCCACACCCACGGAATGAGGCCAAGGCAGTTACAGTTAGAGGTCAGATTTATGAGGGGAGAGCGAGGGTGAGGTCCGTGGGTGGGGAGACTCCGACCTCAGCTTGATGGGAAGACCTGATGCTGCCCCTCAGACGCTGTATTTCTCAGCCACCAAAGAAAGTGGAATCACTCCTTAGTGAATGCTTTCATCAAACTTTTGAAAAACCTGTTATGTCCCAGGAAGCAAAATCGAACTGGACAGTTTTCCCCTTTTAGGAGAGTTAAAGATCCCGGAGACAAACAGCAGAAGGCTCAAGGAGTCCAAATACCCAACCTGAAGTTCTTTCTGAACAAGAGATGGTGTTTAAGTAACAGGCATACAAGACAAAACTGAGCTAATTACCGCAGCTGTGGCTCCTAGCCCTCTAGCGTGTCATGCGGGCCCTTTTGCTTTCTCTGCCCTCCGCTGCCCCAGACCCCCACTCTACGCCGCACCTCCAGTCATCAGCTCATGCCGACCCATTGCTATGGACTCTGTTGAGGTGGCTCCCTTCTCTCTGAAGCTTTGCTTGTTCTCCTGAAGTCCTGGTCTTTAAGAGCTTATGATCTGCCAGGACAGATTGGCTTTGGGTAATACATGGTTAACTGTAGCACAGCTTGAAAAATGCTCTGATAGAGGTGGGCAGGCGCAGTTTGTGCATGCGGGTAAATGCGAGCTCCTTTTTCAATACCATGAATCCAAGTATTCATGCTATTTTAAATCTGCAATTCTTTGACTCTCCAGAGGGTTTTTAGATTAATCTTTTTCTATTACTTCCTAATGTTTGTTGCATAGTGCAGAGTACTTGATTAAAACTTAGCAGGTCGGCCGGGCGCGGTGGCTCACGCCTGTAATCCCAGAACTTTGGGAGGTCGAGGCAGGCGGATCATTTGAGGTCAGGAGTTCGAGACCAGCCTGGCCAACATGGTGAAACCCCGTCTCTACTAAAAATACAAAAATTAGCCGGGCATGGTGGTGGGTGCCTGTAATCGCAGCTACTCATGAGGCTGAGGCAGGAGAATAGCTTGAACCCAGGAGGCGGAGGTTGCAGTGAGTTGAAATAACTCCACTGCACTCCAGCCTGGGCGATAGAGTAAGACTTCGTCTCAAAATAAAAACAGAAACAATGTACTGGGTCTACGTCCGGCTCTGGAATTTTCCTGGAAGGCCTTCTCTTCTGGGCTTCATTTTTCTCACCTTTGAGGATCGTAAACTACATAATTTCTAAGAATCTTTTCAGCCCTACACCTTTAATTCTTTCAAGCAAATATAGTAGAGAAAAATTCTCTTACCAGCAATGGTGTAAATAACGGAAGCCTTTGAAAATGTGGATTCTAAAGTGGAAGTTTCTTTTCTTCTTCCCCTTTTTTTCCTTTTAAACAAGTTGAGTTACATGTGTATATACTTTATCTCAGAGTTAAGGACAAGTATCTATGATGAAACCTTAAGCAACTTTTTGGCAATATCTTTCATATTCTTCATAATTGTTTTATGTGCAACATCTTCACTATATCCAATTGGTTTGTTTTTTTCTCATTAATGGAGTTGTTGAGCTCAGATCTTTTTTTCAGGAGCATTTTGTTGATCTTTTAAGTGTCATGTGAAGTATGTTTCAACCTAACATTTTATTTTGGAGAGTAAAATGGGAGTAAATGGAATTTTGAGAGTGCCTTGAGTAGATGTACTTGGCTTTGTGTAATGGTTTGAAGCCTAGTTTAAAATTACCACTTGTGGCCAGGTGTGGTGGCTCACGCCTGTAATCCCAACACTTTGGGAGGCCGAGGCAGGCAGATCACGAGGTTAGAAGATGGAGACCATCCTGGCTAACACGGTGAAACCCTATCTCCACTAAAAATACAAAAAGTTAGCCGGGTGTGGTGGCACATGCCTGTTGTCCCAGCTACTCGGGAAGCTGAGGCAGGAGAATTACTTGAACCTGGGAGGCAGAGATTGCAGTGAGCCGATATTGTACCACTGCACTCCAGCCTGGGTGACAGAGTGAGACTCCATCTCAAAAAAAAAAAAAAAAATTACCGCTTGTAAAAAATTGCATCACATGTTGAATGACCTATAGAGGAGCTATAGTTCTAAGGAATATGGTAATTAATTCTTTCAAACAGTAAGGCCAGGTGCTGTGGTTTACACCTGTAATGCCAGCACTTTGGGAGACTGAGGTAGGAGGATCACTTGAGCCCAAGATTAGAGACTGCAGTGAGCTATAATCATGCTACTGCACTCCAGTCTGGGTGACGGAGTGAAACCCTTTCTGTAAAAAATAAAAAGGTAAATAAATAGTTTAAAAATAAAATATTAAGCTCCTTTCCAATTTATCTGTTTGGTAAGGTGGGAATTGGATGTGCCTGAGTTTGTTAAAGCCACGTGTCTCTGTAGAAAGGAGACACAATTTTCTCTGCTATTCCTAGTTATTTGGATGATTATAGGGATTAAAAATAGCCATTTGGTCAAGTCGTGAGCTACTGAATTACAATTTTTGCTTCACTCAGTAGGATTTTGCCTGTATTTTGATTTGCATTCTTAATTTAGGAAAAGTTCTTTGTTATATGCTCCATGTACTTTGTTCTTTTGGGGAATGTGATCTTAGGAGAGGGCTTCAAAACGCGACCAGATTTTCTTTATGGTTTTCTAGATTTTATTAATGTTTTAATAAAACTTAACTAGTTAATTCTGCTTCTGTGTCGAGGTGTTTTTCATTTACAGCAGGCTTGATTTTTATGTGGATTAAATGAAAGGGAGGGGATGCATGGGTATGGAGAACACAGAGGATATATTTTTGAGCTCTGCATTTCAGAGTTCTTTTCTCTAGCCCTGGCCGGGGTCCCAAACAGGGAACTTAATTCGCTCTATCACTGAAGTATACCCTTGCTTTGATGCCATTGGTATTGTATCCTAGAGATTTGCTGTGGCTGCTAGGAGTGTTTCATAGTAAGGACTGATGCGACTTCTCTTTTGTCAGCTTATGAGTCTGTAAGCCATCTTGTTCCCTTTAGTATTATCTGCCTGGAACTGGAAGGTCAGAGATGAAGTTTTCTTAGATTATAAGTCTCAAGTCTTTGCTGTCTACCTTCCTCTCTCTCCCATGTCACCTGCTGTTTTATTTTCTGTTTTTCATTTTAATGTTTTTATTGTATAGGTGTCTATTATTTCAGGCTACCTCAAAACAGTTTTGGATATTGACAGGATATAAGTATGAATAAAATGTGAAAGATAACTTTAGTTCTTTTTAGCAGAGGACTGGAATTCGATATGTGGCCCTACTAAAGCTTTTGTTAAGTCCAAGTACTTTTCTGAACTTCAGTTCCCTTACCTGTAAAATGGAGTTAATTGCTAGTAACACCTGTTCTGCCTAACTCAGGAGATTGTTTTGAGGATCAAATGAAATCATGAATGTAATGGAATTTTGTAAATTTTAAATAAAATATTGTATTACCTAAGATTTAAAAAAAAACCCATTAAGAATGGAATGAATCTGAGTTTTCCTTTGAAATCCCAAATGTTTAATGTACAGAGAAGTCTTAATGTGTCTGTTGGGGAGCTTGATTAGGGTTTTTTCTATCTTTAATTGGCCAGTATTGTTTTATATTTTAGCATTTTTGGGGAACATCAAATTTGTGTTTCAGTTATCATTAATATTTTGCAAAGGTATTGAATGTGCATGATTTAGTCTTTAACAATCTCTTCAATTATTTACATTCCCGTGTAAAAAATGAAGTAATGAATGTCCACGTAAATAGCATTCCCATGCTTTAGCGAAGCGTAATTTCTTGACATTGCAGTTTCTAAGTGCCCTGTCTTGAGGCTGGGAAAACTAAAGGGCAGTCAGAGGTCAAGGTCAGCAAAGCATCACATTTTGACATTTGAAATCCAGCAGCAGCATCACAGTGAACCCCAGTCCAGCACCCAGGAAGTTTCTCTGCACCTGCCTCTCCTCCAGCCACCTCAGAAGCTGTGTGTGCGGTGTCGGGCCTGCTTTCCTCTCTCTCCTCTGCCTTTTCTTTCTCGTCACCAACTTCTCCTGAGTGCCCCTGATATCCCAGACAGTGGTAGTGGGAGTACAAAGGCTAATAAACCCGGCCCTGGTCCTCGAAGAATTTATGTTTTCTGTGCACATACTAAGTTATACTGTCATATATAGTGTTGACAAACACGGATACAGATTTCCTGTGAAGTGCAGGGGCACCGTTCTAGAAGCAGAGATGCAGAAGTGGGACTCGTGACTCACACGTGGAGAGCTGGAGTTCGTGGTCCAGTGGGAAAAACCGACCTGGACATCATTTCAGTGCAGCAGAGTGAGTGCTGGGTTGGGCTCCCTCGGGGCATCTGGAGCCGGGTTAGTCTGGTGTTTAGTCTTCTGTGTGGTACTTAGAGCTTATCAGTAAGACAAGCATTGGGAGGTTTCTAAGTGAAAGGAAAGGCAATCACTTACCTGAAACCTAAAATTTGTAGGTGTTCTGGGCCATTTATAATTCACTGTATCTGTTCTGTCAGAACAAGTCTATCATCTGTTGTTTTGGATGGAGTGTGGCCAGCCCTGCCTTTGGATGTAAGGAAATCAGGAAACGCTTGTCAGATGTCAACACCGTGCCAGACACTCCGCTAGGGATTTCCACGTAAATCACTATATTCATTTCTGTTGCTGCTTTAACACATTTCCACAAATTTAGTGGCTTAAAATAATTGAAATTGTATCATCTCACAGTTCTGTGGGGTAGAAGTCTGACGTGGGTGTCACTGGGCAAAAATCACCATGTGGGCTGGGCTGCATTCCTCACTGGAGAATTGTTTCCAAGCACTTTTGGCCAAATATAGTTCCTTGTGGTTGCAGGACTGAGGTGTCCCCTTGCTGGCCATCTGTTGGGGGCTGTCCTCAGCTCCTGAGGCCTCTATCTGGTCTTTGCATGTGGTCCCATCAGCTCAGGACTAGCTAGGCCAGGGACCTGGTCAGGCCCTCCAATTCCCCTGGGCGCATTTCTCTTCTTCACTCAGAGAAAGTTCTATACCCTTTTTTTAAATATTTTTTTTGAGACGGAGTCTCGCACTGTTGCCCAGGCTGGAGTGCAGTGGTGTGATCACAGCTCACTGCAACGTCTGCCTCTGGGGTTCAAGTGATTCTCCTGCCTCAGCCTCCTGAGTAGCTGGGATTACAGGTGCTTGCCACTGTGCCCGACTAATTTTTGTATTTTTAGTAGAGATGGGGTTTCACCATGTTGGCCAGGATGGTCTCGATCTCTTGACCTCGTGATCGGCCCAACTTGGCCTCCCAAAGTGCTGTGATTACAGGCGTGAGCCACCGTGCTCGGCCAGTTCTGTGCTCTTAAAGGCTCATGGGATTAGATTGGACCTCCCTGGTTAGCCCAGGATACTCTTCCTAAGGCCTGTGGCAAAGCCCTTTGGCCATGCCGTGTGACGTAGTCACAGGTCTCGGGGGTTAGAATCTCCCACCGCGGTTACCAATCCACTTACTACAGCAGCCTGGGAGGTGGTTTTCAATGCCTCTGGTTAACAGATACCAATTTTTTTTTGCAAATCGTCAGGAACGTGAAGATCCCCCCCCTTTTTTTTTTTTTTTTTTTTTGAGAGGGAGTCTCACTCTGTTGCCCAGGCTGGAGTGCAGTGGCGCGATCTCGGCTCACCACAACTTCCACCTCCCAGGTTCAAGGGATTCTCCTGCCTCAGCCTCCTGAGTAGCTGGGACTACAGGCACGTGCCACCAAGCCTGGCTAATTTTTGTATTTTTTGTAGAGACAGGGTTTCACTGTGTTGGCGAGGCTGGTCAAAAACTCCTGACCTTATGATCTGCCGGCCTTGGCCTTCCAAAATGCTGGAATTACAGGCGTGAGCCACTGCCATGAAGATCCTTCTTAAATGGAAAATCTGTTCCTCTGACTTGATGTGAGGCTGTTGGTGAGGTTTATAGCAGTGGAGACAGGTCCTTCAGAAATGGAGCTAAACTTTGTGTTTTGGAGTATTTTGATGGCCTGCCCTGATTACATAAGTTTTGCTAAGAAGTCATTAGAGTAATTCCTCTATTGGAAGAAACACCCATATGGGGAATTTGGGACCTTGCCTTTTCAAGTTTTACACAAAGAACTCTTCATGGGGTGAAAAGTACATGATTCCAGGTCCATTTCTAGAATGGAAACAGCTGAATCAACCCAACAGCGATTCACATTCCTGAGTTTTAGAGAATCTGATTGTTTCAAGGCTGAAGCAAAAAGCCCAATAAACAATGTTTGTACCTTTATTAATAGTTAGGAATTAGGTGCATCCTGTGGTCAAGAAAACAACTGATGGTGGTCACCAAGTAGTTTAAAACCAAGCAGGACCTCGTTTTATCATGTGGGTGTTTTTGATTTTTTTTTATGAAGTTTTTTTTCCTGTGCAATAAATGACAAGCTCTGACTTGAAATACATTTCCTTTAAGAAACCAGAATCTAGGGCCAGGCGTGGTGGCTCACACCTGTAATCCAAGACTTTGGGAGGCCTAGGAGGGTGGATCACGAGGTCAGGAGATCGAGACCATCCTGGTTATGGTGAAACCCCATCTCTACTAAAAAATACAAAAAATTAGCCGGGCATGGTGGCGGGTGCCTGTAGTCCCAGCTACTCAGGAGGCTGAGGCAGGAGAATGGCGTGGACCCTGGAGGTGGAGCTTGCAGTGAGCCAAGATCGCGCCACTGCACTCCAGCCTGGGCGACAAAGTGAGACTCCGTCTCAAAAAAAAGAAAAAGAAACCAGAATCTATAATCCTAAGGTTTTTAACCTGGCTTTCAGAAATTTATGAACTCCTCAAAATCCTGTGCAAAAATTTTGTGTATATGCATCCATGTGTGTTTATGGGGAGATGATTTATAGCTCTCCATACATTTTCAAAGTGGTTGCATTCCAGAAAATTTTAGAACACACCACTTGGTCCTGGTGTGGTGGCTCACACCCGTAATCCCAGCACTTAGGGAGGCTGAGGCAGTAGGATCCACTGAGGTCAGCAGTTCAAGACCATCCTAGGCAACATAGCGAGACCTCCACCTCTACCAAAAAAAAAAAAAAATGCTGGGCGTGGTGGTGCACACCTGTGATTCTAGCTACTCAGGAGGTTGATCACCTGATCCCAATAATTTGAGGCTGCAGTAAGCTACAATTGCACCACAGCACTCCAGCCTGAGCAACAGAGCAAGACCCTCTCTCTGAAAAACAAAAACAAAAAACCATATCACTTAATATACTATTCTTGTTGGTCAAGTATCAGATTTTGTTTAAAAATTAAATACTCATTTTTAGCAAAGGTGTACAGGCATACAGTTCTAAGAGTCAGAAATTAACAAGGCTTAGAACAAAACCCAGCAATTCCCTACCTTACCCTTTTCCACCCTGATCCCTGTTCCTTGGAGGTTACTGCGTTTATGTTTTAGCTCATTCTTCTAGATTGTGTGAAAGACAGGGAGATGTCCTGTGGAAGACAAGGACTCAGGTGGCTTACCCTCCCCGCTCCTCCTGTTGCCCACGTTTTTCTCCCCTATCCTCTCAGTATAATTATTGTGATAGTGAGGCCAGGCACGGTAGCTCATGACTTATCCCAGATTTTTGGGAGGCCGAGGCAGGCAGATCACTTGAGGCCAGGAGTTGGAGGCCAGCCTGGCCAACACAGTGAAACCTCGTCTCTACTAAAAAATACAAAAATTAGTCGGTTGTAGTGTTGCACACCTGTAGTCTCAGCTACTCAGGAGGGTGAGGCACAAGAATTGCTTGAACCTGGGAGGTGGAGGTTGCAGTGAGCTGAGATTGCACCACTGCACTCCAGCCTGGGCAACAGAGGTAGACTCTGTCTCAAAAAAAATTATTGTGATAGTGGGATACATAGTACAATAGTGTATATATTTAGTATTCATCCTGGTTTTTGGCCCAGAGCTTCTAAAACCCTTGTAATTTCCTGATAGGAACATCATTGGTTATAATATTTGGTCTTAGGTTTCAATTCCTGACACAAGAGCTTCTAAGACTTTTGGAATCTCTGGAGTGATAGGAGTGTCTTTTGTATGATAATGAGATGACAGGTGGCTTTGGGCCCCTAGACAGGTTCAGGATTAGGGCTGGTTGCCAGAAAGACCGAGGTATGATTAAAGAGTTGGACATACCAGCCCTACCCCTACCTCCGGGGAGGGGAGACGAGATGGGCTGGAGATTGAGCTAGCCACCGGTGGCCAATGAGAGATTGAGCTAGCCACCGGTGGCCAATGACTTAATCATGTCTATGTTATGAAAACTCCATAAAACCCTCTAAATATTGGGTTTGGAGAGCTTCTGGTTTGGCGAACTCATTTGGTGCTGGGGAGGTGGCACTCCCAGGGGCATGGGAGCCCCGACCTCCCTGCCCCGTGGTGTGCCCTGTGCGTCTCTTGCATTTGGCTGTTCCCGTGTTCTATTCTTTGTAATAAACCATAAGAGTAAGTAAGTGCCAAGCACTTTGTGTGTCACCTCTCTTACTTTTTCAGCAACACTGTGTGGCAGATAATGTCCTCATTTTGCCGGTGACAAAATGAGATTGATGCATTGAGTAACTTGCTCAAGGTCACATAATAAGAATTCAAGCTCTGACTCCGAAGCCTGTGCTTTTAACCAGCATGCTGCATACATGGCCTCTTTATTTGTTAGGATTTTTGGTGTGTCTAGGTCCTGACACCAAGTTGACCGTTGTGGCCTGAAGCTATTATAACGGTCCTGCTGAGAACAGAGCCGGCACCTCCGGATTGGCAGGGCAGGGGCTGTTCCTGCTGTGAGTTGCAGGCCACTCCCTGTAGCCCTTGGCTGATCTTCCTCATCCACTCCCTCCCTCATTCAGTAGTTCCTGAGTGCCGCCTCTGTGTGGTGAAGAAGGCAGCATTCCAGCCCAGGTGGGGCCTGCAGGTACACACAGGAAGAGGCAGCTGTGCACTGAGCTGACTGTAGGCTGGGACAGTGTGGCTCCAGAGGTGCAGATAGAATACCGTGGGAGTGCAGAGGGAGCACATGCTTCTGGAAGGGAGGAAGGGGGGCAGGCATCACAGAGGAGGTGTATTTGAGTTGGACTTTGAGGGAGGAGTTGGATTTCCACAGTGGAACCGAGCAGCTGAGGCTTTTTCAGCAGCTGAAGATTACAGCCAGCCAGCCCCAAATGTTCAGCTTTTCCTGAATTCTCTTTGTTTTTTAGGACAGTGCAGTAAATTTTCAACAGAGGAAAAGCAGTCACCTCCATGTCATTAATGTTCTGCAAATTCTGTGTGTAGTTTTTGATGCTTGGCAGATGGGGGCAGCCTGGGCCATAAAAGAAGAGCCTGTGTGTCCACCTGTTTGGACATCAGTCAGCTGTGGCACAGGGCAGTGATCACTGCCTGCTCCTGAGGAACTCAGTTGTACTTTTATGTGGAGAGGACAAAGAAAGCTGTTGTACAGGGGGCAGGAGACATTTCATCTGCAAAGCAAGGCACAAAATACTTAGTCTGTGCCCTGCATGAGAAATGTAGCAGAACTGTGTGCTGATTCCCACCCCTGCCTCCTCTCCTGAGAGCAAACCATCCTTGGTACCACGGTGGAAGGCATTTCCGAAGCCTCTGCGATCGGAGTGATCTGTTACTTGCCCATTGAGCCTTAGGGGCAGCAACCAGGTGCTGTGGCTGAAACACAGGCCTTGGCCACACCTGGCTGGGCATGCTGGCTCTGCCACTGACTGTGAATTACAGAACCTTGGAGAAGTCATTGTCTTTCTCTGTGCCCCTCATGTAAGATGGGGAACACCGCGGCCATTGCAGGAGGGCAGACAGGTGGGACGAGTATGAAGTGCTTTGTATGTGTGTGGCATATGGTGAATGAAATGGCACTGATTGACATTATTGATAGTAATAACAGGTTTAATTCAGGAATAAAACTGGTAAAGTAGGCCAGGCGTGGTGGCTCACGCCTGTAATCCCAGCACTTTGGGAGGCCAAGGTGGGCGAATCATGAGGTCAGGAGTTTGAGACCAGCCTGGCCAATATGGTGAAACCCCATCTTTACTAAAAACACAAAAATTAGCTGGGTGTGGTGGTGCGTGCCTGTAGTCCCAGCTACTTGGGAGGCTGAAGCAGGAGAATCGCTTGAACCCGGGAGGCGGAGGTTGCAGTGAGCCGAGATGGCGTCACTGCACTCCAGCCTGGGCGACAGAGAGAGAGACTGTCTCAAAAAAAACCAAAAAAACAAAACCTAGTAAAGTATTTTACCCAGCCTGGGTACGTGTGGTAGAGCTGAATGAAAGAGCTTAGAAAAAGATGACTTGAGAACTAGCTCAGCGGAGGAATCAGGTGGGATTTGTTGTTGTTGAGTAAGTGAAATTTGCACCTGCTTTCTCCCAGGCCTCATTGAGTTGTGTAAAATAGAGAGCTCAGGTGGCTGTGCTGGAGTGGGGTTGGGGCAGTTTACATTTAGCCAAAGGCACCGGTTGAAGAATGCATTGCTATTACGTGAGGAACACTGGGCTTTGAAGCAGAACTGGGTCCATGTTCTTGCCTAGTAACTCTAACTACCATCTAGTTTGTAAAGGGACTGAAAATTCTTATCATGATTGGGGTATCTGCATTGGTTTGTATAGTATAGATCATACGAAAGAGCATTTAGGCCGGAGGGAGGCTTTTCATCTCTATGACTTGACTTTCACAGAACAATTCCATCATGATTTGAAGATTTTTGAGCCAAAATTACATTGTTCTGCTATGTGTTTGGGGCAACTTTATACATACACATTGGCTTAAATATTTCAGATGATACAAGAATATATGTGTGGGGTAAAAAGCTGAAATTTTTATCCCCCCTTCTCTAGAAGTAACCATTCTGCATAGTTAAGTCTGTATTCCAGCTATTTTGTATATTATAAATACACTGTGAATATATGAGTGTATATATACATATATGTTACACAAACAAATTTTTAGAGATGGAATATTGCTGTGTTGCCCACACTGGTCTTAAACTCCTGGGCTCAAGTGATCCTCCTGCCTCGGCCTCCCAAAGTTTTGGAATTACAGGCGTGAGCCACCGCGCCTGGCCTGTGTGAGTGTATTTACTAATTGCTAAGTTACTGTGTTCAATACGTGTCCGTTGAACTCCTCCATGTGCCGGGCATTGTTCTGAATGCCTTATATGCACTAATTCACTTAATTTTTAGAGCAGCTCTATTATTGTGATCCTTTTACAGCGAAGAAACTGAACCACAGAGAGGCTGGGGACGTTGTCCAACATCACACAGCCAGTGCTGTTGGAATTGAGGTTTGAACCCGGACAGCTGGCTTCGGAGCTCTTAGCTGTTATCATAGATGGCACACCCAAACCTTAGGGCTGCCTCCCAAGCCTTGCGTCTGATATGGGCTCACCTGAGCTCTGCTAGAGCTGTGTATGTGAGGTTTCTTTCCCCTTTAAGAACACAAGTCTTGGAATTGTCCCAAACCCTGGTAGGACCTCTTGAGGACCAAAAACAGGGATTCTTCAAGCCTGCCCCAAGGCCACATCTCTGATTTAGCTACTTGGAAGGTAGACGTGGAAGGGAGTCATTTTGCCAGGACAAAAGGTCAGGATGCCTGAGCTGACTCAGCACTTTGGGAGGCCGAGGCAGGTGGATCACCTGAGGTCGGGAGTTTGAGACCAGCCTGGCCAACAAGTTGAAACCCCTTCTCTACTAAAAATGCAAAAATTAGCTGGGCATGGTGGCGGGGGCCTGTAATCCCAGGTACTTGGGAGGCTGAGGCGGGAGAATCGCTTGAACCAGGAGGCGGAGGTTGCAGTGAGCTAATAGTGCGCTGCTGCACTCCAGCTTGGGCGACACAGGGAGACTCCGTATCAAAAAATAAAAAGAAAGAAGGGGAAGGGGAATGGCTGGGCTGACTCATTCTAGGGAAGAGGCCCTACAGCAGCCATAGGACCTTGGCCACTTGGGTGGAAAAGGAGGAAGAGCTTCACCCATGGCAGTGTCCTGGACTGCAGAAACTACACTCTAAATAGTCCACGTCCTGGAACCTGGCCTCCCCATTTGCTTCTCTCCTCCTTGGGTAGAGGGTGTGGGGAACTTTCTACCCTGGAGGCTGAGCAGTGCGTCTTCTAACCACGGTAGGCATTTGTCCGTCCCTGGGAATACAAACAGTATTCTCATAACCAGCCCTAATACTCCTGAACAGCTTTTTGTAGGATGGGGTGGGGCAGGGCAGAGGTTCATTTTGACTCATAGGTACCTTTTCCACTTTTACTGCTGATAACTGCGTTACGGATTAAAGTTTTGTTTTTGATGCTGAAGAGGGCTTAAGAGAGTTAGATATTATGGCACATGTAAGTCTGCTAAAATAGAACTGTGGGGTAGTGTAGGAGAATCTCCTCTTAATTATGGATCATATATTGTGAGCATTAGAAGCCATGTGTACCTAAGTTGAAAAATCAAAACATATCTTGTATTTGGGTGACCCCGGTAAGTCAGGATACCACTGCGCCTTGTGTGAACACAGGATGCTAAGGTGTAGGGATCAACAGCCTTTTTCTCGACATTTTGCGCTTCTCCCTCGGGGTAAAGTGGGGCGGCAGTAGGAACTCACAGCTGTTGGGCAGCTAATATTTGTCAGCTATTTTACATGTGGGATTCCATTTAATGCAATCTTGGAGGTAAAATTATTTTATTAAAGATGAAGATAGAGGCTTAGAGAAGTTAAGAAAATTGTTCAAGTTCACATCATTGCTTTCTTTCTTTCTTTCTTTTTTTTTTTGAGACAGAGTTTCGCTCTTATTGCCTAGGCTGGAGTGCATGGGCACGATCTCCACTCACCATAACCTCTGCTTCCCAGGTTCAAGCGATTCTCCTGCCTCAGCCTGCCAAGTAGCTGGGATTACAGGCATGCGCCACCATGCCTGGCTAATTTTGTATTTTTAGTAGGGACGGAGTTTTCCTTGTTGGTCAGGCTGGTCTTGAACTCCCAACCTCAGGTAATCCGCCTGACTCGGCCACCCAAAGTGCTGGGATTACAGGCGTGAGCCACCACGCCTAGCTAATTTTGTATTTTTAGTAAGAATGGGGTTTTTCCTTGTTGGTCAGGCTGGTCTTGAACTCCCAACCTCAGGTAATCCACCTGACTCGGCCTCCCAAAGTGCTGGGATTACAGGTGTGAGCCACCATGCCCAGCCAAGGCCACGTAATTGCTAAAGTGGAAAGATGAAGTACTGGATGAACTCAGAAGTTTGACTTCAAGGCCCTTGATCTTTCCATAACATGTGGTTCCTTCCCTGGTTGGTGGGGAGTGACTGAAGAACTCAAGGAAGCCGCGTTTTGTGGAAAGAGGACCTGAGGGGTATATGGTCTCTCCAGGCTTGGAATCTGCCACGCTGGGCTTCTGAATTCTATAGCTTGGTCATACAGAGAGAAGCCCCTCATTTAAGACTTATTCTTTGGGGGAAATAAAGGAAGGCCGACCCTATGAGGACAGGCAGAGTTGACTTTCTCAGAGCTGCTGTGGCAAGGGAGTCGGTGTCGTCACTTGCATGTGGCAGAGACTCACATGCAAGTGAGTGGCAGATGAGGAGTGGGGAAGCTTCAGGATGGAAAAGAACGGCTCCCGGTGGAGGCTGTTGTGGGGGCTGGAGGTGGCTCTGCAGAAGTGGGGTGTCCTATGTGATTGGTTAGGGGCGTATTTGGCTTTCTCTGAATGATCCTAACTGGGAAACAGGGGCCAAAATTAGGGTGGCTGTTGGTTTTGAGTCAAGTCCTGGCCACGTGGGACAGAGTTGTCATTTAGCTTTCTGGGTTGTCGAGAGAGAAGAGTCTGGCTTCCTGTCTGATGTGCTAGCCTGGCTGGCCTCCTGGCTGTTTACTGTAGATAGGGGGTTGGTGTCCTGGGCGGGCAGCTGCAGGTTGTGGTCTGAGTTCTGTCTTTATACACATGGTCAGGCATGGTCTGTTTGGATATTCAGTCCCTCATTTTTCTTGTCAGTAAAAATATCAAATGACAAATTGGATACACTGGGAATTTTTTAGATGTCTGTGTCCCCTGGAAGCAGTTTTCACGTTCACATTTAATCAGAGTGAATAGAAACAACTGGGCCATTTATCTTGAAGATTTAAAATAGGAAATCTTCAACAATAGTACCTAGGCGCCATTGCCTGTCTGTCCATCGTTAGGGAATCTGTTTTGATCCACCGCTGGCTCATCGTCCACCAGTATGTGGTTGATCCAGTTCTCTATACATCTTGTCTTTTGTGCATCTCATTGTTTGTTAGTGTTAGCTTTTCCACTTCATCAGTGTAGTTTATTTGTGTAACCTTTGTTGGTAGGAAGTTATTTGTGGAATTTGTGAATGGAAGGGACCTTGGAGGTTTGCTAGGTCAGCCCAGTGATTTTAAAGATAAACGGAACTACAGGGAAACGTTCCAGCTTTTTTGGTGGCAAAACCAGGAATAGAAAGCAGTATTCTTTCTGCCACAATGTCATTGAAAGACAACTAAATGTGGGCCTAAAATGCAGCATCACTAACTTTCATTTATCTCTGCTTCTGACTCTTGCTATCAGACATTTTAAATTGACCTTAATGTGTTAGCAGAAATATAAAAAGTACTGACTTGTTTGCATATAAGGTACCTTTTCTCCTGCTCATTTGGTTGTTTGTTTAACAGGATTGAAAAGACATTGTTATAAACTGAATGTTTATGTCTCCCCCAGATTCTCGTACTGGAGCCCTCACCCCCAGTGTGATGGTATTAGGGGATGGGACCTTTGGGAGGTGATTAGGGTTAGATGAGGTCATGAGCGTGGGCCCTGGTCTGACAGGATCAGTGGCCTTAGAAGAAGAGAAACCAGGCCGGGTGCGGTGGCTCACACCTGTAATCCCAGCACTTTGGGAGGCCGAGATGGGCAGATCACAAGGTCAGGAGATTGAGACCATCCTGAAACCCTGTTTCTACTAAAAATACAAAAATTAGTTGGGCGTGGTGGCATGTGCCTGTAATCCCAGCTACTTGGGAGGCTGAGGCAGGAGAATTGCTTGAACTAGGGAGTCGGAGGTTGCAGTGAGCCAAGATCGTGCCACTGTACTCCAGCCTGGTGACAGAGCGAGACTCCATCTCAAATAAAAAAGAAGAGGAGAAAGCAGAGAGCTCCTACTGCCCTGGTGTGAGGAAAAGAAGAAAGGTGGCTGTCTGCAAGCCAGGAAGAGGTCCTTGTCCTGGAACTGAGTTGGCCGACACCTTGATCTTGGACTTCCAGCCTCCAGAGCTGTGGGAAATAAACTAACGTTTAAGCCACACAGCCTATGGTATTTGCCTATGGTATTATGGCCATCTGAGCTGACTGATACAGAGATGGTTCCAGAATACTATAGCCTGTATTTAAGTTGGTGATGCCATGAAAATAAATGTGGTAGTCCATTCCTTTATATAAAGATAGTGCTGTGAGCCCAGGGCCTTTGCTTATGTCTTAATTGAGTCTTGTCTTCTTATAATAGCTTCCTAATTTCTCTTTTCCCTCTCTCATTTACCTTATATATCTGGATTAAATCATATATGGTATGATTTTCTGCTTTATGTCTATACAAATTCTTAGTGATTTTTTGCTCATTTTATTTTATTTTTGAGACATGTCCTTGCTCTGTTGCTCAGGCTGGAATGCAGGAGTGCCATCATAGCTCACTGTAACCCTAAATTCCTGGGCTCAAGTGATCCTCCTGCCCCAGCCTCCTGAGTAGCTCCTGAGTAGCTGGGACTACAGGTGTGCTACCATGCCTAGCTAATTTTTAAATTTTTTTGTAAGGACAGGGTCTTGCTGTGTTGTCCAGAGTGGTTTCAAACTCCTGGCCTCAAGCAGTCCTCTCACCTCAGCCTCTGAAAGCGCTGGGATTACAGGCATGAGCCGCCGCACCCGGCCCAGTGATTTTTCATTGTTAAGATCAAGGACAGGTTCCCCGGCTTGGCATTCAAGGCTCATGATCTGGGCATGATATGCAAGTTTGGGTTTCAGTGTTTCCATTCCTGTCATCAACCTTGCACTCCAGCTTGTTGCCTAAGCCCTGTTCTGAAGCCCAGCCTGAGAGCTGCACTTAGAATTTATACTTTCTCGTCTCTTCATCTTCTTCGCCTATGTTCTTATCTCCATCTGGGACATCATCTCCACACTTCTACCTCCTTAAATCTTCTCCATCCTTCAAGACTTGAAATACTCACTTCCTTTACATGATCCCTGCTCTGACATCCAAGCTAGAATTAATTTTTCTTCCTTTGAACTCTGATAGTACTTAATGTTTTTTGTCCTTTAATTACACAGCAGTCCTGTGTGTTAGGTATTATTATTCCCCCATTTTTTCATAGTTACATTGAAAATATGTACTATAGTCGTATATTTTGAATATGTAATATGAGCGATGGAGCAACATTCAAAAGGTCCTGGAGAGTGAAAGGAAGTCCTACTCCCATCATTGCCCTGTGACCACTGTTGCCAGTTTTTTTTCTTTTTTTTCCAAGATGGAGTCTCACTCTGTCGCCAGGCTGGCGTGATCTTGGCTCACTGCAACCTCCGCTTCCTGGGTTCAAGCGATTCTGCTGCCTCAGCCTCCCGAGTAGCTGGGACCACAGGCATGCACCACCATGCCCAGATAATTTTTGTATTTTTAGTAGAGACGGGGTTTCACCATGTTGGCCAGGATGGTCTCGATCTGTTGGCCTCGTGATCGCCTGCCTCAGCCTCCCAAAGTGCTGGGATTACAGGCGTGAGCCACCGCGCCCGGCCTATGTGTCTTCTTTTTAAAAACACAGATGTTGGCATAAGATAAACACTGTTCTCCACCAGTTCCCCATTGCTAAGTATTTAGGTTGTTCCCAACCGTTTGGATTAATCAATGCTGAGTTGTATGTAATTCTTGCATATTTGCGTGAATATGTGCATAGGATGCATTGCTAGAAATGGAATTGTAGGATCCAAGGTTCTGCGCATTTTAAATGTTGATGGGTATTGCTGGATTCCCTTCCGTTAGGATTGTACCATTATCTCACTGTCAATGTGTAAGGGCGCCTATTTCTATTTCCTTGCCAACAGTTTCTTCTCAGATGTTTTGTTTGTCAGTCTAATAGATAGGTTAAAAAAAAAGTGGCCAGGTGCGGTGGCTCATGCCTGTAATCCTAGCGCTTTGAGAGGCGGAGACAGGCGGATCACCTGAGGTCAGGAGTTTGAGACCAGCCTGGCCAACGTGGTGAAACCCCTGTCTCTGCTAAAAATAAAAAAATTAGCCAGGCGTGGTGGCGGGCGCCTGTAATCCCAGCTACCCAGGAGGCTGAGGCAGGAGAATCACTAGAACCTGGGAGGCAGAGGCTGCAGTGAGCCAAGAGTGCACCACTGCACTCTAGCCTGGGCAACAGAGCAAGACTCCATCTCAAAAAAAAAAAAAAAAAAAAGTTTTGCTCTCATTTTATAGGGTAGGAAACTGAAGCTGAGAGAGATTAGATAGGTCATCTACCTGGTCTCATAGGATGTGTGGTTCACTCAGGACCTGAATTTAGTCTTCTAATTTGAAAATGCATTTTCTTTGGAGGCAAACTGGTATTAAAAAAACCCATATTTATTTATTTATTTATGGATATATAGGTATACCTACAAAAATATATATAATATATAGTTTATATATTTAGCTTTTGACAAGTTAATACTGTAATTATGTACTATTTAGTCCCTCTCCTAGCCTATAAACCTTTTCTGTAGAAGATATTTTTCAGGTTTAGGGAATTTTTTTCTTGAGAGTCTGGGACAGACCTGTAAACAGTTTAGATTATGAAACAATATACATTTCTGTTTTTTAGTCTCAAACATATCGAAATTGTCTTTCGACTTTTCAGACCTTTCAAAATAGAGATTCGAAGGAAGAAGCCCAGGCTATTTGTCTTTTAGGGATTGCAGTTTCTTTGGTAAGAGAAAGGTTGGTAGCTTTGTTAGTAACCCTTTGACCTTGTGAATGTCTTTTGTGTTTAGTTAATTATATTTTCCGTATAACTTTGAAGATTGGGGAAGCAAGTGTAGTTTAGCAGTTAGCTCTCTTCCTTGATAATTATCTTTCCTTCTTTCATTTATTATAGTTACAGCATTAAAAACTGCCCATAAGGCCACTAGTTTTTGTCGTCACCAGAGAAAGATGACCCCAAATACGGACCTTTGCATTAGAAGTTACAAATTTTATCCAAAAAGTTAGCGCACAATAATTTGGATATTGTTAAACTTTCCAGATAGAGTATATGGGTTGAATATGAATTGTGTGTGTATATAAATATATTTATGATCTAGGAATTAACACCATTCAATTCAAAATGGCCAAATTCAAATACTGTTGGTGGGAATGTAAATTAGTTCAACTGTTGTGGAAGACAGTGTGGCGATTCCTCAAAGATCTAGAACCAGAAATACCATTTGACTCAGCAATCCCATTACCGGGTATATATCCAAAGGAATACAAGTCATTATGTTACAAAGATACATGTACGCGTATGTTCATTGCAGCACTGTTCACAGTAGCAAAGACAGGGAATCAACCCAAACGCCCATCAATGATAGACTAAAGAAAATGTGGTACATACACACCATGGAATACTATTCACCCATCAAAAGGAACAAGATCATGTCCTTTGCAGGGACATGGATGGAGCTGGAAGCCATTATCCTCAGCAAACTAAGGCAGAAACGGAAAACCAAACACCATGTGTTCTTACTTATAAGTGGGAGCTGAACAATGAGAACACATGGACACAGGGAGGGGAACAACACACTCTGGGGCCTGTTGGGGGTGGGGCGAGGGGAGGGAGAGTGTTAGGAAAAACAGCTAATGCATGCTGGCTGGGCTCAATACCTAGGTGATGGGTTGATAGGTGCAGCAAACCACCATGGCACACATTTACCTATGTAACAAACCTGCACATCCTGCACGTGTACCCCAGAACTTAAAAATTAAAAAAAAATAAAAGACTAAACAAAAAATCCGCAGGTTTCATTCAGTGAAACAGAAAATCCCAAAGCTCTTTCGCACATGGCTTGTTTATTGTTCTTAGGGCTGGATATTCGTATGTTCTGATAAGAACTCAATCGGCTCAGAAATGTCATTTCTTAGATTCTACTAAACGTTTGTGTAGGACCTGTTTAATGAAAACACAGGTTCCATTCAGCCATATAAAATGACACATCACACACCACAAAAATAGCCCCCTTGTTCCAAAAACACAGACATTTTACATTTCTACCTGAAGTGTACAGACGCTGACTGAAGCTCTGTGTTGCAGTGATGCGTGCTGCTAGGATTGTGGCTCTGTTTTGCATTTGCTAGCCAGGCTTCGGCTTTCCAGTCAGGTATTTTTTGTTTTGTTGATGTTGTTGCCGCCGTTGGGCCGGGATAATCTGTGTGAATTTCCCTCCACTGCTCAGTCAGATTCCCTTTCCGGGGGCCGGGCTGAGTGTCTCATCTGCAGCCCTGTTTTTCTAGTGATCTGGGCCTAGTGTCTCATCTGGCAGCCCTGTTTCTTGGTGACCTGGGCCGAGTGTCTCTTCCGGCAGCCCTGTTTCCTGGTGACCTGGGCCGAGTGTCTCATCCGCAGCCCTGTTTCCTGGTGACCTGGGCCGAGTGTCTCTTCCAACAGCCCTGTTTCCTGGTGACCTGGGCCGAGTGTCTCATCCGGCAGCCCTGTTTCCTGGTGACCTGGGCCGAGTGTCTCTTCCGGCAGCCCTGTTTCCTGGTGACCTGGGCCGAGCGTCTCAGCCCTGTTTGCGGGTGACCTGGGCCGAGTGTCTCTTCCAACAGCCCTGTTTCCTGGTGACCTGGGCCGAGTGTCTCTTCTGGCAGCCCTGTTTCTTGGTGACCTGGGCTGAGTGTCTCATCCACAGCCCTGTTTCCTGGTGACCTGGGCCGAGTGTCTTATCCGCAGCCCTGTTTGCGGGTGACCTGGGCCGAGTGTCTCATCCGGCAGCCCTGTTTCCTGGTGACCTGGGCCGAGTGTCTCTTCCGGCAGCCCTGTTTGCGGGTGATCTGGGCCGAGTGTCTCATCTGGCAGCCCTGTTTCTTGGTGACCTGGGCCGAGTGTCTCTTCCGGCAGCCCTGTTTGCGGGTGACCTGGGCCGAATGTCTCATCCGGCAGCCCTGTTTGTGGGTGACCTGGGCCGAGTGTCTCTTCCGGCAGCCCTGTTTGCGGGTGACCTGGGCCGAGTGTCTCATCCGGCAGCCCTGTTTCCTGGTGACCTGGGCTGAGTGTCTCTTCCGGCAGCCCTGTTTGCGGGTGACCTGGGCTGAGTGTCTCATCCACAGCCCTGTTTCCTGGTGACCTGGGCCGAATGTCTCATCTGGCAGCCCTGTTTCCTGGTGACCTGGGCCGAGTGTCTCATCCGGCAGCAGCCCTGTTTCCTGGTGACCTGGGCCGAGTGTCTCTTCTGGCAGCCCGGTTTCCTGGTGATCTGGGCCGAGTGGCTCCATGAGAAGTTGCACCCATCTTCTCCAGTAGTGCATCTTTTCACAGCAAGCAAAACATTTCCACCATGTTTCTAGGGGGCTGTGCACTAGTTCTTTTCTGGGCATCAGGAGACCTGGCTTTGTTCTGGTTCAAGCAACAGCTGGTGAGTTACCAAAGACAAGTCCCATCTATCCCGTGGTCCTTTGCTTTATAAGTAGAATGACAGTCGGAGTGGGCATCACTGCCCTGGTCTCTTTGCGGTGCTGAGTGTTGTGGGGATGATGACTAAGTGTCAGGTTGCGTTTCCACCTCTAGGGGATTGCAGTGCAGTGAAAGACGCAGGAGGAAAGCTAATAGCCCCGGGCAGGTACACAGAACCAGAGGAGTTTGGAAGGGTGGTTCCAAACTCCTTGGTGGGATTGATGTGATCACAATAGACATTTTATCTCTAAGTTTTGGGCCATTGGACCAAGAGAAGAGAGAGCTGGTGTTGAGTTGTAGTGAGAGGTACGTGGTTCATGTGCATGCTGAGCCTGGCCTGGATTCTGAGGCTCATTCCATTTTACCTTCTGTTTCGGCCTTCTTCATGCATCTGCTTGTTTCTCCAGAAAAATTGCAATAAATTCCTTTCAAAAACTTTACAAAAGCAATAGATGCTCATTAAAAATAGTTCAAATGATATGGAAGACAGAAAGTGAGTGTGTTTCTTTTGTGTTTGGATGAATGTGTCTTTGGGGTAGTCACTAATAACACTGGGTGTATTTCCTTCCAGATCTTTTCCAGTGTACCTACAAATATATATGTACACTTTGTAAAAAACAAAATAGTACTGATAAACATTGAGTCCCCCTACCCCCACTCAGCAGTCTACATGGATATCCTTTCATGACGATACAGTGAGACCTGATTGACTCCTTTTGTTCGCTGGAGTGCTAGGTAATGATAGCTAAAGATAACTCACCTTCAGTGGGCATTTACCATGTGACAGGGTCTGTGCGCCAGGCGGGCTACATGAAATGAGTCTTAAGGCTTTTTACAACAGTGCTATGGGTGAACACAGTAATTGTTAACATTTTGCAAATGATAGAATTGCAGTAGAGAGAAGCAAAGCTGCTTGCTCAAACTCATGGCACTATTCCTGAGAGAGAGAGAGAGAACACTTTTAAAACAGTTGTTATAATCAGGTGATTTACGATCATTTCAAGAAATAGTGCATTCAGTGAATACATTCAGTGTCTGGTACAGTCCGGGAGCTGTTCCTGAAAATGCACTGGGCTAGAGGTAAAGGGAGTGGTCCACTGGCCCTGGGCCCCTAGTGCAAGGAGGGAGGTCCCAGGGAGAGAGGGCATGAAGAGGAGGTCTCTGGACAAACCTTGCAACATCCCTTTCTGCTGAGTCTGGTCCGAGGTCTGGTTCTTGACATGTACACTTTTCAGAGATGCTTGGTTTTGATTTTTATCATGGCTCACCTGAGCAGCCATGGTTTCAAACTGCCTGGAGGTGTGGTCTGGAAGGCCAGTGCTATGCCCACCCTTCCCACTCCTGCAGGAGGGGGAGGGGAGTCATCCTGGGACTAGAGGGCTTCACGTATAATCAGCTATCATAGTAAGTGGACTTGATGCTGGTTTCGCTGGGTCAGGAAATTTCCCATTTGGAAGGAAAATTGATACTTGTTTTTGGGTTTTGCTGAGGAGCCACAGGGTTTAGAGCAGGGGCTGGAAGCTTTTTGAGACGCAAGTGAGTGCAATCAGACATCCTCCATGAAACTTGGAAATAAAGACGGTGTCCCAGAGAGGTCCCTGCCTTTGGGATATAAATATTTCTGTAACAGAATGGCACTGGATGTCTGCTGTATTGTTTTCTCTGCTATTTTGGCAAGTTTTATTTGGGTATGTGTCTCCTGTACAGAAGGCACGACATCGGTTTTTGCCACCAAGTATTTACAGCAGTTGGTACCTCCTTTGTGGGTCACTTTTGTGCCGTGGTTTCTTTGGGGAAATTGCAGGTCTCCTACCCAAAGCACATTGCCCATTTCAAGGTGCTCCTGGTATCTGAACACCTAAGGCAGTGCCTTCCAGGTGGGTGAAGCCAGCCGAGGAAGTGCCTCTCCCCAGCAGGTGGGGACTGGTGATTGCGTAAGTGAGGAGGCCGGGGATGAGCCCTGGACTAGAACTTGTGACTGGCTGCTTTTCTTTCCCGTCCTCTCCCTCCTATTTTTCCACCACCCCCACTTTTAAAAAAATTCTTATTAAAAATTAAGTAATTATTTTGGTTTCCTTTATCCGCTATTCCTTGCTAATTGTATGTAGAGTGAGCCTGGGAAAGTGAGAAAGAAAGTTGTACTTAGTTTCAAATGATCATACCAGCTACTCTCCATTGAGGGGCTTGCCGCAGGGCGGCTTTGTGAAGTGGTTTTGTGGGGGTTCTCCTTTCAGTCCTCAGCCTTAACCAGCAGAAGCAGGTGGTACTTATTCCTGGTTAATGTTGAGGAAGTTGAGCTCAAAGTGGTTAAGGGACCTTCCCAAAGTCACATTAGAAAGTAGCAGCATAGAACTAAACACAGATTGTCTCTGAATCAGGCAGGTCGTCTGGTTCCAAAATGGGCTCTTAACTTTTGGAGGTCAAAAAGCTGAACAGACACAGATATTTCTTTTTCCTTCTTCTTCTTCTTTTTTTTTTTAGATGGGGTTTTGCTCTGTTGCCTGGGCTGGTCTAGGCTCAAGCAGTCCTGCTTTCTCAGCGTTCTGAGTACCTGGGCTTACAGGTTGGAGTCACCACACCCAACCGAACAGACGTTTCTTGAAAGAAGATGTACAAATGGCCAAAAAATATGTGGAAAAAAATGCTCAGTATCATAATCAGAGAAATGCAAATCAAAACCACAGTGAGAAGACAAAAAATAACAAGTGCTGGCGAGGATATGGAGAAAAGGGAACTCTTACGCACCGTAGGGGGGAATGTAAACTAGAGCAGCTGGCTGGGCGCGGGGGCGCACACTGACATCCCAGCACTTTGGGAGGCCGAGGCGGGCAGATCACCGGATGTCAGGAGTTTGAAACCAGCCTGGCCAACATAGTGAAACCCTGTCTCTACTAAAAATACAAAAATTAGCTGGGTCGGTGGATCACGCCTGTAATCCCAGCACTTTTGGGAGGCTGAAGTGGGCGGATCATTTGAGGTCAGGAGTTCAAGACCAGCCTGGCCAACGTGGTAAAACCGCATCTCTACTAAAAAATACAAAAATTTGCTGGGTGTGGTGGTGGGCGCCCATAATCCCAGCTACTTGGGAGGCTGAGGTATGAGAACCTCTGGAACCTGGGAGGTGGAGGCTACAGTGAGCGAGCTGAGATCGCGCCACTGTACTCCAGCCTGGGCAACAGTGAGACTGTCTCAGAGAAAAAGAATAAGAGTAAGCTAGTGCAGCCACTATGGAAAACAGTATGGAGGTTCCTGAGAAAACTACAAATAAAACCACAGTGTGATCCAGCAGCCCCACTACTGTGTAGATACCCAGAGAAAAGGAAATCAGTGTCGGAGGGGCATCTGTACCTCTGTGTTACCTGCAGCGCTGTTCACCGTAGCCAAGATATGGAATCAGCCTCGGTGTCCAGCAGCACATGATGGATAGAGAAAATGTGGTCTTTATACACAGTGGAGTACTATTCAGCCGTAACACAGGATGAAGTCCTGTTATTCTCAGCAACGTGGGTGGAACTGGAGGACATTATGTGAAATAAGCCAGGGACAGAAAGTTAAACACCGCATGTTCTCTTATGTGGATAACAAGAATATATATAGTTTCAGGCTGGGCACGGTGGCTCATGCCTGTAATCCCAGCACTGTGGGAGGCCGAGGTGGGTGGATCACCTGAGGTCAGGAGTTAGAGACCAGCCTGGCCAACGTGGCGAAACCCCGTCTCTACTAAAAATACAAAAATTAGCTGGGCGTGGTGGTGGGTGCCTGTAACCCCAGCTACCAGGGAAGCTGAGGCAGGAGAATCGCTTGAACCTGGGAAGCAGAGGTTGCGGTGAGCTGAGATCGCGCCACTGCACTCCAGCCTGGGCGACAGAGTGTGACTTTGTCTCAAAAAAAAAAAAAAGAATATATAGTTCCAGATACTTGAAGGAAGGGTATTGAACGTTACCAACACAAAGAAATGATAAATGTTTGAGATGGTGGATATGCTAATTACTCTGATCACATACATTACATGTATTATAACATCACTGTATGTACCCCTTACATATGTACAGTATACAATTATGTGTCAATTAGAAAAAGCTGAACTTAGATTGGAATGGCTATGAAGCAGCTAGCTTTTTCATATTTTTGATATAGACCCTAGGCATTTATTTTAACTAAACTTGGCTTCAGGAAATGTGTAGTATTTGAATTTTAGCTTTGCATTTTATAATATAGAGAAGTAAAACTTTAGGCTTGCTTTAGATACAGTCACAGGGGTTTGCAGTGATGACTTTTTTATGTAATAAGTGGGAAATATACCTTAATTAATAGGCATACATGCTCATTTTCTTCCTCTTACACATTTTTAGTTGTTGTCCAGGCATTGTGATACTTATGTAAACAGTATGTGATATCTTAGGTAGGAATCAGAATTTTAAGGTAAGGATACTTAGAGTTATATGTTTTTCAAACTTTCAAGCTGGACATTTTACATGTCCATTATATAATTGTAATTAAAGTTTCACAAAGACAATACCCATCTTTAATATGGGTGATGCGCTAGCATTTTTTTTTTTTTTTTTTTTGGAGACAGGGTCTTACTGTCTCCCAGGCTGGAGTGTAGTGGTGCGATCATGGCTCACTGCAGCCTCAGCCTCATAGGCTCAAGAGATCCTCCCACCTCAGCCTCCCAAGTAGCTGGGACCACAGGTGTGCAACACCATGCCTAGCTAATGTTTAAAATTTTTTGCAGAGACAGGGCCTCCCTGTGTTGCTCAGGCTGGTCTGGAATTCCTGGGTTCAAGTGATTCTCCTGCTTCATCTTCCCACAGTGCTGTGATTACAGGCATGCGCCACTGTGCCTGGCCCCATATAAGTGGGATGATGACTTGAGCCTAGGAGTTGCAGACCAGCCTGGATAACATGGCACAAGATCCTATCTCTACAAAAACTAAAAAAATTAACTGGGCATGGTGCCACCTGCCTGTGGTCCCAGCTACTCCAGGAGGCTGAGGCAGGAGGATAACTTGAGCCCAAGAGTCAAGGCTGCAGTGAGCTATGATCTTGTCATTGCATTCCAGCCTGGGTGACAGAGTGAGACCTTGTCTCTTAAAAAAAATTGCTGTCTACCTGATTATTCATAGAAAAAAAACCTGAACTCTGATCTAAACCTCATACCTCATACAAAAATTAACTCAAAATGGGTCATGGACTAAAATGTAAAATGCAAAATAAAGATGAAAAGAGGAGCTACAGACTGGGAGAAACTAATTGCAAGCCACATGTCTGATAAAGGACTTACATCTGTAATACATAAAGAACTATCAAAATTTAGCAGTAAAACCAAACCATCTACTTTGAAAATGAGTAAAAGACATGAAGAGACATTTCAGATAACATATAAGCAAGTGAAAAGATGTTCAACATCATTAGCCGTCAGAAAAATGCACGCTAAAGCCACATCACTATACACCTATCAGAATGGCTAAAATAAAAAGTAATAACAAAACCAAATGCTGGTGAGGATGCAGGGAAACGGAATCACTCACACTTGGCTGGCAGGAATGGAAGATGGCACAGCCATTCTGGAAAACAGTTTGACAGTTTCTTAAAAAACTAAATGTGCAATTGCCATAGGACGCAGCACTCACATTCATGGGCAGTTATCCCAGAGAAATGAAGACTTAACCTTCACACAAAAGCCATATGTATCTGTTCATAGCAGCATTATTTATAAAACGCCAGAAACTGGAAACAGCCCGGACACCACTCAGCAGGTGAATGGTTAAACAAACTGGTGCACCCAGGTCCCGGATACCACTTTGCAATAGTTAATGACGTCCTTGTTCATCGGTCTTTCAAACTAGAAACCACCATCATGCATAATACCCTTTTTTCCATCCTGGGTCTGTGTGGACTTCATTTTGCATTTCTTTCAAATGCATTTTCTCTCTGTCCTTTCTGGTTGCGCCTCATGCTGCATTTGAACTGTTGTAAGAGCCACCTAATAACTCTGCCTTATCATGGAATCCTTTCTATATTTCATTCCCCGTGTTGCCATTGGAACAATCTTTCCAAAACATGAACAAACTAACTTAAAAGAAATATCCCAGGTAGCCTTCCAAATAAGTGTAAGCTTTCTCTTAGAAGATTTACTTCTTGTCTATGGAGAACCCCAGGACTCTAGAGAGATGGATTTGCTGTCTGCATTTTAATATCAGGCAGAAATCCCTGGAGGGACCCGTGTGGAATAGTGACACAAGTACTGGTTCTAGAATCAGAGGCCCTTATATCCTGGTTCTAATACTAGCTGGATATTCTTGGGAAAGTTTTGGTTTCATAAACTCAGAAACTCCATTTCTTAAAAAATGGAGATGAGGAAGCATACTCAAGGGATCACGCAAGGCTGCTGGGAGGAGCGGATGAGGGGCATGGTGAAAATGCTGTGCAATCCGTAAAGCATGTCATTTGTGTGAGAAGTGGAGCTGTGTGAATAGCGGCTCTGGAATCATTGTATGAAAATGATAGAAAGCACATTCATAGTTCTGCCTGATGATATCACTGGGCGCCTGTGTTGTACATGCCTGCAACATGGGCGAGGCCCGGGTCAGTACAGCTCACAGTTTGGTTTTCATGCACTTAGAAAGGCCCAAGAGGACCCTTCCCCCCTCCGGCTGTAGGAAGGAGGCGGCTGGCTCCTGCCTATATTTGGTGGGATTGTCTCTGGCTCCTTAGGGACAGGAATGCAGGGAGTGGGGGAAGAAAGCCGTCCTGGCTCGCTAGTCAGCCTTCCCCCAGGGAGGAGTGGAGGGGTCATTTCGTGGTAACTTGCCAAGTCTTTCTCAACCCATCTGCTCATAGAAATGACCAGCATGACAAGTAAAAGACCCGTTGGAGACAGATGGGCTGTGTGTCCCGTGCGTTTATGGCTTTGTGGCCTCAGAGCTGCCAGGACTCGATAGCTTTCTGGGGAATGCTGGGTCAGCCAAGGGGCTGAAAAAAGTGAGAGGAAGAAGATCCACCCCTCGGTGCTCTGGTCTGGGAGTGATTACTGAGGAGAGTGGCATGGAGGGCCCAGTCGTGGGGTGCCTCTCAAGCACGCCCTCACCGCAGTGGGAATACGTGTCTCAACCTCCCTAGGCCTCCGTGATTTTCGTCTATCACATACTCACCTCCAGCAGAGATGTCTATGGTGACGAGATGAGACAGCATCATAGCACATGTGGCCACTTAGTAGGCTCGCAGTGAGTGGACGCTGGAGTCAGTGGAACAGGAGACTGGGTGCTGCCTGTGGATGCACTCACGTGCTCGTGGCACGGGTGAACGGGGGAGAGAGGGATGCTCTGCAGTTCTTCTTTTGGTCTGTTACTCCCGCTGTTGTGAGCAGAATCCGTGAGTGTAGTCTGTTGCCCCACTTGACTTGGTAGGCTGATTGCTCAATTTTCTGCTTCCACTTTTGATTTCTTAAGAATGGGAAAAGGAATACTTCAGTTACTTTTCTGGTTGATGGCATAAATTCCTTGATATCACCTTAATGTTTTTTTATTTCTATGTATTTTGAATTCTGGAGGTTGCCTAACATCTCTTGTTTTTATGCCTCACCCTCTCTGTAACTGTTGGCCACACCAAGACCAGAGAGAAGTGACCAGGCCGGTTGGTAGCAGGGCTAGGACTGGAATTCCCCAGTCTTTTGACTCCCAGCAGGCTCTGTTTTCTGTATTGCACTGCTTTTCCCTGTTTCGACTCCTGTTAGGACAGTGGATGTGAAATGTAGCTGGGCGCTTTTGGGGGTGTGCTAGGAGTGTGGCAGATGCCTCAGACTGGCATTTTTCCCTGATTCTGAATTTTCATGGCTCAGAGTCAGTCCCTAGGCCACTGACCGGGAAGATACAAGAAGTTGTTTTGTATGGCAGCCTATACCAGGGTATTTTTTTCACCCGGCAATTTATTTGGTTTGGACTGGAATAAATCTCTGAGATTGGCTTCTTTGCCAATATTATTAGGGAGTGGAGCCTGATTTGTTTTAGCCCGATTCGTAGTGCTTAGCATCTCAATGAATGTGTGTTGAACTGAGCCAAGGTGTGAGAGCGTCTTGGACAGTGGTTTGCAACCCTAGCTGCATCTGGGGGGCTGTGAAAAAAGCATGCATGCTGACTCCAGACCAGTTGAAATAGAATCTGCAGGAATGGAGCCTGGGCAGCTATAGTTCTGTTAAAAACCCCCAGATGGTTCTGATATACAGTAAAAATTGAGATCCACTGATCCACGGTGAATTGGAGTCCTGAATCATACACATGCCTTATGCTTTCACTAGCTTAGAATGGCTCTTGCGCTTTGGAACCATGAAAAAAATGTTATGCAAACAAATGTGGAAATTGCCTAAATGCCACATCCTGTTACTACCTGCCGTGAAGTATATTTGCCGGTTATTCACTCTATTCCGATCTCTACCCATTCCACCTTTTCTTCATGAAACAATAATTTGACAGTTGGTTATGCAGAACCAGAGTAAGTCTAGTTTGATTGGCAGGAAACGATTTTGGGTATGAAGTACTCTTTAGGTATTTATTGAACTCTTGTTTGTACCACTGCTGTGCTGGACAGTTTATAAATAATACTTCTTTAAGCAAGGGCTATGGAGTCAGGCTGCCTGGGTTTTGCTAACTAGCTGTGTAATTTGGGGCAAGTTTTTAAACTTATATAAACCTGACTTTCATCTATGAAATGGGATGACAAGGGGTCATCATCTAACAGGATTGTGCAAATATGTGTGCAAAGTGCTTAGTTTGGTGCCTAACACATAGTAACTGCTCAGTAAAGTTATTATGACACCACCATCATCATATTTAAATGTAAATATTAAGAGCTAATGAATTTGTAAAAGGTAGTATACCCTTACCCCTCGAACCAAAGACTACTTTAGTTTTAAGTGATTGGGTTAATTTATCACTTAAATATTGGCCTCTTGAATACCTTGAATTTCAATTGAATGTAGCCAGAGGATTTTATAATTGGACCGTTGCCTCTAGAAGTTGGAGCTTTGTTTGTTTGGTTTCACTTCCTACACTAAGCACGTGGCTATGTGCACCTTTATGGTGACTTCTGGTACTGGGGCATCAAAGCTTCATTAGCTTCTTTGGAGGAGATGATCTTATGCTATACGAAGCACTCAGACTTCGTTAACTATGCATCATCCAGACAAGAACAGGTGCTTCCTATGGCAGCCTGTCCTTTTCTTAGCTCTCTCATCAATCTAGCCTGTTCCTTCTATTCCTCTTTATACTAGAATTTCTCTTTGAACAAGGAATGTTGTTTTGCCACTGCTAGGTCCCCAGCAATTAGTGATGAATTAGGCACCTAGTATGTGCCTCCTAAATATTAATAGATGATAATCTAGCAGAACACAAGATAAATCCACAAGTTGAGATTTAAGCTGTGTGGTATCAAAGCTGCATTGGTAAACTTATTAAATCAATTAAATCAATTTTGTTAATACAAGTTTAAAATATCTTAGTAACTGACTTAATTCAGTAATCATTTACTGAGTGTCTTCTAGGCTAGACATTGGGGACAGAAAAGTGATAATATATGATCCCTGCCTCATGCACAGGAAGCCTAGTGTGATGCCAAGGGCTGCCATGGAATATGGCGAGTATTAAGATAAAGGGGCACCCTGTGTGCCCTTGGAGCATAGAGCAGGGCTTGTGTTCTGGGAACTTGGGCTCCATGTTAAAACACAATTTAAATTAATTTTTTTTTTTTTGAGACAGAGTCTTGCTCTGTCGCCCAGGCTGGAGTACAGTGGTGTGATCTCGGCTTACTGCAACGTGCTCCCCCCAGGTTCAAGCGATTCTCGTGCCTCAGCCTCCTGAGTAGCTGGGATAACAGGTGTGTGCCACCACGCCCGGCTAATTTTTGCATTTTTAGTAAAGACGGGGTTTCACCGCATTGGCCGGGCTGGTCTTGAACGTCTGACATCAGGTGATCCTCCCGCCTCAGCCTTCCAGAGTTCTGGGATTATAGGCGTGTATGTATTCATGCTTTTAAATATCTGTGGGTAGCACTTAACTTTAAATGGGTGCTAATTAAACTATTGAATGGCTTTAGTATGGATTAAATGGCTTTGCTCAGGCCTCATTTTTAATTTCCTTCATTAGAGGAAAAAAAACAATGCAGATTGAATATCCCTTATCTAAACTGCTTGGAACCAGAAGTGTTTCAGATTTTTTTACATTTTTGGATTTTTGAATATGTATTATACTTGCTGGTTGAGTATCCTGAATTCAAAAATCCAAAATCTGAGCTGCTCCAATGAAGATTTCATTGGGCGTCACGTCAGCGCTCAAAAAGTTATAGATTTCGGAGTTTCTGGTTAGGGAGACTGGTCCTGTATGGGTGCTGGGTTGTTGCAGGAGTTCTGGACCAGAGGTTAGGTGACTAGGCTTTGGTTTTCACTTTGTTACTAAACAGGCTATTTTCTTCCATAATCTCAGCTTTAGATCCCTCGGTTGTCAAAGAAGGGGTTGGGCCATCTGATGTTTAAGGCCTCTGTTAGTTCTGACTTTGAGATATCTGGTTTCAATTCATCTTCCTTAGGCATGGACAAAGAACATGGGAATTTTGAAATTGTTAGTCAACATTTACAGGGACGTTGCAGCCTAGTTTTGGGTAAAGGTCATCTTTAGTGAGCCCAGGGAGAAGCAGTGGTTTAGCTGTCAGCTGAGGGGTAAGTGGTCCTATAAATTTTCCTCTGTTTTAGCAAAAGCATTGTTAAGGTCACAGCATTAGTGGAATTAGCTGGAAAGAGGAGGGGAACTCACTGTTACAAGTTGTATTGAATGTCTTTTAAGTCGCTAAATGCTTTTTATGAATATGTTTTTCAGGATTTCAACGTTGTAGCATTTCTCTGTGTTGCATAGCACAGGAAATTTAATATCATCATGTGACATTTGAATTTTTTTTTTTTTTTTTTGAGGTGGAGTTTTGCTTTTGTCACCCAGGCTGGAGTGCAGTGGCGCGACCTCAGCTCACTGCAACCTCCGCCTCCCGAGTTCAAGCGGTTCTTCCTCCTCAGCCTCCCGAATAGCTGGGATTACAGGCGCCCGCCAGCATTCTTAGTAGAGATGGGGCTTCGCCATATTGGCCAGGCTGTTCTTGAACTTCCGACCTCAGGTGATCCACCCGCCTTGGCTTCCCAAAGTGCTGGGATTACAGGCGTGAGCCACCGCGCCTGGCCTTGAATGTTCTTTCTGTGGGAATCTACAAAAGCCAGCTTTTGAGTCTAGTGGCAGAAAACCTCTTCGTTGTTTAGCTGTGCTGTGAGTTTGGAGGGCTTCAAGCCCATCTGAAAAAGCTGTAGTATTTTATGTCAGTTGGCTGTCTTGGAGAACTTAATGAGCACTGGGCCGGAGTGATACTGTCAGAGTTCATGAGCTGTCTGAGGCTCTCGAAGCCTAGATACTGCGGTTGCCCAAATACATTGGCTGGACTCACTATTTTTCTCCGGAATAGGGGGGTGGAAAATGCTGTAGTCTTAACTCTGCTCTTAATTTTGCAGTGCTGTTATTAATGATAAGAATGATTTCATACGTTTGTTTTTTGCTTCGTAATTCACAGAGAATTTTAAAATCCATTATCTGATTTTATTCCCTCAGCAGTTCTGTGAAAAAGGCAGGGCAGCTTTCATATCTTCTGTTGCCCCCTGATTCTCTTGTGGCTCACAGAAGCTAAGAGCCTTCAGCGAGGTCATAGGGTGAATGAGTCGCAGAGCTGGGAGTAGAGGCTCGGGCTTCTAGTAACCCTGTTTCTTTCTCGATAGGTCACTCTCATGGCGCTTTGCTCAGGTAACTCTGCATGCTGGGTTTGGTCTTTTGTAAATCCCTGCCCTGTTTGGAGAGAGGTTCTTGGGAGGTTTCTATTCATTTTGGAGCATTGAGGTATCTTGTCCTCTCTCCCTCCTCCCACATGCATGGGCATTTCAGCAGGCCCCCAGGCTGGCCCTTGTGCGTGGGGGTGTCTCCTGCCTCCACGTTGCATGCGTGTCCCCCTGCGGAAGGTGCTCTTCCCGGCATGGAGCCCCCTTATGCCTGCCTCCACACTGCAGGCTGTTTGGTAAATGTTACTGACTCAGCATCGTTGTTCTAGAAATGGGACGGGGTATGGATGCCAAGTTCTTTTCTGTGTGAAGGTTGTGATTGTATCATCTTGCCTTCCCTGTGTGTGCTTCTTGAGGAGGGTGTCACTGTGCTGCGGTCATCTGTGTTCCCTAGGGTGCTTCCCTTGGAGTCCTGGCTGCAGCAGACATGCAGTCAGTGCTCATGGCCTAAATGAGAGAAAGGCCAACAGAGCCATTAAATCTGGAAAATGACAAGTGAGGGAAAGGAATTTTTATTTAAGGCATGTGAAAAAGAAATCTTTTTAGAAAAGTTGACCTGTTTCTCAACTGGAGTTGAATTTCAGCTCAGAAAAGCAGCTGTGCGCCCAGAGGGCTTTGGGATTTCAGTTTGTGACAGATGAATTTAATTTGTTGTTGTATGAATGTATTATCCTTTTGTGGTTTTATTAGACCTTTCTCCCAAATGGAATAGATTTTTCTATAAAAGTCACACTTCCTTTTTGAGAAGTATAACACTAATTTTATGGGATGGTCTCCCAAAAGATTACCTGCTAGGAACCAAACACGCTGCCTCAGAATCATGGCCCCTGGTTTCTGCCTGTGCAGCTGCAGGGGAGAGAGGCACGCTTGATTTCAGCTTGAGCTGAAATCAAGACACATGTATGCATCTTGCTCTTTCTTTCCTTCTGTTTAGTCTCTGAGCTGGCATGCCTTCAACTTCTAGGAGCTTGGTGGGTGTAGACACATTACGGTATGGAGGAGGGATATGGTGTTGCAACAGCCAGGAGACTCGCTGCAGTCTCTGTTCTCTCCCTGCTCACTGCTCTGATTTTGTATAAGTCACATTTGTAGGGCTGGGCACAGTGGCCTAAACCTGTAATCCCAGCCCTTTGGGAGGCCGAGCTGGGAGGATCGCTTGAGCCCAGAGTTCGGGACCAGTCTGGGCAACATAGCAAAACCCCATCCCTACAAAACATAAAAATTAAAAATTAGCCAGGTGTGGTGGCTCATGCCTGTAATCCCAGCTTGAGAGGCTGAGGTGCGAGAATCTCTTGAGCCCAGGAAGTCAAGGCTGCAGTGAACCATCATCGCGCCACTGCACTCCAGCCTGGTCAGAGCAAGACCCCGTCCTAAAACAAAACAAACAAACAAACAAACAAACAAACCATTTGTAATAGTGGCAGTAGTTAACTTTTGAAAGTTTGGAGAAAAGTTACTAAATAACCTGTGACCATGGACAACTTACTTAATCTTTCTATGCCTCAGTTAACTCATCTATGAAAAATGAGAGAATATGGTACTGATCTTACAGGATTTCAGCGAGAACTAGACGAGATAAAACTCAGAGCCTGGCACCTCGTGAGTGCACACTAAATGTTATTATTTCAACATTTTAGAGGAAAAAGAACGCTAATGGGTCATTATGGCTAAACATAGTCTATCACTGGCGTTACTCATGGTATTGGAAGGAACTTGAATTCCATATAGATAGTGTGATGGAGAAAGTATTTTGGGCATTGGCAGTATTAATTCAAAGAACAAAGGACCTGTCTGTCATGTGTGGAGAGCCGTTTCCGCTTGTTTCTTTAAACGCTATGGGAAAAGCAGTCGGCCCCGTGCACTCTGCTGGACAGCTTCAGTCTCCACGTATTGGTTTGGCCAATTGTCATTCGCTGTCATCATGGCAGCAGCAGTTGAAGGGACAGCTTGTCTTGATTTGCATTTTTGGGTGTTTGTGCTATTTATAGACAATTAAGAAAAGACATGGAAGCCTGTTTATGGCAAGCTGGCAAATTCAGCAAAACATGGAAAAATCTGTTAGCACAGTTTGCACGTGTGCAGGCACAGAACAGCCAAATAAACACACACATTTTCCTGTATTTTAAAAACTCTCTGGAAAAAAAAAAAAAAGACATTAAACCATTGCCCAGATGGCTTACAGAGCTTTTTCCTTGAAGTACATGAGTATGGCTGTCAGACATCTGAAACCCGAAGCCATCTTAAAACATCACCATCATTTTGATGCTGCCCGCCCGCCTCCTTTTTTTCCATTTGTGAGGGACAAGGATCCAGGAAGGAAAGTATCAGCTTACAAAGGCTTTTGTTACAATTAATCTTTCATGTTCTTTCTTTTGGTATCTTATTCTCTGCTTATATTTTATTTTTATTTTTTATTTTTTTGAGACACAGTCTTGCTGTGTCACCCAGGCTGGAGTGCAGTGGCACTTTCTCGGCTCACTGCAACCTCTACCTCCCAGGTTCAAGTGATTCTTGTGCCTCAGCTTCCTGAGTAACTGGGATTACAGGTGTGCACCACCATGCCCAGCTAATTTTTGTATTTTTAGTAGAGACGGGGTTTCCCCGTGTTGGTCGGCTGATCTTGAACTCCTGAACTCAGGTGATCTGCATGCCTAAGCCTCCCAAAGTGCTGAGATTACAGGTGTGAGCCACCGCGCCTGGTCGCTGTTTCCACTTTGTAACGCTAGCGTCACCCCAGTGTAGGGTGGCTAGGGGTATTCTTCTTTCCAGTTTCCTGGTGTATTTTCTTCTACAGCATTGATTGCTCTTTAACATACTTTTTGCTTGTCTGTCTCTACCTACAAAAATATATGTTCCCTGTTATATGACCAGTGCCTGGCACCTAGATAGTTAGTCAATATTTGTTGAATGAATGAATGAATCAATTGGCTGAAAGAACCTTATTCTTCTTTCTTCTGTCACTTCATGACAGATGCTTTTGGAAAATGCTCTGTGAATAGGGATCATAAGCAGGAGAGATTACACACATTGTTGTGGGATAGCCCATCATCCTCAGATACTTGCCTGGAGGGAGGTGGCGCAGATACTTGCCGGGAAGGAGGTGGAGTACTTGAGTAGAAATGATACAAGATAACCTCTTCAGGAAATCAGCCAAGTATCATAGCTTTTCACATAGGTGTGTAATGTTTGTGTATGTGTGTATGAAGAGCTGTTGTGGCCTAGAATCAGGGGCCTTTAGATCCCTTGTACAGATAGAAAAGTAAAGGCTGAGGCCCAGGAGCGCTCCAGGCCACTGCGGTAGAGTCCCTGTCTGCCCCTCCCAGTGCCTGGTCACTTCTCACTGCACTCCCTGCCTTACTGCTAAAGCCATCTTCCCCGACTCTGAATGTGTAACCGCAATGGAGAATATGTACTCCAGGGTCACAGTTTGTGGAGAAAAAGCCCAGCAGATGAAAATTATGTTCACAAGGTTTGTACCTAGAAAGAGTGGCCATTTCTATGATGTCTTTAAATGTCCCTGTTTCTCATACATTTTATAAACACGACAATAGAAGGAGATTCGGAAACAGCAACTTTAGAACAAGGGGAAAAAAATCAAACCTAGAGCATTCCAGTTTCTGTTTTCTTCTCAGTCTAGGGCTGAGGCACTTTAGCTTCCTGTCTAAGGGACCACTCAAATCTGATTAGCAGCCATTGTGGGCTGATAATTACCCATAATTTTAGGAAGACAGATGCAGCACCAACTCTGTTCTCTAATAGCAGGCTTATTAATTTTAAATTTGCATGGCAGGAGAAGCAGATGGCGAGGTGGGATAAGCGTTCAGATGCTTGGTCATTGATAGCTTTTTACTTCCACGCATCACATGGGGATTTGGGACCCGGGAAGCCCGCTGAGAACTGATTATTATCTGTCCCCTAACCAGCTGGGTTCTTTTTCATCCTGAGCTCAGAAAGATTGCTCCTATTGCAGTCAGAGAAGACGGGTTGTTGACTGGTTAGAAATCATGGCAGGTTATTTGCTCCACCCGCAGTTCGAAAGCAGAGCTATCAAAAGTTGTCTTCTCTATTGTGTTTCAAATATGGGTGTTTAAAAAATTATATAAGCAAATTAAGCATTTCTTTAATGGTAGTTGTGTGTGTTGTTGATGCAAATGAGGGGTGCATTCCACTATAAAATCTCTGGGACTTTATAGGAAGATGTGAGCCTTAGAACAGAAGTTGGTTTTCTAGATGATCACGTAGATATGATGCTGAACACCAGACAAAGATGCTGATTGAAGTGATTTTAAAAAATTGTGTCTGAGTTCAGATTTTACATCAATATTTAGAAAAACAGCAAAGGAACTTGGAGGAATGTTCTCATGCATCCAGTTCAGCCCCCTGTCCACATCTTCATAAAATCCGAGTGTGTGTACAGGGAGGCGCATTCCTTTCCGTTCTCATCACAGGTCCTTCCCTGGCTCTGCACCTGCCCTCTTCCCTACCTTCCCTATCTTTTCCCTCCTGTGCGGTTCTCTCACAAAGTGAATGGCCTCAGCCACAGCTTCTCTGCAGCTGCATCAGACTGTGGCGACAGGAGTGGGGCTGCTGCAGGGGCTGCTGTCCCCACGGAGACCGGTCTTGCTTGCCGCTGCAGCCTGGTGATCATTTAGCACCGGAAGTATGTAATTCCGCACAGTGAGAGCCAACATGCTGGTGATGGAGGCGTCTTTATCATGGTGCTCTGCATATTTTAATCTTCGGTGGAAAGTATGGAAAAGTATGTGATACCTGTGATTTGATGTCAGAAGGACGTTGTGAACTTGATGTGGAGTGAGGATGTTAAGGTGCAATAGGCACCCTTGGCTTCATTAAATGAGACTTCCCCATCTCCCTGCTAGGCACGCACAGGCATATGGCCACATCTTATGTGTTATCCTTATTTAGAGTATGCCTTGTGGTCATGCTTAAAGTTACATGATTATATTCTTCCTCATAGGGTAGGTCCCAAACTGCATTCAACACAGAAATGTACTCTTGCTGTTATACATAGAAAGTGCTTTCATATACCAAGTGGGAGAGCAGTCCTAAAATCTGCGCTGGAATCGCAGAAGGAAGGCATTGGAAAGCAACAGATTCCCTAGCCCAAAGCTGTTTTTTGATGAACATAGAAACAGGACCAAGAGAAGTGAATTTGCCTGAGGCCCTGACGGTGTCTCAGGGTAGCATTTGAACCTAGCAGTTTCTTGACCTATTTCTTTAAATGATTAGTCGTGCTTCCTCTGATTCCTATATAAACGTATTCCTCACTCATTCTTTTGTTTCAGTGAATTATTGCAATGCTACCACGTAACAGTATTTGAGTCAAAATGTTGCAGTGTTTATCCGTTTCCAAGGTTTTTAGTTGTACAGTTTTTCAAAGTTGTGCTTATAGTTTCTTGTTGGTTACAAGGTACCCTTTCAGAAGCCAATTGTGTGGTGTATTTAAGTTGATTGTTAGAGGTAGTTTGGTTATAACCTACTTGGAGTCGCTGGCGTGGGCCTGGGGGACAATGACAGCTGCCTGCTTCATGGGCAGAGATGAAGTAATTGCTTCCTGGGAAGCACCATCCTCCTGGCCACACTGTCCAGCCGACTTAGTTTGTGTTGGTTTCCTCACATCTGCACGTTTCTGGCTTCATTTGAGTCTCATTTATTTTAGCATACAACTTCAGGCTGTGGGGAAGAATGGCCATTTTAGCTGTGCTAAATGCGCAGCTAAATGTGCTAAATGCTAAATGTGCTAGATGCGCACAAAGGAACAATTGGCTAAATGTGAGCAAAGACATTCTTGGGGGGGTTTCATTTCTTTTATTCTGTAACAGGCAGTCTTGGAAGCATTCTGGATGTGTGGCCTCCTCTGTCACAGTTCCTTCTTGCAGGATCGCAGATTTTTGGAGATTTTAGTGATAACTGTTATCATTGAGAATGGCATTCTTGCAGGCTCTAATAAGTCAGGATTTATTTGGTGTTAATTTGTTAAAGACAACTGTATTTCTAGCCAAATACATGTTGGATGTTCTCCTTGCAGAGTTGCTGGGGGTATTTGCCATGGCTTAGTCTTAGGGAAGCACATGCCTTTGAATGCTGTTGAAGCTGTGAGTAACCAAAACGCACCTGAGTACTTTTGCCATATGAGGTGTTAGTCACTGATACACTTCTCATTCAGACCTGATGGATTCTTGACCCCTTCCTTTTTTATTTATTTATTTATTTATTTATTTTTAAAGAGCACAACCCCTCAGGTGGCCAGTATGAATCTTTGGTGTTTTCAGTTGGTTGAAGCCTATTTGCCATCTCTGGTTCAAACATATTCGAAGCCTGCTGATGCTTCCCTTTGTTATTCTTCTGCTGTCTAACCTCGGCTCCTGTAGGGTTCAAGACTGTCAGAGCTGGGAGCCACCTTCACAATTAACAGGGTTTTCAGAATCTCCTTTATCTAGCCCTGGGGATGGAAGAGATGTTATCAGAGGTGGAGGCTTATTAGGTTTACATGCCATTGATAATGAATGAGGAGGTTTTCTTTTATATAAGCGGAGCTTCTTATAATGTGCTTTAGTAGGGTAAAGAAGTTTTTGAGGTCTGCCTTTCTCGAGGGAAGATAATTTGTGATCCTGCCCTTGTTTTCAACAAAAATATAATTTGCATACCAGTGCATGTTGTATTATTGAGCACTGACTGACAAACGGTTCTTAACTCGTCATTCACCCAGCCACTGTTTCTTGAATGGCATATGTGTGACAGCTGTAGTAGGAACTTGCTAGGCTCCAGGACTAACCCTTATGAAACGGGGGTCCTGGGGGAAGCAAATGCGTATAACTGTAAAAGTTTGTGAGGATATCAGTGGGGGCGCCTATAGGTGCAAAACTTAGTTCATTCATTGCCCTATCTAGGAGGTTATGTGTCTTAGCAGCATGTTCCATACCAATGCATCTGTCTATTAAAATATTCATCATATTATTTTGAAATTCTCTGCTTAGGTATGTATTTTTCCCACTAAGTTTAGAACTCGTTAAGGACAGGCTGTGGGGTATGTATTACTTATATATATATATACACACACATATATTTATATATATACATTTGTGTATATACAATACCATTGTATATACACAAATGTGTATATATACACATTATATATACATTTATATGTTTTTATATATACACACATATATATTTCTCCCTCTCTGTATATACACACACCACACACACATATATATACACATACATATATATGAAATAGACACACACACACACACACACACACACACACTTCTACTGCCCAGCACAGAAAGACAAAACTAGGCAAGGGTTCTTTTAGTGTTCGTGAAAAAATAGATGTGCTTAGTTGAGAGCGTCCTTAAGTTGCCAGGGGAAAGACAGGATGGGTTCACAAAGGGAGAGAGTGTTTTTTTTTTTTTTTTCTTCTTTTTCTTTGTTTAACTCTTGAATTTGAAATAATCCAGACTTATGGAGAAGTTGCAAAAATAGTACAGAGAATTCCCGTATGCTCTTCCCTCAGATTGCCCAAACATTTCACCCCATTTGCACTTTCTCTTTCTGTGGATATAATTTTTTTTTCCTGAAATGTTTGAGAGTGGAAGGTAGAATGCAGGGTAGGGTGAAAGGCGGAAGGAGAGAGGTGGGTTGGGAGGCTTTTTTTTTCCCCTTCTGAGATGGAGTTTCACTCTTGTCACCCAGGCTGGAGTGCAATGGCATGATTTTGGCTCACTGCAACCTCTGCCTTCTGGGTTCAAGCGATTCTCCTGCCTCAGCCTCCCGAATAGCTGGGATTACAGGTGCCTACCACCATGCTCGGCTAATTTTTTGTATTTTTATTAGAGGGGTTTCACCATGTTGGCCAGGCTGGTCTCGAACTCCTGACCTCTGGTGATCCACCCGCCTTGGCCTACCAAAGTGCTGGGATTACAGGCGTGAGCCACTGTCCCCGGTGATTGGGAGGCTTTTCCAGTAACCCAGAGCACTATGATGAAGGCTGGACCTGGTTGGGAAGGATGAGGAAGGTGAGGAGTGGTTAGGTCTGGCACATACTTTGAAAGGAGAGTTTAAGTGGTTTGGATGATTAAGGATGATGTCAAGGATTTTGGCCTGAGTAACTAGAAGACTAGAGATGCTGTTATTGGGATGGGGAAGACTATGGGAGGAGTGGGTTATAGCAGGGGGAATCAAAAGTGCGTTTTGGGCATGCTAAATTTGAGGTCCAAAAAGAGATGCCACGAAGTGTTGCCTGGGTGCGGTGGCTCATGCCTGTAATTCCAGCACTTATTCCAGCACTTTGGGAGGCCGAGGCAGGCGGATCACCTGAGGTCAGGAGTTCGAGACCAGCCTGGCCAACATGGTGAAGCCCCATCTCTACTAAAAATACAAAAACTAGTCAGATGTGGCAGTGCACGCTGGTGTTCCCAGCTGCTCTGGAGGCTGAGGCAGGAGAATTGCTTGAACCTGGGAGGCTGAGGTGCATTGAGCCAAGATCACGCCATTGCCCTCCAGCCTGGGTGACAGAGTGAGACTCCATGTCAAAAAAACCACAAAAACAAACAAACAAAAAAAACAAGCGCTGGGGAGAAAAAGCAGAATGCAAGAGACTCCAAAGAAGATGAGTAGTTCCCAAGATAGGATTAGCGGATTCTGTGATCAAGGAGAAGAAGCATCTGAATGCACACAGGGCTAGCAAGAGGCTGTAGCTGTAGTTGTGTGTTCAGCTCATTTATATGGAATTGAGCCTACAGTTCTTACATGTTTTCCTACCGTTTGTTCGTAAACAGCAGGTCCTCAGTTTGCATAACTGAATTTACTCTGATGTCCTGTTTTTCAAAATTCATCATCAACAGCTTCCTTGAAGGTGTGTTTTCATTATTTTTCATCACCTCTTTGACCCTCTGTAAGATGAGATTGAGCTCAGCCTACCCAAAGAAGGCAGTTGGAAATGGTTTGGAGTTGAGGGTAGAGGGCCAAACTGAAGATAAACATCATGGGATTGGAGGAAATCACCTTGGGAGTGGATAGAATTAGGAGAAGAAAAGAGTCTCTAGACCAAACATCTTCAGAGGTTGGGAAGAGAAGGGGAGCCAGCAGAGACCAGCCACGTAGGTGACAAAACCAAAGGAACTGTTTCCAGAGGAATGGGCCATAGATACACCGTGTCACACCGTGTCACATGCTGCCAGGCATCATGTGCTGCCGGGCGGTTGGGGGCTGGGGTGGGGAATGGGGACTGAGCATTGGGTGTGGGGGAAGTGAGGACTGAGCCCTGGGTGTGGGGGGAGTGAGGACTGAGCCCTGGGTGTGGGGGGGAATGAGGACTGAGCATTGGGTGTGGGGAAGTGAGGACTGAGCCCTGGGTGTGGGGGGAATGAGGACTGAGCCCTGGGTGTGTGGGGAGTGAGGACTGAGCCCTGGGTGTGGGGGGAGTGAGGACTGAGCCCTGGGTGTGTGGGGAGTGAGGACTGAGCCCTGGGTGTGGGGGGAGTGAGGACTGAGCCCTGGGTGTGTGGGGAGTGAGGACTGAGCCCTGGGTGTGGGGGGAGTGAGGACTGAGCCTTGATAGCTGGACTTGGCAACAGGGATGTCATCAAGTGACTTGAGAAGAGCTGTTTTACAGACCATGGGGTTGGGGAGGGAGTAGGCAGAGGTGGGAGGAAGGAAGTCGAGAGTGATCAGACCCCTCGTTGGAGGTGCTTGCTTTATTTTAGGAGGTTCGTCATGTCGGTGTTCAGTATTATTTAGTTTGTCTTGTAACTTCTGAGTCCTCATTCTGGGGAGCAGATTGACATTCCTTAGCTGGAAAACCAAAGGTGTATGTAAAAAACCTCTTTTAATGGTGGGTTATACTGTGTTTTAGGCATTACAAAGAAAATTTGCTCCATAGAAATTGGACCATTTGGATTAGTTCTATAAAAAATACTTTCTGAGCCAGGCATGGTGGCTGTAATCCCAGTTTGGGAGGCCGAGGCGGGCGGATCACCTGAAGTCGGGAGTTCGAGACCAGCCTGACCAACATGGAGAAACCCAGTCTCTACTAAAAGTACAAAAATTAGCCGGGTGTGGTGGCACATGCCTGTAATACCAGCTGCTCAGGAGGCTGAGGCAGGAGAATCGCTTCAACGTGGGAGGCACAGAGGTTGTGGTGAGCCAAGATCGCGCCACTGCACTCCAGCCTGGGCATAAGAGTGAAACTCCCGTCTTAAAAAAAAAAAAAAAAAAAAAAACTTTCTGAAGAACACACACTTCCATGTAGAAGTGGTAAAGTGTGAATGTGGTCTTTTTGCTTTTTTGAAGCAAAGATCACTGAGCTGCTAATTCCTAAAACCGCTGATATTTTTGGATGGCAGCTATTGTTCACTGAGCAGAGCTCGCTCTGTCATTCATTAGGTTTCTGTCCTTGAGTCCTGAGAGTTAGTTTTCTCACCTGTAAAATGATAGTATCTACTCTGGAGACATTATTTTAAAAAACTCGAGTGACTTGTTTGGAAAGTTGATTGGCATTGCATGAAACATGTAAGGGAGGCCAGATTTGGTTTCTTTGGGGTGGGGAATAGCTACAGATTTTGAGCACTTACTATGTGTTATGCTGGGGAGTAGACAAAGTTACAGATTATCTTTGGTTAATCCTCATAACCGCTCTTTAAAGTGGAGATTATCCTTTAAGAGCTTTTTTTAAAAAAATCTTTAACAGATAATAATTATACTGATAATGACCGTAGTAATTTATTGGAGACTTCTTACGAGCTAAGGACTGTGCTAAATTTAAATTCTTCACATAATGACATTTAAAGAACTGACCGACAAGCCTCTGATGATCCTCGTTTTTAGAGGTGAGGTAGCACAGCACTGTACTCAAGGCCATGCCTGGCAAGTGCTGGAGCAGAGTTCCAGCCTCAACCCTCCACCACCGAAGTCTGTGTTCATTCGCTGTGTCCAGATCGTTCTATCATCACATCCTCCTGGAGTCTGGATTTCATCCATTCCCTGTGGCAGCCCCAGCCCTGCGAAGCGGGTGTGTGAGACCAACGATGTTCTTAATTTGCTTCCATTAGCACACTGACATATGTTACCCAGAGCCTGGTGCCACCTGCCCCTCCGTCTGTACCCACATGCATAGCGGCGGAGCCATCTGCCTGGGGAGCCAGGGGCAGAGAGACAGCAGGCCTTCCAGCATCCCCCTCCCTGGAGATCAGCCCATGGCCCTTCCTTCCCCTCGTGGTTGGAGCTTCAATCCTAGGCCTCCTGTCAGGAGCCCTCGAGGCTTTTCCTCTTTGGCAGCAGAACCTAGGGCCCCCATCTTTCCAGAGATGACGGCAGCCAGATAACGCAAGAGCCTCATTTCAGACCTACCTCTTCATCGGTGGGTCACATGATGCGAAGGGCTGGTGAAGAGAAGGGTGGTGAAGTGGGTGTATAGAAGGAGCCAACACAGTTATGGTGGTTGGTGGGGCAGACACAGATGGACCAGGCCCCCTCTGTCTCCCTGATTCTGCATTCTGAAAGGAGCATGGTCACCCTTCACAAAGCGGGCTGGCCTCTCATAGCTAACAGAGTCCCGGGGTTGCCGCCGTCACCAGGCTTGTCTTGACATGTACGTCTCTTCTGCCTCAGAATTCACGCTCCTCTGTGCTAAATGCTTCTTCTGTGTTAGCGTCATATCCTTTGTCTTCAGGTTTTCCTTTTTCGAGTTTTGTCCCCTAAAGACCCAGAACAGAGGTAAGCAAGCTTTTTCTGTAACAGAGCAGAGAGTACATATTGTAGGCTTTAGACTCTTGTTGCGACACTCATCCCTGCTGTTGGAGTGTGAACACGGCTGTAGGTGATACATAAATGAATGGACGTGTCTGTGTTCCGATAAAACATTATTGACAAAAATAGGCTTTGGGCCAGGTGTGGGCTGCAGTCTCCCCTGCTGTGGATGGTTGAGGACATGGGTGAACCTGTGCACAGATTTAACCCCCACTGTTCCCAAGTCATTTCAGATATTTTTGAACTTGACAGTGTGAACGTCAGCCAGAGGCCAAGTGCAGCGTTTGGGGGCATTGTTCTTACTGTGCTGTCTCCCTTCTTGAGGTCTTTGCTGGTGATTTGAACTCAGCCTCTGTTGAAGCCTCCAGGGCTCGCTGAGGCTGTGGGTAGAGGCGAGGGAGGCGGCAGCGTTTGCATTATTTCCTTAAGGAGCATTATTGCTGGTTCCCTTCTACACTGGAAACACCCTCGCCCTGGTGTACCAAAGTCAGTGTGGCTTAGGGCCTGGCTTCTCAAAGTGCGACCCATGGCCAGCAGCGTTGACACCACCTGGGAGCATGTTAGAATGCAGATATCAGGCCCGTCCCAGAAGAGTGAGTCAGAATCTGCCTTTAACAAGAACCCCCGGTGGTGAGTTGTGTCCCCAGGAAAGGTTGAGAAGCACAGGTTTAGGGTGTTCCAAGCTGGAGGACAGAAAGTACTTTTTGAAAATCCTTTAACCCTTAACCTTTTTTTTTTTTTTTTTTTGAGACAGAGTCCCACTCTGTCGCCCAGGCTGAAGTGCAGTGGCGTGATCTCGGCTCACTGCAAGGTCCGCCTCCCAGGTTCACGCCATTCTCCTGCCTCAGCCTCCCAAGTAGCTGGGACTACAGGCGCCCGCCACCACGCCTGGCTAATTTTTTGTATTTTTTAGTAGAGACGGGGTTTCACCATGTTAGCCAGGATGGTCTGGATCTCCTAACGTCGTGATCCGCCCGCCTCGGCCTCCCAAAGTGTTGGGATTACAGGCGTGAGCCACCGCACCCAGCCAATCCTTAGCTTTTTTACGTTAAAAGTGTAATGTAACTTTAGAGCGTGAAGGCAGTTTTATGTCTTTTTAGACATCTTACAAGAGTCATGATTCAACATGATTTTCCTGATGGAAAGGGGATGTTGCTAGCCACTGATCTGGAATAGTGTAAAAAGCCATAGACCAGTTAGAAGAGACCAGGAGAAACGGGGTGGTTTCTGCCCCCCCGGCACCGGGGCTGGTAAAAATCCCTTGATTTCAGTCTTTGTGTCTTCTTCATTTTCTCATATATGTTATGAGATATACTGAGAGGTAAGAGTTCAAGTTCTTATGGTTGAAATGCTCCAGTTTATCTTTTTCTGGTTGTGTGTTTTGATGTTCTCTTGATGGTCTTTTTCTCCGTCTGCCCTCTGCCATCTCAAGGAGGGTATTTTCATCCGCCTTTTTCCTATAGGATCCCCCACCCCGCTGCTCCCCCACCACATCCCACGTTTGACTCATGGGCTGCAATTTCATCCCAGCTGGCTGAGGTCAGGGTGCAGTCTCAAATGCGTCATGGAATAGTTTGGGGTGTTACCAATGATGGTGGTTTGTTCGGTGGGAAAGGCTGAGTCTTGGGGGTTCGTGTTCTAGGCACCCTGGAAGCTGCTGTCTCCACTCTACCCACCAGATCCCGTGTTAATCAGGGTCAGCTTTTTATTTAAATCATGGCTGAGAGATGCATATAATCAAGTTCAAGTGCAAAAAGATGGAGGTGAATGGGGAATGTCTGTTCTCTTAGTTGCTGGACATGTGGCATCTCACAGCTGGCAGCATGCAGGTCCAATGATTCCCACCTCCCCGTTTCTGTGGGCTGCCCCTCCCCCAGTGTCTCCTTGGGGAATGCAGAGGTCTGTGAACTGCTCTCTCAGTCTGGAACCTCCCACTGCTCCTCTGCAGAGCCTGCTGTCCCTGTGGTCAGGAGCCCATCTGTCACTCTGGACATCTGCAGAGCCTTAGATGTTCTGATGGGGCAGTTGGCAGCTGGCCGGGTCATCTTTCATTCCATGTCGAGAGGCCTGTGTAGTTCTTAAGTGATGCTTCTGTACTTAGAAATGGTGCCGGAGCCTCTTTTGTCCCCTACTGAAATTTGCCCATCCCTGCAGTGATTTAGGAGAAATTTGCTCCTGACCTTCCTAGCCTGTGGGCTCTTCACCTCTCTAAACTTCATTTACTTCACCCATAAAGTGAACATAGTTTGCTTTTTTCTTTTTTTTCTTTTTTTGAGTCGGAATTTTGTTCTTGCTGCCCAGGCTGGAGTGCAATGGCACCTTCTTGGCTTACTGCAACCTCCGCTTCCCGGGTTCAAGCCATTCTCCTGCCTCAGCATCCTGAGTAGCTGGGATTACAAGTGCCTACCACCACACCCAGCTAATTTATTTTGTATTTTTAGTAGAGATGGGGTTTCACCATGTTGGCCACGCTGGTCTTGTGAACTCCTGACCCCAGGTGATCCACCCGCCTTGGCATCCCAAAGTGCTGGGATTATAGGTGTAAGCCACCACGCCCGGCCTTTTTTTTTTTTTTTTTTTTTTTAATGAGACCATATTTATAAGTTCAACCTTCCTTTTCTTTCCCCTTTGTTTTTTATTCCTTCCTTTGGATTAGAAGACTCACTCATGAATATCAAGATGTAACACAGCTTTATGATAATGAAGAGAATACAATTCATTAGAGCCTGTGATTAGGAATTCTGCTGTCTTCCTTATGAAAAACAGAATTAGCTCTTAATATGCTCAGCCAGTCTGATGCTATTATTACCTAAGTTTAATGCTGTTGTGTAGCAAAATCTCTTAAAGTTCTATTTACCTAGATCTAGTATTATCAGTTAGAATATATAGTGTTTCCTGTTGAATTTTACGTGACCTTGACCAGTTAGGTTTTCTCTCTGGTCCTTGGTTCTCTACCTCGGATGTGCTTCTTCAGCCCACAGAATCCTAGTCCGTGAAGACGGAGAACATTCTCCACCCTGAATTCACTCACAGCCCCTGCTGTCAGTCCTCTCCCAGGACACAGACCCGGGCAACCGCTCATCTGCTTCCTGGCCCTGCAGATTCCTTTGCCAGTTCTAGAATTTCACCAAAACAGAGTCAGATAGCATGCCTTTTGGGCTTGTGTTAGCTTCTTTTGCATGGCTTTTCTTGAGATTAATCTGAGTTATGTGTGTGAGTAGTTTATTTATTTTTTTTTTTGGTAATTTATTTTTCTTGCTGAAAAAGATTCCATTGTGTGAACATATTGCAATCTGTTTATCCACATGCTTATTAGTGGCTGCTTAGGCTGTGCTCAGTTTTGGGCTGTTATGAAGAAAGCTGCCATTGTTTTTATGTAGACACATGCAGTAATGTCTCTTAGGTAAATAGCCAGGAGTGGCATTACTGGATCTCATGGTACGTGTACATTTAAATTTACAAAAAACTGCCAAACTCTGCCTTCCCACCGGGAAAGTGGGAGGATTCTAGTTGCTCTCCTGTTTTGCTAAGGCTTGATATGATGAGTCATTTGAATTTTAATCATTCTGGTGGATGTATCAGGGCATCTCATTGTGATTTTAATTTGCATTAACCTGATGACTCATGATATTAGCATATTTTTATGTGCTTATTGGCCATTCCTGAAATGTCTGTAACCACTTTGCCCATTTTTTATTAGGTTGTTTGTCTTCATGTGTTTTTGGTATTCAGTGTGTTGTTACAAGTGCTGTGTCATGAAATGTGTATTGCAGATATTTTCTTCTGATTTTCTTAAAGATTAAAAAGTTCAATTTATTTTTTTCTTATATATTAGTACTTCTGCTGTAAGAAATCTCAGCCTATCTCCAGAGTCATAAATATTTTTGCCTATGTTTTCATTGAGACGTCTTATAGTTTTATCTTTTATGTTTAGGTCTGATCTATTTAAGGTAATTCTTGTATTTGGTACGACGTAAGGAGTAGAGTTTAGTTTTCCCCATACTGACATCCAGTTGTTCAGCAGCATTTGTTCCAAGGACTGTTTTTTTTCCCCATTGCATTATCTTGGCATCTTTGTCAAAAGTCAGTTGACCGTTTATGTGTGGGTGAATTTCTGGACTTTGTTCACCAATCTATCCTAACACCAATACCACACTGTATTGATAATTGTAGCTTTATTGTAAGCCTTGAAGCTAGGTAATAGAAGTGTTCCAACATTGTTCTTTTTTTCTCCACCTCGTTTGGCCAATTTGTGTTCTAGTTCTTTGTTCTTTTTGTTTTTGTCTATTTTAGAATTGGCTTCTTTTTTTTTTTTTTTTTTTTAACAAAAATTGCTCCTGGGATCTTGATTGAGATTGTGTTGCATCTATAGATGGATTTGGGGCAGAGTTATTATTTTAGCAGTAGGGATTCTTCTAAATATAGTATCTCTCTTTTTATTTATGGTCCTCCCACCAGACATAGACTGGTGTTTTCTTAACAGCATCTCATAGTTGTCAGTTTATAGATTGTTTACATACTTTGTTAAATTTATCCTAATATATTTAACATATTTTAATACTATTGGAAGTGGTACTAGGTTGCTTTTTTCCTTTTCTTTCATTTTTCAATTGTTCTTTTTTTAAAAAAAAAAAAAACGCTTCATTGAGGTACAGTTGATGTACAATAAACCTCACATGTTTAAAGAATAGTTTGATGAGTTTTAATCGTAAAGTGAGATAAAGAATATGAAAAACTTTAGTTTTTATATGTATGCCTTTTTTTTTTTCTTTTTTTTTTTTTTTTGGGATGGAGTTGCCCAGGCTGGAGTGCAGTGGTGCGATCTTGGCTCACTGCAACCTCCACCTCCTGGGTTCAAATGATTCTCCTGCCTCAGCCTCCTCTCCCGAGTAGCTGGGGCTACAGGCACGTGCCACCACGCCTGGCTAATTTTTTGTAATTTTAGTAGAGATGGGGTTTCACCATGTTAGCCAGGATGATCTGGATCTCCTGACCTCGTGATCCGTCCCCCTTGGCCTCCCAAAGTGCTGGGATTACAGGCAGATGCCTTTTATTAGATTTACTAGAAAACAACCCCCCTGTATTCCTCATTTTAGTATCTGCTAATATGGTGAATTATACTTAATGATTTTCCAGTGTTAAACCAACCTTGAATTCCAAGGGTAAACTCCATTTGGTCTTAATGTGTTATCCTTTTTGGATATTATTTAATTTAATTTGCTAAAAATTTTGTTAATGGCAGGCACAATGGCTCATGCCTGTAATCCCAGCATGTTGGGAGGCTGAGGCGGGCAGATCACTTGAGGTCAGGAGTTCGAGACCAGTCTGGCCAACATGGTGAAACCCCGTCTTTACTAAAAAATACAAACATTAGATGGGGGTGGTGGTGGGCACCTGTAATCCCAGCTACTTGGGAGGCTGAGTCTGGAGAGTCTCTTGAACTTGGGAGGCGGAGGTTGCAGTGAGCCGAGATCATGCCACTGCACTCCAGCCTGAGCAACAGAGTGAGACTCTGTTTCAAAAAACAACAACAACAAAAAAAAACTGTTAACAATTTTTCTGTCTGTGTTCATGAGGTGTGTTAGTCTGTTTTTGGTTCCTTGTAATGTCTTTTTTCTGAGTTATTTGCTGGCCCTTCCCTTTAATTTTCTGCAAGAGTTTGTAGAAAATTGTATTACCTCTCCTGAAATATTTGCTAGAATTCACTAGTGAAGCTGCCTGGGGCTGGAGTTTTCTTTAATATAGAGCTGTTCAGATAGTCTGTTTATTCTTTTCCGTTTCTGAAAGTTTGCATCTTTTAAGGAATTTGCCCATTTCATCCATGTTTTTGAATTTGTGGGCATAAAGCTATTCATAATATTTCCTTATGGTCATATTAATGTCTGTACCTGTGTGACCCATGTCCCCTCTCTCCTTACTGATCCTTGTAATAGGAGGAGTTCAGAATTTATTGGTGGGTAGCCTCCTAGCCACACATTCAGAGCAGGTGGAAGTGTATTTATAACAGAAGGGGTGAGGAGAGTTGCTGGGGAAGGAAGAGCAGTTAAGACACTTTGTGTTTTGGTGCGTTTAGGTGAATCATAATGTCCTTTCTGTAGATTAAATAACTTGTTTTTCTAAAATGTCACAATTTCATTTTTGAAAATCCAAGTTTTTGTGTTGAAACAAAGCATTCCTGAAATTAATAATTGTTCTTTATGGGGCTGGGCGTGGTGGCTCACGCCTGTAATCCCAGCACTTTGTGAGGCCGAGGTGGGCAGATAACTTGAGGCCAGGAATGAAAGACCAGCCTGGCCAACATGGTGAAACCATGTCACTACCAAAAATACAAAACTTAGCCGGGCGTGGTGGCGCGTGCCTGTAATCCCAGCTACTTGGGAGGCTGAGGCAGGAGTATCGCTTGAACCTGTGAGACAGAGGTTATGGTGAGCTGAGATTGTGCCACTGCACTCTAGCCTGGGCAATGGAGCGAGACTCCATCTCAAAAAAAAAAAAATTGTTCTTTATGAAATAAAAACAAATAGTATGACAATTTAAAAAACTATAATAGCATAATCGTACTAAGCCAGAAGAAAGACAAATTCCTCCTTTGTGTCTAAGAAAATACTGAAACCATGTGTTGCCCAGTAAGAGTATATGCGTACGTGAATATTCTGAGTTTAAGTTTGCAGTGCTGGCAGTGCTGATCCTTAAAATAGTAATATAAAAATGATTTAAAGCCTCATAAATGCTCATTCCAAATGGTTACATCATTATGCTATTTTTGGCTCAATTGGTTTTACATTTGAATACTTTTTAACATTATATTGGTGGCTTTGTTCCAACTTTGATTTATTTTAGCTTAATTGATTTGTCAGAGTAGAAAATCAGAGATTTTGAAAATTTGACATAAAATTGTTGGTTAGATGCATTTTCCTGTAACACCCATCGTCATTTCTGTGTGTTTATATTTATTTGCGTACTGCTTGTCTCTAACTTGGGATCACGTTTGCTTTGCTTATTATTGGGTACCCCACACTTAGATACCCAAATATTTTGCAGTGACTTAATTGTTCTTGTTTTTAGTGAATGTTCAAAATATGTGACAATAAATAGAGTGTAAATTTGCATTTCCTCTTTCCATTCTCCTGTTCCTATCATTCTTTGCCCTCTCTTGACTGGTGTGCCCCTTCCTACTCCAGTCTCCCACTCCACCAGTTCATCTTTAAAGCTGCCTCTGGAAGGGTCTTTACAAAAGTGGAGATCCATCAATGCCATTTTTTCTAGAAACCTTTTGTGATTCTTCCTTTCCTAGAATAAGGGTTCTGTGAGTCCAGGTATGTGTCTGCTGTTCTAGGTTGTGAGCCCTTGGATGTCAGGGGTAACATCTCACTTGTCTTTAAATTCTGAGTTCAGTGTTGTGAACATAGTGTTTAATAACTTGTTACTGAACTAAATTGACCTTCTGTAAATGGAAGGGAAACACTGTGCTTTCGATATCATATTTAAAGCTTTTGTTAGCAACCAGCCTGGTTTATGTCAATAACCTTCTCCCAGCCTAGGCATCAGGAGGTCTGGCTTCTGTAACCCATTATCACGTTCTGTATATTATTATGATAAGCAAAAAACATACCCAGATCTAGGTCCTGTTTTTTGCCTTCTACAGAACAATAGAAGGATATTTTCCATCAGGGCTTGTATGTCCATCCATTAATTAATCTGACTTTTAAGGGTCAGGCTAATTTCCCGAAGTAAAGTGTTCTGTGGAGTTTACACCAGTTCCTTTGAAGACTCCTTGCTGGCTCCTTAGAATTCAGAAAGGAACATTCCCAGGACCTAGAATATACACACATGCACAGATCCCTTTTATAAACACAGGCTTTCCTTTGGGATATTGAGAAATCTTTTAAAGATCCCACTTTCAGAGTTGAAACTGCACAGCGATTGTCATAGGTTCTGTTGAGACACTGGAGAGCTATAAATAGATTTGATTTGCTTTCCCTTTTTAGGTGCAAATTAAACTACTGTAAATTGAGTGTCCCCAAAGCCAGAGGTTTTTATTTACAGCAGTCCTTAGACGTTCATTGCAGCCTTGGTAGGCACATAACTGTTATTATCCCCACATTATACATTACGGAACTGGGAATCAAAGAAGTTTAATGACTTGTATTCAAAATCATCCAGTCGTTCAAATAATGGTCATCAAAAAGAATTTTAGATGCAGTCCAGCTGAGGGAAGCTTTCCAACCAGACAGTGCCTAAAGCTATGCTGCTTTTTCTGAGATTTCTTAGATCTACCTTTAAGCAGCGCATTTGGATGATCTGCGGAGGCCTGTGGAAATAATTGGAAGAGTCTGCATGGAGAGTCTGAGCTGTAACCCTATAAGGGAAAATATGCAAGGACCATGCTCGAACACAGCTCCTTTGCTTCAGTGCCACTCGAGTTCTGATACCCTTTGGAACACCGAGTATTCTCACACAGAGAGGACCCTGAACAGGTGGTGATCAACTTGCTCGAGAAAAGGAATTCATCAGAATTAGTCTTTCACCACGAATTTTTGTATGTTCTGAGACTATCACAAAAGACATGGTTACTAAGTATGAGAGGACAAGCCATGGCATCTTTCTCTGCAATTTTCTCTTTGAAGCAGATCTCAGGAATGTTGTCTATTATGGAGAACTGGAAACATAAAAGTGAATTAATTCAACAAACATATACTGAGTGTCATGTTCTTGTTTCCACATCAGGCATCGTGCTTGACATTCTGGGCAAAGAGAGAAGTCACACAGTGGTCCCTGTCTTCCAACTGTCTACTGGCTAGTGGAGGAGACAGACAAATTAGCCTGTTATTACAGCATAGCGGGAGAGAGGCGGTGATGGTCGGCCTGAGGCGGGGGAGACGCAGCTGAGTCTTGAAGTGTAGCACCTCAGTGAGACAGCCAGGTGAAGGAAGGTGTGGTAGTGATGTGTGTGTGGGACGACGCAGGGACACACAGGGTTAAGCATACCGGGCAGAGAGCAGTGGCACGTGCAGAGGCCTGGGGCAGAAGCAGGCGTGATATTTGTGGGAAACTGAGGGATTGAGAAGGCCTGAAGTGTGACACATAAGCAGAGTGGAAAGAGACAATCTAGAAAATAAGCACAGTCCAGGTTAATTAAGATTTTTATACAGGATCCGGAGAAGTCACTGAGAAGAGTGTAGCAAACCAGGGTGATTTTTCTGAAAAGCAGGTTGGTCATGGTTTGGGAACTGTTTCTTAATTGGAGCCTGAAATCTAGAGAGCGATGAGATGAGCTTTTGTGAAACAGTTCTCCAGCGTCCTGCCTTTGTCAAAGAAAGGTGTAACCATTGACCCAGCCTCTCCTCTGCAGAGAGTCAGCATAAAGCACAGAGGTGTGGTGGGCCAAGAAGTTTAGGGAATGCACCGTGTGTATGAGTTCACTGCTAGGCAGGGCAGGGGATAGGAGTCCGTAATCCATGTTTGTCATTCTCCAGGAGCTCATACTTTTTGTAGGCACATTGATCAGTCTTTTCTTTTTACGTCTGATTTTGAGTCAGAATTAGAAAATCTTTTTCCACACCCAGGTTATAAAAGAATTCATCTGTTTCTTCTAGAACTTGAGTTGTTTCATTTTTTTCTGTTTGGGTTTTCAAGTATCTTTAGAGTTTTTCTGGTGTACGTAAGGTAAGGAGTTTCATCTTTTCTTTTTCCCAAATAGTTACCAGTTGTCCCAACCCCAGTTATTAAGGTGACAATTTTTCTTATATTTCTGTGTGTATTTGGGTCTATTACTGGACTTTTTATTCTGTTCTATGGATCCGACTGGGAATTTAAATATGTTAGTATCAAATGGTTTTAATGATGAGCCTTTATTATTTTTAAATAGTTGGCAGGGCTGGCTATTCTCTCTTCATTGTTCTTAGACATCTCTGCATTCTTATTTTTTCCATATGAAATTTAGAATCAATTTGTTTAGTTCCAGAAACAAAACAAAACAAAATTTGTTGATATACGGGTTAGGCCTATCTTGCATTGCTATAAAGAAATACCTGAACTTGGGTAATTTCTAAAGAAAAGAGATTTAATTGGCTCATAGTTCTGCAGGCTTTACAAGCATGGTGCCGACATTTGCTCCGCTTTTGGGAAGGCCTCAGGAAGTTTCCAGTCATGGTGGAAGGTGAAGGGGGGAGCAGGTGTCTCACATGACAGAGCAGGAGCAAGAGAGGGAGTGGGGGAGTTGCCCCACACTTAAACAACCACTTTTCCTGAGTGGGACTCACTCACTATTGCAAGGACAGCACCAAGCCATGAGGGATCCACCCCCGTGACCCAACACCTCCCACCAGCCAGGCCCCATCCCCAACACTGGGGATTACATCTCAACATGAGATTTGGAGGGGACATCCAAATGATTTCAGTGTATTATTGCTATTGCTCGAAATATATTTGTTAACTTGGGGAGAATTGACATCTTTTTGATGTTAAGTTGTCCTATCCAAAGGCAAGGGGACATCTTTCCATTTGTTCACATTTACTTCTTCATCTTTCAATCAAGTTTTAAGTTTTCCCTATGTAAGTTTTGCGCATTTCTTGCTAAATTATTTAAAGTAGTTTACTTTTTTATTGTTTTATAAATGGGTGCTGATATTCCATGATATCTTCTAGCTATTTATTGTTTGATATAAAATAAGCATGCAGAAAGCTACAGTTTTCACGTCTCCTGCTTTACCAGGTTTACTTTCACATCAGCTGCCAATAGAAATAATTTTTTTTAAGTTTCTGATTGTTTTCTCTTTTCTTATTGCTTTGACTAACACTTCTCCTACAGTGTTAAAAAGTAGTGGGGGAAATGGGCCTCTTTGACTTGTTTCTGACCCTACTGGGAATTCTTGAAGTGTTTCCTCATTAAATAAGATGCTGTTTTTTTGGGTGTGGGTGTTTTAATCTTAGTACATGTATTTTATCAAGTTAAGTGCCTATCAATTCCAAGTGTATTGACTTAAAAATATCAGGAATGATTATTAAATTTTGTTGAAGGCTTTTTCATGATCTGTGGAACAATTGCATTATCTTCTCATTAGATAATAATATGGTGAATATATCAGTAGATTTTCTTTCTGTCTTTCCTCCTCCTCCTCTTTTTTTTTTTTTTTTTTTTTTGAGATAGGGTTTCACTCTGTTGCCCAGGCTGGAGTGCAGTGATGCGCTTATGGCTCACCGTAACCTCAACCTCCCTGGGCTCAGGTGATCCTCCTGCCTCAGCCTCCTAAGTAGCTGAGACTACAGGTGTGTGCCATCACATCTGGCTAATTTTTGTATTTTTTATAGAGATGGGGTTTTACCATGTTGTCTGGGCTGGTCTCAAACTCGCTGGCTCAAGCAATCTGCCTGACTAGGCCTCCCAGAGTGCTGGGATTACAGGTGTGAGTCACTGTGCCTGGCCTATTAGTAGATTTTCTAATATTGAATCACCTTTGCATTTCTTTTTGAGATGGAGTCTTGCTCTGTCACCAGGCTGGAGTGCAGTGGCTCTATCTCGGCTCACTGCAGCCTCCGCCTCCCAGGTTCAAGCGATTCTCCTGCCTCAGCCTCCTGAGTAGCTGGGATTACAAGCACGTGCCACCACGCCCTGCTAATTTTTGTATTTTTAGTAGAGACAGGGTTTCGCCATGTTGGCCAGGATGGTCTTGATCTCCTGACCTTGTGCTCTGCCTGCCTCGGCCTTCCAAAGTGCTGAGATGACAGGTGTGAGCCACCGCACCCACCCTGCATTTCTAGAGTGAATCTCATTTGGTAAGGGCATGGTAGTAATGTGTAGGCTTCTGTTTGCTAAAATTTTATTTAGGATATTTGCACTGATGTAAGGAAAAGTGGTCTTTGGTTTTCTTTTTTGTGCTATCTCTATTCGGTTTAGATATCACATTTATATTTGCTTCAAAAAAAAAAAAAGAATTTGGTTATGTTCTGTGTATTTTATCCTCTGGAACAATTTATGCAGTAGCCTTGGTGTTTAAGGTTTGGTAGAATTCCCCTGTAAAACTACCTGGGTCTGGTGTTTTTTTGTTTTTTGTTTTTTTGTGAGGGTAATTCTGGTAAATTATTTTTTTCTTACGAAATTTCTTATGAAATGAATTATCTATTTAACCTAGTTTCAAGCGTATCTGCATAGAGTTGCACAGAGGAGTGTGTCATGACTTTTCTTGTGGAGGGTGTGGTACTTACTTTAGGACTTCATAGTTTTAGAGGACAGGAGGTATGGGGTCGTGTTCATTGACTGCATTCATGGATCCCGTGTCTTAAAGTGAAGTTCCAACAAGATGAACATGTGCTAATAATGACGGTTGTAGTTACCACTGATGAAATGCTTGGCTGTGCATGTGTGTTAGCTCATTTAATCCTCATGATGATGCTGAGATATATAATATCCATCTCGCTTTAAGGATGAGATAATTTGGGGGGGCTACTTACCCAAGGTCACACAACTAGGAAGAATCAGCTGGGATGTGGATCCAGGTTTATGTGGTGACAGAGTCCAGGTTTCTTTTACTTTTTCTTTTTTTTTTTTGAGATGGAGTCTCACTCTGTCGCCCAGGCTGAAGTGCAGTGGCGTGATCTTGGCACACTGCAATCCACCACCCGGATTCAAGTGATTCTCCTGCCTTGGTCTCCTGAGTAGCTGGGACTACAGGCGTGTGCCACCATGCCCGGCTAATTTTTGTATTTTTAGTAGAGATGGAGTTTCGCCATCTTAGCCAGGCTAATCTCGAACTCCTGACCTCAGGTGATCTGCCCACCTTGGCCTCCCAAAGTGTTGGGATTACAGGTGGGAGCCACCGCGCCTGGCCCAGAGTCCGGGTTTCTAAGGAGCAGTGGAGGATGAGGGCCAAATGAGTGGCATTGGCAGGGATAGAATGATCAGGGACGGCTTCACCAAGAGGTGGGATGTGAGCTGTGCTCATTGGCATTGGCAGAATTCAGAGGGGTGAGGAGAGGTCAGGGAGGTGATGCCATGTGGGGGTGCCTGGCAGGAGAGGTAGCCTTGACTCAAGTGGCGGGTGCTATCAGAGGGTCACCCCATGAGGGCCAGCAGGTTGGAATGCTGGGGGATGAGTGGTGTAGACTAGACAGGGGAGCGGGGACGTACAGAGGGAGCAGGAAAATTGGGAAAATGCACATACTGTTCCCACCCCCCAATTTAGATTAGATAATGGGGAGTTGCCTGGGTCTAGGTCCTGGGAGTTTCTATAGCGGGTTAGAAATTTGAAGGGAAGAACCATATGGGAAGGATCACAGATAAAAATAGAAAGGAAATCAAAAGGCCACCAGCAACTGTGTTGGTTGTAGCAAGGCCCTTGAGTGTAATTCAGGATGCAAATAGCAATAGGTGTTTTGCACATCAGTAAAGTGTGAAGCCTGTGGGGAATATGGATGTGGCAGCCTCTGCAGAGCCTGTCGCCCGTGGCAACTTTCCCCGTGTTTCTCAGATGCAGCAGGAAGTGATGGGTAGTTCATAGTGTTTTCTCAGAGCCAGTAACAGTAGACATTTCTTTCTCAGGTTTGTAGGAGAGCGGAGACAGACAATGCTTTAGCCTCCTCAGTCTTGGAGTTCCTGTGTGAGGAAGACAGTTCCGTGCACAGCAAGGAACGCTTTGACTGGCGGTCTGGTCACCCCGTTCCCGGCTCTCACCCCTTTACCAATGCTTTGTGACTCCAGGCCGCCTTTCTTCTCTGGGCCTCAGTTACCACACTTGTGAAATAAAGGCATTTGGGCCGGGTGCGGTGGCTCACGCCTGTAATCCCAGCACTTTGGGAGGCCTAGGTGGGTGGATCATCAGGTCAGGGGTTCCAGACCAGCCTGACCAACATGGTGAAACCCCGTCTCTACTAAAAATACAAAAATTAGCCGGGTGTGGTGGTGGGTGCCTATAATACCAGCTACTCAGGAGGCTGAGGCAGGAGAATTGCTTGAACCCAGAAGGCAGAGATTGCAGTGAGCCAAGATTATGCCACTGTACTCCAGCCTGGGTGACAGAGTGAGACTCCGTCTCAAAAAAAAAAAAAAAAAAAGGCATTTGGGTTCCAGGGTCCCTCCTAGCTTTCAAATCCATGATTGAGTCATGAAGGTAAATAAAGAAAATGCCTTTAAAGTAGTTTTGGTTCCCACAAACCATAAGTCATTTCTTTGATTTTGTTGAAATAAATGAACTCACTGCCCGGCCTGAGCCAGAGAGATTTTCTGTAAATAGTGAAGGGATTGGTTAAGCAGGAAGTGTGTTTGCTTTGTTGAATTCTTTGTCTCCTGGGATGTCTAGTTCTAATTCTTATTTCCCTTGCTTCTTTAGGGCTGTGGGATATACCACTTGAGTGAAAGAAAGCAGAAAGGCTGGGCGGCGGGGCGCATGTCTGGAATCCCAGCACTTTGGGAGGCCGAGGCAGGCCGATCAATTTAGCCCAGGAGTTCAAGACCAGTCTGGCAAATAGTGAGACCCTGTCTCTTCAAAAAATTTAAAAAATTAGTTGGGCGTCGTGGTGCGTGCCTGCAGTCCCAGCTGTTTGGGAGTGTGAGGTGTGATATGTGATCGCATCACTGCACTCCAGCCTGGGCAACAGAGAGAGACCCTGTCTCACAAAAAAAAAAAAAAAAAAGCAAGCAAGCAGAGATAATTAATTAGTCCAAAGAGGCCTTTTGCTAGGAAGAAGGGAGTTTTGCTTTTCTAATGTATAAAATATATGCAGAAACGCCTCCAGGTAATTTTGCCGTCACTTTGGGAATGCTAAATTCCGTGGTCAGATCTTTTGTTTGGTGTCGGTGTTTGGGGAAGATTTTTTCTTCTGGAATTCAGTGATTTATTCCTGTGTCCTTGATGCCAGTCTGTGTTTGGTGACCTCGCCATTCTGTCCAGAACAGGGCAGCAGGTGTCGGGGCTGGGGTGTCGAACAGAGGAGGTGGTTCACGTGTAGATATGGCTCTTGTTAGCTTGCTGCCTTGGGGCAGCCACATCACCTCTGTTCATTTGATTCCTACCGTCTGTAATATCTCAATGATGATTAGATTGTGAGGCTCAGATGAGATAAAATGCAGACAGTTATTTTGGATATTGGAATGTGACTGGTTATTGTCCTGTGTGCAGAACCCTCTGGCCAGTCTTTGGGCTGTGCAGACGGGAGAGGTGAGTGGGCTGGGCCCTTGCTTCAGTCTTTCCAGTTCCCTGAGCCTCAGTTTCTCCTCAGTACATTGAGGAAGTTGGGTGAACTATCTACAGCTGTTCTTCCAATTCAAAGATTTCATTTTTTAGTGTAAGAACTATTAGTAAAATAAACATGTCAAACACAATTTGAGTAATGACCTTGAGGGATATAACTTGTGTAGCTAGCCTGTCCTGTGTGGTGGGAGATAGGTTATTTGAACGTAACCTATGAGGGATGTAACCTAAGAGGCATTAGGAGCTTCTTCCACCGGGAGCAAAATTTAGAGAGTCAGTGTTACGGTATAAAAAGTAGTGACAGCTGGTTCTGATTCCCATTCTGGCTCTTATTTTTAACTGTGTGACCTTAGGCAAAAACGTAACCTTTCTTAGTACCAGTTTCTCCACTTGTAAAAATGGTGAAAACAGTGTCTATCTTGAAAGGTTATTATGAAGATTAGTTAAGATGTCTGTAAAGCACTTAGCCTATTGCCTGGTACATGGTCAGTACTTAACGGTAGCTGGAGATTTCTATTAAACATCGGTAAGGAGCTTCAGAGACCACGGTACTTTCTAGGGGAAAATAGGAGAGCCTGTATTGTAAAGGGAGATTTGGCTGGAGGCCCTGGAGGAAAACAAGGGCACCTGTTGTTCTTGACCTTGGAGAAGCAGCTCCTCCTCCTGATAGAAGGATAGAGCCTGTGTCGGGCAGTGGAAAGGTGGATGGTGAAGATAAGTCTGAGGTGGTATAAGGGGAAGGCCACTCTCGGAATACATCAGTGGAAACTGGATCCGAATGCCTGGACTCCTGGATCTTCCAGAGAGCCTGCTGCACAGCTGGTAAGAAACAGCAATAGCTCTGGAGGGTGGAGAGGAGACGTGGGTGTCCTACACCTGCTGCGTGTCCACAGACCAGAGTAGTACGATGCCACCCCCTGCTCAGGCACACATATTTCACCAGACCTTTATTTATAGGAAAATCTCCAGAGTGTGTGTTGGTTATTACCCTTAGATCTTAAGGGGAAAGACATGTTTGTATTAAAAGTTTAAAATGGAGAATTGGTTGCAAGAACTTCTTCCCTTCTTGCTTTGGCGCCGTAGTGAGATTTTGGTACGCCATGCCCACCAGCCATGTGTGTTTGTGCTCACTGCTTCCATGTGTGTGTTCTGAGCA